>NC_000005.10:88594655-88897685 GCF_000001405.40 Homo sapiens | reverse complement strand
TTCATTTATTTTAATTATCTTATGTAGACTGGAAAATAAGTGTCATCAAATACTAGTGAAAAGCCAGAAAAAAAATCATTCTTAAGTTTTTCTTAAGTTTAAGATGCTAAATAATACAGCTTGAAATGTGATAAAACGGCTTGAGCGAACTCTTCAGGACAGTCATTCAAACAATACAGACAGTGCTTATTATGGAACGTATGAGAGTGTAGAGCATACACATTCACCAAGTTTTAGAATGCTCAGTTAATCATCACTGACCTGTGGAGTTTAAGAGCTTATAGCCCACTGATAATGTGAGAGAAACCATAGGCTTTATTCTCCTGTGGGTGAGTTTATTTTGCGGCCGTAGGCTACACAGACTAGAATCTCACGGCTACGTAAGGATGAGATGAGACTGTGTGGATGCATGAACATAAATCCTTCACAAATACTATATAACCAACACAAGCACAGACCTTATTCATTGTAAGTTAATCATCATTGCAATCATAGAGTAATTACAGTGATTAATAACAAAAAATAATCATAGAAGTTATTCTATGACCATATTATCTATAACATGCATCATCAATTGTTTAGAAATAAGCTCCTTTAGTGAAGGTATTTTATTTTGAAGTGATTCTGATAAATCAAAAAAGAATAATACCCTATGGTTCTGAAACAGAAAATGTAATTTTCCAACGCAAAGGAAAAATCCTGTTAATAACCAGTTGTGCGTGTGTGTGTGTGTGTGTGTGTAGCTTTACTGAGTTCACAACTGATACTAAAGAATTTACAACTTGAAAATGAAAAGAGGAAGCAGAAAAGATGAAGGAAGGAAGGAAAGAATGAATGAATGACAGATGGAAGGAAGAAAGGAAGTTAAATGGAATAGTTGGGAGGAAATCTGTTGGCTAGCTATTTAGCCTTTGCTAAAGGGGTCAAAAGGAATAAGAAAGTTGTAGAATGTTTCTTACTTTAGTAGTGTTCAAAATCTTTTACTTAGAATCTTATTTCTTCCTTTTGAATCTTGAGTGATGATTTTTAATATAAAATTGCATTCCATTTGATATGGATACTCTTTATTTAAAGATTTAAGACTACACTAAGTTGGGAAATATTTGTTTATGTACCCTGTCTTTGCACATAGGAAGATGCTTTATCTGTGATTTAATAGAGGAGATAGAAGGCAGAATGAAATTTGCCCTCTGTCCCTAAACCTCTCCCCAACCGTTTCAAATTCTCTCTTTCATCCAACAAGTGGTACATATTCTCTTCAAAGAGTTCTTAAACCCTGTTCAAGACATTTCTGGATAAATAATCACTAATTACACCTCTGGTGGCTTTGGTGGGGCAGAAGGGAGAGCACACAGGGTAAGTCTGAGTGACAACATAGTCACTATGGTACAAGGGACACGCAGTGGCTGCCTGCCTCATATTGCAAAGAGGGAATAGAAAAAGAGACCAGGGGAACAGGTAATGCAATGTACAATTTTTTAAGTATATAAATTTTCAAGGAGTATCTTAATATTTTGCTGATAGAGAGTTCATCTTCCAATCCCAACATTTTCAAAAACAAAATTGCTTCCTCAAGTAAGGGCCAGGTTTCCCATTTGCTTGCATCCAAGGCTTAGATCTGTGTGGACAAATGAAGTGGCTGCTGGTGGGAGGGACCTGAGACATACTGAAAGTGCTCCCTAAAACACCACCTGACCAACACAGCAGGGTATCTGTGGAAGCATGGATACTCCTTTGGATTATGAATTCTTTTCAGAAAACTTTTGAAGAGAGGTTCATTTAAAGTGATTGCACAATGATACCGTGTCATGGATTAGGCGGCTGTAGTGGCCGGCTCCTCTGATAGAACATAGTTGGAAAGAATTCCGCGGACATAAAGGGGCGGCTGAGGGATGAAAGGACTTTGTAGGTCGCATCAGTGGAAGGCCCAGAGGAGAAAGAAGCACTCGTGAAAGAGCTATTACTGATTGTAAAAATTGCTGCTGGGTGAGTGGAGCATGCCAAAGTGAAAGCAGGGCCTGCTGAAGGTGAGTATAGGGAAGAGAGTGATGTAAAGACAAACTTTCACAACATCACAACTGCGCATATGCTACACAGATAAGAGCCCTGTTTTAAGAGGAGTTCACTGGGATCTAATAGGAAGCCACTAATTCAACATATTTATGCTCAGTTCCCTTAAATTTAAGATTATATAATGAATAAACAATTTAGAAGATGTCTGAGGTAACTAAAAAATAAAATCTTGGAGCATCATTCTGGGCAAATGGGTATGTCATTACTTTCATAAGTCTGATGAAATCCAATAAGAATACCCCAAAAAAGTTTATCTAAAGACAATATTATATAGAACACTGACAAGGATAATATAGTTAGCAGTCCAACATGTAAGACTTCTTGATATAATACATATTAACTGAATAAACATACGACCATAAATGTTTATATTTACTTTATATATCAAATACTTTACATAAAATAACTGTTTGGAAGCATGAAACTGACAGAAAAGAAAACATCTTTTAAAATATCATTACATAACTACAACATTGAGATGTTTTCCAGGAATATGGGGTATTTCTTGAAAGTGAAATGGTATATAATAGCTAACATTTATTGAGAATTTTCTATATGCGAGGCACTAAGTGGCCACAGAAGTACAATTTCATGTGCTTCTCTCGGCAAAATCATTATCATGGGTAGTTCCTGCCACCTTCCCCATTTTACAAAAAGGGCATTTAGAAAATTAAGGTCAAAACAATTATTTAGTGTCTAAACGTGGATTCTGCTCCAGAGTTTCCTAGTTACCCTCCGCTGCCCATTTTATACTCTTTGAAAAGAACATTTCCCATGCTGTTTATACATGATCTATAACTATTAATTTAGTGAAAATGACTTTTTTAAAAAAATACCAGACCTTTTACGAGTGTTACTTGTCAAAACTGTCTCCTTAAAGGTTATAAAATCATATCAAAAATACTTTGAAATTCCTCTTTTATATCTTCAATTAGTGTCAATTTATGAGACAAATATCAAATAATCTAATGCTTTATACTCAAATCTTAGTTTTCATCCTGTTTACTACATTTGGCTTGGATTTACTTTTGGAAAAAATTCATCCTTAATGATAAGGATTTGCCAACAATCAGGCCAGTTTTAAGACTGTGTAGCAAATCCCTGAGGAGATTTCTAAATAGACTTGAGCAAAGACAACATTACTGAAATAAATGAATAGTCTTCTAAAGTGTCTACCTTAAAGAGGATGACATGCCTTTAGATATGTATTTCTGAAATATTTTCTGGTGGGACAAAAATATCTATTATATTATCACTATAAGTGAACAAACGTTATGAATACAAGGAAGCAGTATAGCATCATAGCTAAGGGTAGAGTATTGGAAACAAACACATTGGTTTTATGTCGTTTGGCACTTAGGAACTATGTGGCCCTGGGCAGGTCATGTCAGCACTCACAGCTTTAGTGTGTAAAATCTTAAAATGGGGACAATAATAGTACATGTCTAAAAGGTTGTTCTTTGAATAAAAGGAAACAAAAGTTTATAAAGCAATTAATACAGAGCCTGACAAATAGTATGTGGCCATTAAATGTTAGGTACTTCAAATATTCATTTCAACCCACATTCTAATAAGATAGTATTATTTTTGCATATATACTCCAGATATCATTGTATTATGACTAAGAACATTACTGATTTAAAAGATTTAACTACACATTTAGTATAAATGAATAAATAAGTAATAGTCCGTAGGAAATCTGGCCTTTTGTTTGAGTCTTTGACTCAATCAGTACTT
The DNA here is from genome assembly GCF_000001405.40 of Homo sapiens. Taxonomy (NCBI): domain Eukaryota; kingdom Metazoa; phylum Chordata; class Mammalia; order Primates; family Hominidae; genus Homo; species Homo sapiens. The sequence continues at coordinate 88,893,875 of NC_000005.10, read as the reverse complement.
TGGTGAAACAAACTGGTTTTAATCACTCACTTAAATTTAAAAGTTTTATTGAGTTTTACTTTTAATTCTCACCATATTACAAAATAATTTAGAAACTCCTCCCAGTGAAAATTCTGTTTCTTCCTAAGAAATTAGAATATTGATATAATTATGTGCCTCCTTGTTCCACAATTTCTATAAAATTACGTATTGAAAGCATATAGATCTATGCATGATCTTACCTTCTTGAAAACATAACATTTTCTATTATATTGCTTGGTTTAAAATTTAGGATTATAAATAAAATATTTTATAAATAATTTTGTAAGATCCAGATAAGTAGAACATAGTCATTTAAAAAATTACCTAGAAATGGCTTGGTACAGTAGCTCAAGCCTGTAATCCCAGCACTTTGGGAGGCCAAAGTGGGCGGATTACCTCAGGTCAGGAGTTCAAGACCAACCTGGCCAACATGTTGAAACCCCATCTCTATGGGAGGCAGAGGTTGCAGTGAGCCAAGATCACACCACTGCACTCCAGCCTGGGCAACAGAGCAAGACTCCATAAAAAAAAAAAAGAAAAGAAAGAAAAAGAAAAATACCTAGAAAGATAGAATAATGTACATTTTGCCATGCGGTAGCTCTTTTCCTTCTTTTCTAAACTCTTCTGTCTTAACTTGGGGTCTTCACTTAATAACTAGTGTTAGCGTGAATATCAGATATAAAATTTTTATTGACATTCTCTAAGTCTGTTTTTTTCTGTAATACATACTTAATCATAAAATCAGTATAAATCATAAACATCTCAGGTGGGACTTTATTAGAACCAAAAATGCAAAATGACTATGCTTCTGTTTTTCAAGAAATGGTACAGTCCCCTAACACAGCTGTAGTGTTGATCATATGTCTAACAGAACTACTTCTAGGTCCTCTTGAACAGAACGCTCCATTAGGCATTCTGTGGGCTACCCCTTCCCAGCAGGCTTTTGCCCAACCCAGTTGCCATAGACGGCCATCAGACACTTGGAATGACATCAGGAGACAATCTGAGCGGACTCTGACCTAAAGAATTCAAGCTAGGGGGAGACTGAAGATATCAATGTCATCTTGGCTGACAATAGCATTCCAAAGGTCAACCAGGGTGAAAAGAGGATAGACTCTGAGTTTTCAGTGCCTTTTCAGCAACCAAGTGGCTAACAAGTATAATAAAGCATCCCCCCAAAAAAGAAAAAATATCCTAGAGGCATGATGTCAGTGAAAGGGAAATAAGGCAACCTGTACACTTAAGTCATGGTATTTTAAAACATTTTACCTCTTCCAAGGTAAATCTCATCCTGAACCAATTCCCACCTCTCGGATGACCTACTTCTTTCTGCTGTGATAACCCCAGTATAGGTGAATAAAGAACTTAATGGTATAGAAGTGGAAATTCTTTGCATTAGATTAAGAATGGCTAATTTTTACCGCAGTTTGTCACTTTTCCAGCCCTGTGCTTTATGCTGAATAGCTCATTTAATCCTTAAACAAAGTTTTGAGGATAGCACATTTTGTTCCACATTTTACAAATGAGGAAACTGAGGCAAAGGGAGATTTAAACCATATGCATAATCAAACAGTTACCATGTGATACAGCCAATTGGCTGTTGGCCACACAGCTTCTTCCAAGTCAGACCAGCCTTCTCGGTTGTCAGCCATGGAGAAGGTGAGGCCTTCTTCCATGTCTACAAGCACCTGAAGAAGTGAAACATTTTCTCTAAGGATACTGGATTTTAGGGAGAATGGGAAGAATGCTGAACCACACGCAAATGGTAAATTAAGAAGAGCAATAAAGACAATAATTCAAATAAAAATGTAAATCTACACTTTTAAAATAATTTATTGTTATTAATTTAAAATTATTTAATATTCATAAGTACTCTTATTTGGACACTTCGGGGATCCTTAACTAAGTGTTAAGTTAAAAGGTAACTACTATAAAAGAGCAGAATTAATACCAACAGTTCACTCCTAATTAACAATAAGATATATAGAATACAAACATGGCATTAAAAACAAAACAAACCCAAAAGACAGAACAAAACAAAACAATAAAACTAATAAGAAAGCTTATGCTTTGTCTAAATCTTTATGATGTATTCTGTTGCCTTATATGTTTCAGATAGTGTAATTTGTAATAATGTTTTGTTTGGGCCGGGTGCAGTGGTTCACGCCTGTAATCCCAGTACTTTGGGTGGCCGAGACAGGCAGATCACGAGGTCAGGAGATCGAGACCATCCTGGCTAACATGGTGAAACCCCGTCTCTACTAAAAATACAAAAAAAGAAAATATTAGCTGGGCGTGGTGGTGGACGCCTGTAGTCCCAGCTACTCGGGAGGCTGAGGCAGGAGAATGGCATGAACCCAGGAGGTGGAGCTTTCAGTGAGCCGAGCCAAGATCGCACCACTGCACTCAAGCCTGGGCGACAGAGCGAGACTGCGTCTCAAAAAAAAAAAAAAAAAAAAAAGGTTGGTTGGTTATTAACATTTCTGAGCCAATTCCATCCTAGTTATATCATAATCAATGTCTCCGATATCTTTATCAAATTTGAGAAAGATTATGCTTTGCTAAAAATTTTCACTTTAGGTGACACCTTTCCTCCCTGACCTTAAGAATGCTTTTTAGCTCTTTAAGAGGATAATCCCATTTCCTCAGAATTTTTAAAGTAGAATGAAGCACAGTGTTATCCCAATTAGCCTCTTAGAAAAGGCATTATATGAATCTATGACACTACCAATAATACATTTTTAGTTTGGGAGATAGTATTATTCCCCATGCTCCTCATTCTTTGTTAAATGGAATTTCTTCCTGGAGGAATACTTAGCAGTATTTTTTCTTGTAAAAGGGTACTCTTGCCTAAAATTTTCAGTCAAGTTGACTTTCTGTAAGATGAATTTGCCTAGAAAGATGTCCTTGTCTGGCACAAAGTATACTGGACCCTGTTAGGGGACCTTATCTTCTTTCCAAATTTATGACATAACTTTGGGGGCATCACTTAACTTCTCTGGGCCTGATTTCTCTTGCCTATAAAAAAATTAGGTGTCTGGGTGAAGTGTTCCCCAAGGTCTCTTTCAGCAGGAAGATACTGAAAGTCTGACTTTAAAGCTTCTCACACTAGTGCCAAGTAACAGAAACTCCAAGAGTGTCCTAAAATGTGGCTGGTATCAGTCATAAAGTAATTTCTTTCTTTCTTTCTTTTTTTAACCAGCATTCATTTTGAACTCTATAGCAGTATTCTCCAGCAGAACTTTATGCAGTGATGGAAACGTTTGACATGTCGCTGTCCAGTAAGGGAGCCACTAGCCACATGTGGCTATTGAGCACTTGAAATATGGCCAGTGGAACTGAGGGACAGAATTTATTTTTATTTTATCTTATTTTAATTAATTTAAATAGCTACCATCTTGGTAGCCGCTAAATGTTTCAAGAACATGATAACATAAACGTTTTTACACCTTCGATGTAATTGAGTATTCCACAATGCCAGACAGGTCAAAGAACAGCACAGATATCTGCATTTAGTGACAGCATTTTTGTAAGACATCCCAGAACCGTTCCCCTGTGTTAACAAATAAAGGGGGTACAAGGGGAAAGGAAGTTTTCTGTTTTGTCTTTAAAGTGTGTGTTTTATCCTGAATACCCTACTTCTTGCTTTACTTTGTGGCTTTTTCCTAGCCAAAACTCGCACACGCGTTAGCTTAATAGAGCTATGAGTTGGCTTTTGTTTTTTGAAATATAATTCCTTAGATGCTGAGAGCTCAGACTATAAAATCCAGTTTGGGGCCCGTGTTCTTTCCTATTGGTCTGTCAGGTGAAAAACTCCGGCTGGCCAGAGTGGGACAGGGGCGGCGGCTAGACCTGCAGAGCCCCTCTTGCTCTCCCAGGTTTGCAAAATGGTTGGAGCGCTTCGGGCAGCCTGCGTCACCAGACGTGGACCGTGTGCCAGCGCTTTGTGCACTGTTAAAGGGTGGGTTCATTTTACTTGGCCCCTGGTATTTTCGTGGGTCGCTCTGAGCCCATCCCGAGCTCTTTTGGATCGCATTTCTCCAGCCCAGGATCCCAAAACCAGACCAGCAGGACAACTACCCCGGCACTGCCACCGCCCGTTTCCACAGTCCACCCACAGCCGTTGCGCCCTCCTCCATTCCCCAGAGCCCATCACGCACCCTCTTTACCAACAAACCACCGGACGCTTTTCCCCCAGCCGTGACTTCCACAACCCCCAACTAAATACAAGTCGGCACACCCCCTTCCTTCCCCGCGCCAAACCAGCGTGGCCGCCCACTCGTCGCACCCAGGTCCAGCAGGTCCAGCAGGTCCCCAGGAGGGCCCAGAGCCTGCCTCCTGCTCGCCCGTGGCGCACGCACGTGGCGCACTCACCCCCTACCAGCAGCCTCCGAGCTCTAGAAACACTCCAAGGAAGGAACCCCCGCCCCTTCAGCTCCGTCGGCCGGGAGAAAAGGGGGGGGGGAAGGGGGGGGAAGCAGAGACGGGCAGAGAGAAGAGTATATAGGTGATGAGAGCAGTGTTGGAGGGGAGGATCGGCAATAATTGGATGGCGTTGCAGCTGTTGCGCCTCTGCTGAACGCCCAGCCAGAGCGGATTCACTTTTCACACAAATCAACCGGAGGGATTGTTGCTGCCTGCAATCAATAACTCAGCGGAGTGAGTTGCTCAAACTAGAGGCGTCCCTCGTCTGGGTCTTTGAGGGCCGTCCGGATTGAGTCCCAGCGCTCTGCTTTCCAAACAAAGAAGTGGGCACCAAAACGCAGGACGAGATTTTTAATCCCCACTTCCACCACAACCCCGGGTAAAGATTTTTTAAAATGAAAAAGCACACACATAGTAAGGTATCTAGAAGAAACAGTTAAAAGGGGAAGTGTGAAAATCCATTCCTTGAATTGAAGGTTTCTGTGATATTTCAAGAAATGGGATAGAATCAATGTTCTGATGAACAACATTTAACAATTTTGTAAGTAAAGGTAAAGTCGCATTAAATTTATTCATGCATGTGGTTATTTTTGAATCAGCCACACACTTGCAAGCAAATTACTGATCAAGCCTTATTTGGACATACTGATTACAGGAAAAGAAAGAAATGTATCATAATTTGTAGTGTCGTTTAAAAAAAAAAAAAAAACCTTACCATACCTTTCAGATGTTATTTCATGAAGATTGCATTTCTATAAGGTGAATAGGCCCTGGGAGATGTGTATTATGATTCTCACTTAATAGACTGTAAAATGAAGCACAACTGGAAGAAAGAGAACTCACCAAATCACTTGGTAGTGACTACAAGACCAAGTTTGGACTCACTCACTGTGGGCCTAAGCCTAAAAACCTAAACTCAACTAACACCCATAAAGTAAAACTGGCCAAAATTTTTCATTTCTCTTTGACTCTGAAGCAACTTAAAAATAAACCTCAGAGATGTCAACCCAAATATAGAGGCTTTATAAATGATTCTTCACTATGCAAAGTCCTCCTGCTATTACAAATGGGAAAAGAGATATTGACCATCCTGGTCTGATGTGTCTCAAGGCTGGTTCTCTTTCTGGGACTAGCCTCAGTCTGAAGCCAAGGAAAGGTTCATTTGTGTGCACAAAGTCATGGAAAGCCAGACTAAAACAGAAATCAGAACACAGGAGCATTTGTCTGTGCTCAGTATAGTTAAACACTGCTTGGAAAAATAAGGTATTATTGGTAATAGAATTTATAAACCGTACTGAATACACATCACTAATCCCAAAGTATTTTAAATTGGCCTTTAGGCAATGCATAAAATAAGCCCTTTCAGTAACCTCAACTGCATTGCAAACATTTCCCGATTTGACAAATTGTGTTAGCTTCGGATATAATGGATTTGACATTCTTCTGTAATTCTCTATCAGATATAAAACTGAAGGTACAGAAATACAGATAAACATAGAATCCTTAGATATGTGTAAACCTTGTCTTGAAATAACAAATCCTTTGTATATTGCAAATTCTCAATCACAGACATTCCACATGCTGTATATTCTTCTTGGGTTAATGCTGCACCTAGTGAATTTTTGAAATTTAGATATTTGGCACTATTTATGTTAAAGATTATTATCACAATGCATGACAATTTCAGTTGTCTTATATTCAAAACACTTTGGTTTAAAATCAGAATATTGTTACTTCAGATTAGAAGTTTTAGAAATAAATCTATTTGAAAGTATTTTCATATCAGCATTAACAAAATACTATATACTGTTTTGCACTTCCACATTTGAAGGTGCCAAAGAAGAGTTGCAAACTGTGAAGTAACTTCTATGAAGAGATGAAGTAAAGAACGGAAGGCAAATGATTGTGGCAGTAAAGAAGTGTATGTGGTGAGTGCTCACATTTGTTTTTATCATTTACCACAGAGTTACCATAAAGGTAAAACTGCCAAACTCCTTGGCCTTAGGTATTTACAGAATAGACGTGTATAACAATAATAAAGAGTTAAATGACCACCATACACTTTATATTATAAGCAATGACATATCATTTTGCTTAAAGATCATGTCATCTTTCAGGGCCTACTTTTGCAAGTACTGTATCTTATAAAATTAATCTATTTCATGGGAAGTCCTGTGTATCATCAATACTATAATTAGACAAAGATTAAAATATGTAATGCTATTGGAATTTGTGTTTCACTGCTTTTTAGATTTTTCTAAACCACCATGTTCACTTATCATGTTTGTGTTAAAAGTATTCTGGCTGAGGAACAAATACTATACAGTTGAATAATCTTAAGGGGTACATTAATCTATAGCCTTTCTTCATCTCAGGGTGGGTTGCTGTGGCAACCGCCCCAGTTCACTTTAAAATAATTTTTAAAGCTCACTTCAAGAGCTACACCCAGCGTGGGCCAGGCTTAAAAGCAGGCAGACCCAGTGCACAGGGCTTTAGTGGACCGCTGCTTTAATGTAGGGAAGTAGTGAAGAGAGGAGGTTGGAGTAAGATGGTATGCAGCTCTGAACAGAAATTGCAATATTAGCTTTCCCTGGAGTTAAAATCCCGAGGAGCATGCTCTCTGTAACTTCTATGACACTTTAATTAAATATATTGCTAAACATAATTCTTTTGAGGGAAAAACAAGTGACTCTATATTTACATTAACAATAAAGCATTTACAACTTAATGTAGGAGAAATATTTGGTGATTAGAAAAAAATAAAAGCTGGTACAGTAGTACATCAATCCCAGACATAATTTTCTTTTAAAGGAATTGTCACCTATTATTTAACTGGATAGACCCTACCTTCCAATTGGTTTAAAGGGTAGAAACATTTTCTGTTTTCCAATGATAGAACTGGAATAGGTTACAGAACTCATTTAACACATAAGCGAACTGAAGCCTAGAAAGGACAAATCCCTTAGTAAGGCACAAATTTTGAACTAGATAGAGAATCCAGGTCTCCTGACACCTAGTACAAGCTCCTCCCTACATGAGAAAATAGTCTGATCCTAACCAAGTATCATTAGATGGCAAGGATCAGGATGATTTTAAAGAAAAAACAAAAACAGAAACAGAAACCAAAAGTCCAGAAGTATTTAAAGAATACAAAGCACACTCTGGATTAACTACTTTGTGGATTACTCATGAATAATTTTAAATCTCAGGTGATTTTCTAATGTATATTTCTTCATATCTCTTCTGCTTCAACTGTAAAGGCTCATGGGAAGAAAACTAATGGTAATATTAACTTAGGTCACACATAATTAAGAAGCTAAATCTGCTGAGGGGAAAATCCTGTATTTTAAAAGGCCAACTGTGATACATTCCAGATCCAAATTATTTTCAAATTATCCAGTGTGGGGTTATACTTATTTTTGAATGCTTGCAGTATCATTAATAATTATGGGTTTGTTATAATGGGTATTATTAAATAATTATTTAAAATATGAAAAGGTAAAATAAAATAATTTCTTTTTGAAAGAACATCTAAAACTGAAGTGTACTGTGGTAAACAGAAATACCCTCTATAATTCATTAAAAACAGCAGGGCTGAAATTCATGTATTGGCTATGTGTTTGCTCATGTCAAATAGACTGTTGTAACTCACTGCATTAATTTTAGGTATTATGGCAATAAACTTAGATGGTCCTTCAAATGCTTTGCTTTTTCAGGACCTTCGTGAATCTTGAAGAAAATTAATTTTATTTTTACCACCATATATAGACATATCTTAGTATTCGAAATATCTTTGCCCTTTAAATTTTTGGATTTTCAGAGAAGTTGTACTTTGAATGGAAACCTGATACAGATGTTCTCTGCCATATTATTAAAATGAATTCATGGTAATGGCAAACTCAACATTTGAAAAACCGGCAAACAAAATACATTGTAAATACTAATCTGCAAGAAATACTACTATTTCAGATGGTTTTTGCTTTGTGACAGTTTGTGATGCATTCCTATAATAAAAGGGAGGGAATGGTCTTAGTTTTGCTGATAGTCACAATGATGAGCTGGAACTTGAAGATTGTTCAGATCTAGTTGTACTTGCCTATAAAATAAACCTTCCCCTTTCAAGTGAAGCCTTGGGACAGTTGCCTAAATGTTGAGGCCACTCTTCTGAGAGAAGCTACTCACATCAAATACCTCCTACATTGAAGCAGGAGGCTTTTTGAACCATACTGTCCTCATATATTAAAATAGTCATCTGGAGGCATATTGCTGAACTTAACAGGAAATACAACTAGTCATTGGGTTAAACGTAGTGCTAAAAGGAATTTTCTAAAGTGAGGAAATCTTTAGTTAGCTAGATATTTCAATATACTATTGTCTAATCTCATATATTCCATGTTCTATTAATTTTCCCTTCTTGCTTTCACAATATTTTTTAAAAAATAGTTTGGTTTAAACATTTTATGTAATCTATAATTCTACTGGCATGCAATCTTGTCTTTTCATGATTCTATACTAGTTGATGTATTTTATCTTTGGCTTTATTGGGCATGGTATATATTAACAGTTGGTTAGGGCGGGAGGTGCCCAATCTCTAGTAGCCTAAATATTAAAGCCTTTTTTTTTTTTTTTTGTAAGGAAAAGTGTTTATCATGCTTTAACCTTAACATAAGTATCCTCCCTTATCAGTCTCTATTTCTGCTTCCTGTGCAGCTGAAACTCTTCAGGATAAGTGAAGTCATCAGCTATCGGCTAGGGTAGCCTAATGCATTTGGGAAGTTGGTTTGGTTTACATGTTAATGACCTGGATGAAGTCCAGTAAGGTGTGGAAAAGATAGAGTGGGGGGAGGGGGGGAACTCCGAGGAAGCTGCTTCCTCGGTAAATATTTCCAAACTGATTAGAAAGTTCATGGCCCCGCGATGAAGTCGAGATCTCAAATACTGGTAATTATTTTATTATTTCGTACATTACTAACATTAGAGAAACCTTTCGGCTCGCTTTCTAGCGCTCCAACCTCTCAGGGTGAAAACCGCGACTTCTGGGCGTGCAGGAAAAGCACGCTGGAATCGAGTGCTGCAGACATCCTGGACCGTGGTTTTTACGCGTGAGTAACGGAGGAGCGCACCGACCGGTGGAAGAGAGAAGTGGCTAACGCGTGTCCAAAAGGGGGAAAAGTCACAAGAGCAACTATTAGGGTCGCGCTCCTATTGGTCAGAGGAAAGATCCCGACTTTAGAAGGACTTTCCTGCTGGCTGGCTCGCAGCGTCCCCGGAGAGCAAGCGAGCGCGCCGCAGCGGGAGACTAGGTTCTCTCCGAGCGTCCTCCGCAGAGGCGCCGCGAGAGGAGCAGGGAGCCGCAGCTCGCCGTGTTGTCTTCATTTCGTGCAATAAAGAATTGTCATTAGGTTTGCGTATGGCATGTGCTATTACCCCACCGTAAAACTAAAATTAGCAAAATGTCAGGAATGGAAAGATTGATTCACCAAGATGCAATTATCATTTAAAAGTGCTTGATTGAGGTACTGATGTTCAGTGATTTATTCTGCATACCATATACATAATTAAAGTAGTGTAGTGGAGTAATTTATCAATCTAGTTGAGACTGGAGGGGTGAGGAGGGAGCTGCTGTATGTTTGTTTTATTAAAATGCTCCGAGGTCTAGTCCCGCCCCCCTTTTGCAAGAGTGAAACTGATGATTTCTCCAGCTCGCGAGGAAAGAGTCAACGGTTTGGGATTGTGGGGGAGAGAGAGACGGAGAGAAAAAGGCAGCGCGAAGCAAAGGCAAGGACAAAATTAAATAAAGGGGGAAAAAAGGAGGCAAAAGACATTTCATCGGACGTGCTGCTTAGAACCCCAACCATTCGTGCTCCGTCTTCCCTACCACCCCCGCCTCCCCTCCCAGTATCCTTCAATCCCCCCCGCCCCCACCACCCCCAGTCTTTTTTACGCGATGTTTCAAACGCTGTGAGCTGTTCTCCTTTTCCCATTCGTCTTCTGTCACTTCCTTCCTGGACGCAGTTTTCTGGACGAGTCTGGTTACTTTTAATCCGACCGGCCGCTGAGAGCCACTTTCTCCTCCTCCTCCTCCTCCTCCTTCTCTTCCTCCTCCTTCTTCCTCCTCCTCCTCCTCTTCCGAGCGGCCTCGGCGCGCGCGAATGCGCGGCCCCGCGCCCCCCCCCTCGCGCGCGCTCCCCTCGCGCGCGCGCACACACGCACACATCGTCTCCAGCTCTCTGCTCGCTCTGCTCGCAGTCACAGACACTTGAGCACACGCGTACACCCAGACATCTTCGGGCTGCTATTGGATTGACTTTGAAGGTTCTGTGTGGGTCGCCGTGGCTGCATGTTTGAATCAGGTGGAGAAGCACTTCAACGCTGGACGAAGTAAAGATTATTGTTGTTATTTTTTTTTTCTCTCTCTCTCTCTCTTAAGAAAGGAAAATATCCCAAGGACTAATCTGATCGGGTCTTCCTTCATGTAAGTACCCCTGATATTTCTCGAGGAAATAGAAAACCCGGGTATTGTCTCTAAAATCTGCATCAATATATTCCACGGCACTGTGTCTATCTATCCCTGTGCCTTTTTTGAAGGCTGAAGTTGAGGCTCGTTGTGCATTCTTTTTCGTTAGATTCCATGATTTCCTTGTTTGTTGCTAAAAGTAACTTTTTAGATAGTCGTATCCGTTTGCCATCAGCTATTGAAATCACTCCTGACTCGTTCCTGTCACACCAGTGTATTTAAAGTTTCATGAAGTTAGTTCACGTCATTAGCATGTTTGATATGGTGGAGCGTGTGGAGCCTGGTGGATTTTAATATTTCACAGCATGTTCTGTGACCTTGAAGTAGACGCCTTAAGATTTAGCAGTTAGTTCACTGTGGAAAGATGCTCCCATGAGTCCCCCCAAAGACACTGATTTGCCCTGGGTTATGCTTCTGAGCCACTAATTCTTGGGATTAGTTTGACCTAAAGCATGGCTGTCTGTCAGAGTATACCTTTGTGCATTTCCTTCCCTCACCAAAGTGCCGGCTTGACAGAGGGCTTCTTAATTGGTGTGGACAAAAAGTAATATCCCTGCCATAGTAGTCTACACATTTCACAATTCACGTTCGATTTCAGCATATGGATTGCTGTTCAGGTCAAGTCAAATACATAGCTGTTTAAAAGCAAGCAAGGTTAAGTCACTTAAATTGCCTTCTCTTTGGACTTGGAATGAAAGTTACCAAACTCGATGATAAAGTTTGTCACAAAGGAAGTATATATAGATGTGGCACATTGTTTATTTTATTATTAAATATTGTGGAAGTATTTAAATTTAATGCTAATGTTACCTTCCTTCCCTGAACATGGCTATTGCTTTTTAAAGGAAATTTTATATCTGAATCACTTCTGACTATTCTAAGTCCAGTAGTTATCATTCTTTGGGGAGAGCCTTTTTTTGTCACATTTTAGGAATGCGTGTCTTTTGTATAAAATACTTTATATGTAAATGCTGACAGTAGACTAAGTAGAATTGGGCTCTCTGCCAGTTCCTTAACCGGTCCTCAGTGGAGAATTGCTTTGACACAAAGTGCGTTTTACTATTGTGAATCTGAAACTAACTCTAATAGTAACTGTCTTATGAAATGCTTGGGGACTGCATATAATTTCTAAGTGCTATAAAGGAAACTCCAGCCACCTCATTATACCAGTCCAAAAAAAAAAAAAGCGACTAGCCTACTTTCACTGGCACCTTGCAATGGAATTGTGGTTGCAGAGTAAAGATGTTTATGTGGAGTATAATAACTCCAATCCCTAGAGACTTGGTAGGACATGGAAATGTGACCACCTGTGAACCCCGTTTAACCTCGTATTGCATACCAATTTTAGCTTTAAATAGATCAACAATCTCTAATTTGAAACTAAAACATCTTATTTAATTTTAAAAAATGTCAGTTTTGGCTAGTCTTTAAAAACATTCAGCATGTACCAATATGGTATAAGCAGTATTTTTGTTTCTCCATCAGTTTCAACTAAAGATAATGCAGTTAAAAAGCCATATTATTGTCTTCCAGTGTATGCATGAAATTAAGTTAAAAGAAGTAGTTCTAAAGCAAGACTCAGAACTTGATAGGTAAAATGAGATGTCCCTATCTAACATCCTATTTCAAGAGGAAAGAAATATTTTAAATCAAATATCTCATTCTATTTGTAGAAAAGTACATTTAGCTATGTATTCTGCTACTAACTCAATTCTAAAAGTTTTCATCAAAACAGTCTTTAAACATAACATTTGCTTAAAATTTGGTTCTCCCGTCAAAGAGACAGTAGGTGGCTGTTACCTTTACTTCAAATTTTACTAAATTTTATAAAAACCTACTATTTTTATTAATATAATTCACACAGCATTCGAATGTTTGACTTTTTTTCAGACTTCTTAGGAAAGGCAGCATTTTACTTCATTCATTAATTGCACCATTTACGTCCTGATTGCTGTGCATGTGGAATATATTGAAAGATAATATTAAAGTGTAAGTTTTATTAAATGTTAATTTGTTTTTTATTTCAATAACAAATGAGCAATTTATAATAAAAACAGTTTTCCACCTTTTCTGAGCTATTCATATTTTAAAAGTGTGCAATCACAGATATTAACTTTTCAAGAGAGAAGCACATTAATACTAGATAACTCCATGAAACTTAGATAACAAGAGGCACTTTGCCTCTTTTCTTCTTTGTAAACATGTTCATTTTGAAAAATTTGGGGGAAAAGATACCTGAAATTTTTTCCTTGGCCCTAACTTAACGGAATCAATAAATTCCATAACACTGCAAACGTATCTTTCTAATAAATACTTTATTTAAACTTCTTTTATAAAGAACAGCACTGAATAACTCCTTAGCATATCTTAACATTATCTTTTAAAACTTTCTTCTGTTTATTGTAGTATATTTTGTGGTTTTATTTCTCAACTCTAAAGTGTGGTATAATTTGAGTCTATGAAATCTCAGAAAGTGACAAAAATGGGGAAATAGCTGTGCAGCAATACTTGTGCTACATAACAACAAAGACATAGTTATTAAACAGAATTCTGGCTTTGGGGACATGATTCGAAGCAACATAGAAGAATTTAATATGCAATTAATGGTCACAAGATGAACTGTTAAGAGATTATTAATAAAGTTACACTTTTTTTTCAAAAGCACATCCTCTGAGAAAATACCACACAAATTAATATCTAAAACTTATCAAAATACACGTATTCATTCTATACTAATGTGGTGATTGCCTAGACACGATGAAATGATTTAATCACTGTTGTTCCATCAGTATGCTGCATGTGGAAAGACAGGTAATTAAGATCCCCGTCCTTAGCACTGTACCTTAATCTTATAGGCGCGTGGACTGTCTTGCACTCAGTAAAGCTTGACTGTTCACCGAGATCTGTCACCTTTAGGAAATCAAACCAGATTACAGAGGTGATTCACAAAACCAGGAACAACAGAGTCTATGCACGTTACAAAAGGCAGATTACATAGTTCACATGTTATTTTGATAGGTCAAAGATAAAAGCTGATTGTTGAGGAATGGCAAGACACTCAATTTCAAATGATTGCTTAGATAAGCATACTTTGACCCTGTTGCTTCATCATTATGATCCATTCAAACAATGGAAAATTCAGTTTTCAAATGACAGGCTTTCAGTAGTGAAGTAAGAGAAAACATGTCCTTTTTTATGTATGTCTTCATTGTGTAAATTTTAAGTTCCATCATTTCTTTATGAACAAACATTAAATTGTCTGCTTACATGAAGCAGGTATTGTAAGGCTTAAATGCATTAGACATTTTCAGAGGCGTTATAAAGAGCACAAAACAGAATTTGCCAGAAATAAAACATACACTCATGTTATTGAGTAATTCAGCAGAAAATGCATAATAGTCAATATCCATTATGTTATTCTGTTACCAAATATATTCTACATAAAAATGTGTAATTACATAGTTATGAATCCATATATGTGAAACATATCTTCATAAAAGTTCATTGGTCAAATTTTATATATATATATAATATATATATTTCATGAATGTTATATAAAGATCATTCTTTACAACAGAATATGATGTTTTGAGAGTTTATTTCAGAGAATAAAGTTTTGGTTTACATAATAACATTTTGAAAATCTTAACTTCTTACACACCCAACTTTACAGTAATTTTTTGCTTCTTCTAAAATTGAAGTCCTTTTTTACCCAACTGATGCCTCCTAGTGTTTCACACAATAAAACACTAATGAGTCACCCATAAATGTAAACATTGCATTTTCATTGCCTACATCATCTGTGATACATAAAATTAATATTTATGTGTTTAATTTTCTGTGCACTATTATAATAAGATAGAAAATTTTAGTGAATGAGATGTTTCATCTGAGTGGATTTGTGGCACGCACTTGCAGGTTTTCTTTGACCATCACAATATCTTACTAAGTTTTAACAAGTTTATTACCTTCAGTTGCAGTTATATATTCACTCTTTATATTCACTCTTATTTCAAGTGAGAAACATAGGTAAATAACAAAGCTTTCATTTTGTAGGCCTGGGAATTATACAGTTGGGTTCATTCTGAAATGCCTGATAAATTGCACAAGGACTATCCATTTCATTTACACACTAAAATATCTTAAAAGAGATATAATTTTTTTTCCTGCTGTGTCTTTACACTTGAAAATTTCTTTGTAAAAGTGGAATAAAGAAAGACTATTTAGAAAAGATAAAATCAAAGATAAATGCAAAATTTTCTATAAATATGGAGTATATTTATTAGAAAATAACAACAAAAGAAAAACTTTCCTTGGAAGGAAACATATTATTCTACATAAAGGGAAGTCGTGTTAGAACACAATATCCAATGACCAGCAGCTTGCCTTAATGAGGTAGAAGTTAGTGGGTGCCAACTTTGGTGTGAGTTTTCTGCCATTAGGATGGTAAGCGTAGACCTGTGATATTTTTGCATGTTTGTGATTTCAAACAGCTCTCTGATTCTACTTCCTAAGTTTCTAAATGTTTTTTATCCAATATACTTATGAAAGAAAGGGGTCATTCCTGTAATGGGTCTTAAATTGAAAGGAGGCCATCAAAAACTTGTAACATTCATGGGCCTCTTCCTGAGGTGTCATACAACATACCTGTACACAAAAACATTCATGAGTTTCTTCTACTAACACAAACATTCTATAGCATCCAAGTGTAGACACTAGATTGAACTTCATTCTGTATATGTGTCATTTAGTTCTCCTGACTCAAAATACACAGTGTATTAACAATATTTGACTATCACTTAAGATTTTCTAATTTAGTCAATAATACAGTGCTATTACAATTGTTGGACACATTTCAAAGAATGTAAGGGGGTGTGTTCCTTTCGTTCAAGGAAGCAAACATGTAGAAAGGGGTGGACCTTTCCCACAAGAGCCACATTTCTTCCCTTGGAGAATTGAAGCAAATATGCAGTACGTAAGTGAATAGCAGCATGAGAAAGAAAATAATTTGCAATGATCTCCTATAGTTAGTGAGCAAAGAAAATTGTCAGTTTTTTTTAAAGTAGCTCTTATTGACAACCTATCTTAAACTGAATACTGAAAAAAAGTCTATGAAAGTTTTATAATTTCAGTATGTTTTAACATTCATGCGTGAAATAACTGTAAAGTACACTGTAATAATTTTGGTCTTGCTCAAATCAAGAATTTTTTAGTAACCATGTTATTTTACAGACAATATTGAGGCATAACAAAATAAAGGGTGCTGGAAGCATTCATTCCTTACCCCTCTCTTTTAAGAATACGAAGATGGCATTGATGTTCTTTTGTTATTTTTGTCTGTGAAAGAAAAATAATTAAAGAATGTTCTATGACAAAGAATACCATTGTAAAAATAAGATTATAGAAAAGGTTATTTAATATACTATTATCTCACATCTCCTTGATACTATTTTAATGTTTACTGCAAAAAATCATATTCCTATTAAATATGGAAATTAGGTGATACATGTTATACAAATTTATGGTTTAGTTTTAGGTGATATGAGTAACATTTATTTGTCATCGCCATAATTCATTTGCTGTACATTGTCATTTTATTGTACAAGTTAAATCTTGGTATATATTTTTAAAATACAGCCAATGTAAACAAAGTTCAAAGTACATGAAGAGAATCTTTTGAGGGCATTGAAAAGGAAATTGACGACATTACAAGCAATAAAAACAGTAAACATATTACAGGCAGATTTCTTCAGGAATCATTACTCTTAAATAATGCAGACATTATAAAGACTTTATTAATTCTTAATGCTGTAAATTTGAAATGAATGGAGCAATGTTGTTCCTCCTGCAAGTGGTTGGGATTCATGTAGAATGACAGTGCAAGTCCTCAAGCAGTGATTTAAATTAAGTACCCAAAACTTGTTTTTAGAGGCTGGAGGAACTAACTGATCTTTGAATCAGTCCCTTTTGAGAACCTGCTTTTTCCAAATAGCATCATGAGCGTGGTGGTCTGGTTTTCCTCTTCTATCTTGTTGTCATAGATAAGATGCACATGAAGAATTCATATAAATTGCTCTCAGATACTATGGATTCCTAGCATATTGGATTAAAAAAGAAGTGGATATGGTCCTTCGATAGAATGTGAAGTGTTTTTTTAAAAATCAGCCAAGAACTATGCCTGTCTTTTTTTCACACCTGTGATTCTTTCAGCAAGTTAGAAGGATAGCAAGAGAATGTGCATCCTTCCCCAAACCCCGAAGACAGGCAGCTTTGGCTTAAATATGCTTATTTATTTTCAAAATTAGAAAATAAACACATTAATGTAAATATGTTGAGACAGACAAAGAAATTTGTCTGCTACTTAATAAACACGCGATTTATACTTTTTGTCTTCTAATTAATTGTCGACCCTGAATAAGGTGGTACAACTAAGGCATATTATGGAAAACTGGCATTATTGCTTAATGTAACATGAGGGATTGGAATTTCTTTAAAGTAATTTTAAGATATGATTATTTAGCAGAAATATTCACTGGAGCATTTTACTTTTAGAAATTATCGTCACACAAGGAAGCCTTTATAGGACCGACTACCTAATTGCAGTCAAAGATCTCTTGAATGAATGAACACACACACACAGAAGAACACACATTTTAAGAATATAGTGGTCCTATATTTTTAAAAATTTTTGCCACATTTTTTATATCTGAACAGAACGTATGTGTCTAAGCAGATGTTTTAAGTTATATCCTTCATGTAGGTGAGTCTGTAAATGTACCATTTAACTTAAATGGCTTTGTGGGAAGGTAGTTTGAGGAGTTTAAAAAGGAAAAAAAAAAAAAAAAAAAACTCCAGTTACTACAGTTTCAGCTCTTTCTTTTTAAAAAACAGTAATTACACTCAGGATAAAGAAAGAAAAATAAACTCTTTTAATTCTTTGTAACATCCACAGTTTTTCAGGTAGAGTTCTGGTATATTTTTATTCCTGAATATGCAGGGCAGGTACTGGCAGCAGAGCTACAAAATGAAAACTTCCTGGCTGCAGACCAGATACTGTGCACAGTGCCACATCATAAACTTCCCCTCTTCTGTCTCGGAGTGATTTCAGCCCTAACTAATGTCCTTTATTTCCCCCTACATAGGGTAAGGAACAGAGGGCCTTCTTCCTGGGAAATAGGGGAAATACCTTTGGGAAAGGAAAAGTATAATGTTTCCCTTCTTTAACTTGAAAATTCTGCCTCTTAAATTACTAAGACATTAACTGCAAAGTGGATTCAGTATGTTTCCTTTTTATTCCCATATAGCAGTTTAGAATACATAAAACAATAGGTGTGAGATAGAAAATGAGACCTCTTCCCCACCCCCTACCTCCAGCACACCCAGACCCAATCAGATATCTGTACTTTTTGTTTCGAAAAGAAAAATATAATGGTTTCTTTTCAATGAAGCTTGTGCATTATATTCCAGATATGTTAGATCATTTTGTGATGCAAATTAGCATTGAGGTTTTTTGTACTTATCTCGGGAAATAGCAACGTTCCACCACAATGTGTGGTGCTGCAAAAATTTTTATTGATAAACACCCACACTTTAAATGATTATTAGGTCAAAATAGAGAGTACAGGGGGAGAAAATGTGAGCTTTTAGTTTTCAGATTTGTTTTATGCTTTTCATTTGAAAGGTACAGTGTAAGTTCTGTGTATAATACCATGCAAAATAAATTGACTTCTAAATATCTGCACTAATATTCCTTGTATCTGAAACTATAGTCTAAAAGCTTGTACTTCTCCTTAAAAAATAAAGTAAAACTTTGTTAAGAAGCAGGCTTTAATTACCAGTTACATTTTCAACTGTTACCCATGTGATTTTTAAAAAATCCTATTAAAAAATAATTTCTAGCTGCCATGGCTCCTTTCAATCAGTAGAATTCTCATTTGTATGAGGTGCAATCAGATTATTGCCAGCACACCTTTCTAAAACTAGCCTTCTTCTTTAGAAATGTATTAAATGGGAGCCTTCAGGAGAAAGTGTTACCACTTAATAAATATTTGTTCTAATTTTATTTTTAAACTAAATTATTGATTTAACAGTATATGAATAGTGTATAAATGTTAGCTTAGTTGTTAACCCACTACACTAATTATTAATTGCCTATATGAAATTTACCAAATTAGACCAACAGTTAAGTGTAATTTAATTTTATTTCTCTTGAAACTTAAATAGATAAGAATGATAATTTTAATTATGTTTAAATATCAAGCATTTATTTTTCTGTGAATGCAAATGTTCCCGATAAATTGTTAAGAAATTAATACAACATAGATCTTAAAAAATGTATAAGGCAGCTTATAAGAATATGATAACAATGGCATATTCCTACACCTGGCACTTTTTCAAGACCCATTAGCAAGGGAGGAAAAAGATGTTAAACTTTGTTTTGTAAATGCTAATATATATATGAGTCAATACTTTCTGACATTTATTTGTTAGAAAATTACACACATTTAAAAATTCAAATTAAAACTATGCTTCTATTTAGGCTATTGTAAGAGATTTCTTTATTTTCTTGGAAATTCTCTGGAACAGTAGGGTCATTTGAATCATACCCGTTGGTATTGTCAGATACATTGTAAAGTTTCAACTATTGAACATATGTATGGAATAGAAATTTTAAAATAGAAAATTCGCTATCTTGCCATTTAAGTATGATAAAACTATACCCGATTAAAACGTTGACTCTATTAGAGGTTCGCCTAGTAAGTAATTCTCTGGTCAAGAATTTGGGAAATTTTAAACTCTGTTAACCATTAAAACAATTACTTCTTTAAGGTACCGGATTTTCATCCATATTTGAGGAGCCTTATTAAGTTGTTGGGTGGTCTTTTTGTAAAGGTTTATGTGGTTAAAAAAGTAGATCTTTTCACCCTTCTATTACAGTTAACATTAATATCTTTAAAAGGTACTATATAAATCCAGACCTAATTTATTCTGGATGATTTTTCTTAACTAAATGAAATCTAACAAATTTGTCTATTTTTAAGTGAATCTTTTTTTTATTTCTAGTATTTATTGGAAGTTCACTTAGACTCTATATAGGTTAGAAGTTAAAGTAAATAATTTTGACTATTTTTTTCTTTCATTTCATGTTTGAATATTTCCCCCTTTACATAAACCAAAAAAAAAAAAAAAAAAAAAAAAAAAAAATCCGTGACGACATTGATAGATTTGCAGAAGGCTGAGTAAGATACTCAGTACCCATTAATTGTTTCCCTATGACTCTTGGGTTGAAATGAATCGGCAATATCCCTTCCAAGACTGTTTGATCTTGCTTGATTTAGAGTGAGCGTTATGTGATTTTTTCCCTCCGCTTCTCTCATTTTATAGCTTCAAAAAAATCAGAGAATTCTTGACTTCAGTGTTTTTTCCTTCCGTTTTCATTGTTTTTGGATTCTCTCCTGTCTGAGCTTCCTTCTTGCTTCAAAGTATTTGGTATCGTGAAAGCAAGTGCACTTTTAACTTGTTTTGACTACACATGGGCGACAGAATTGTTTTAGATGCTAACTTACCTCCTTACACTTGAGAAACTGATGTGGTTCATCACAGCCCAATGCCATGTCTTGAAACAACTGCGGACACTGATCTTGAAATAGCCAGGGCTATAGGATCATGTCTTTGTAAAGAACAACAGCAGCTTTAGAGTCACTGGATGGTATATTCGTTGCAAACATGAACAGCTTCATGAACTCCCAGGAAGTGGTACAGTTATTGGACAAGGTCAACCACATTATGCCTTTTAGGTTGCTCTATGAAGTAAGTGTTAGACCAGAACTCCAACGGTGTGAGTGTGTGTGTGTGTATGTGTGTACGGTGTGGGGAGCATCGGTGTGGGAGAGCAGAGAGAGAGAAAAAGCATGAAAGGATGAAGATACACTCTCGAGAGAGAAGATCGTTTAAACAAGCATAAAGAGTTTGGAGACTCCATTTCCACACTTAATATCATTTCTTTGATTCTACATATTATGCTATTAGACAAACATGTCCATAAACAATAAAGAATAATGATTAAGAACAACGACCAAAACTGGGTTCAAAAGCCAGCCTCCCATTTACTGATTAGTGGTTTTAGGCAGGTGTTTTAATGACCAGAAAGCCCCAGTACCAGGATCTGTAAAATGGGAATTATAAAATCACCCACCTCTTAAAGTTTTTTAAGGATTTACTAGGATAATACATATAAAACCGTAATGCAGATACATAGTAAATGATCAGTAAATATTAAATTATTATCATAGCATTGTACTATATTTTAGTCATTTTAAGTTTCTGCTAATGGTGATTTAGAAATTTTTGGTGGGATGGTTATTAAAATTATTTTTCAATAATACTTTCAGTCCATTAAATTTGGGTCACATTCAGAGCAAGTATCTAATTCTTACACAGTCGTGGGTCAATTCTAATGATTGCTAAGTTCAATATACTTCTTTCTCCAAAAAAATCAAAACCTTTCACAGATTTGATGTTATTAAATAAATATATTATTTTTAGAACCAGAAATGGAACCAAAGAAACAAAATGATACCATCCATGAATTTTAAAAGTCATTTACTCAAAGTTCTGAATTGCAGGTAGATTATTCCTTAGTCTTAATGAAAGTTCAGTTTGGAGGAAATGTTTCATGTACAGTTATTAGATGATTTTAATGGTGAAACCAGCCTCGCCAAGAGTTCTAGGTGTTTTTCTTAGTATTATCCACTTTTGTATACATTAATAACCTTTTTTTTATTTTTCTTATTAGACAACTTTGATTATATGTAGAAATGGAATTAATTTATGATGAATGTGTGTTCTTTTAGTCTTTATATTTCTTCACAAGAACTCTTGCATATAATAGGTACTCTATAGATATTTGTTGAATAAATGAATGAATTGTATTTTCCCATAAAGATGAAATGCATTTTTTATTTGAAAAGAAAATATAACCAGCAAATGCTACCCTTATTATCCTATTTTTCTCTAGATTTGAGGGCTTATTCATTATGACCACAGCTTATCAACTTTGAGATGATGAATAAGTGAACTTGTCTTAATTTGGGTATTTTTATTTATGTAAGAAAAAAACATAAAGTATAGAAAATGCAGAATTGTACCTGAGGATTATACCTTCTGATAACGCAAACAAATTTAGGTAAAATGTAGATTTAAAAATGTGAGTATTACTGGTGTCAGGGAACCCCTTTTGTTCAGCTTTTCTGTTCACATGGTTTCTCAAAAAAAATCATATTTTGGATGTCAGGTAATATTGATGAGACATGCCCAGTTTATACAACCTGGCTAGTTGCAACCACTTGAAATTGTTATCATGCTTTTGAATAATGCCCCTTTAGTGTGCACCTTGCATTTCAGCTTTCTTTTCTAACTCTGTTTTAATGCCTGGATAAAGAGTGCTCAGCACAAGGAATACTTGCAGAGTGGACTTCCCTATGGTAAAACAGCATGGACAGCTCCCAACACTGCAATCAAGGACGCCTCTAAAAGCTTTAATTTAAAAATAATAATAATAATAATAAGTCTGCATGAAGATGATGGAGCCCTCTAAGGCACATGGGCTTAGAGAATTATTCCCATCTGCAACCCCCTCCCCCTACTTAGTAGCCCTTTCCAGGGTTATGATTACTGGAAAATGGCTGTTAATCACCAGAATTTTTTTTGACTGCAGCTGCTTCAGTCAGACTACTAATCTATTAAACAACTTCATCTTCAGTTTAAAATTTGCATTGTAACTGTATAGAATAAATTTTCATTGTAATCAGAGCATCCGAGAAAACTTCTTGATATGATTTATAGAAGCACATTTGTTTTTATGTATGGACCTCTCTACCGCTATTGAGCCAACTGTTTAAACAATACTGTGGTTGATCAGCATAAAATAAAATATTGTAGCACTCTTGAGCACAAGCAACATTTACAATAGTCACATTTGCAGAATATTTGAATTGTGGCATCTTTGGCACTTGTCAATACAATACCCACATAATTCAAAAACTTACCCCAGATATTTAAAATTTGACTTGAACCCGAAAGGGTTTTTATAAGTTTAGTGTTTTTGTACCAGGCTGTGGTAGAGTGGTTTGGCCTCTTTTTCTACCCTAATGCTTATTACATTGCCATAATTTGAAGAAATAACCCAAAACCGGAGTCAATATTTAGTGCTGAGAGAGGACAAAACAGCTCTAATTTACAAAGAACTCCTTTAAAACACATTTTTATATGTAAAATTGACAGGCTAAAAGAGGTGGTTGGATGATGTTCATCATGTTGGAAAGAATGTTTCAATTAAAGTTGAACACTTTCTCTTCCAGGTCTTTTTTTCTCCATTTTTTATTTGCTGTGCCAAGGTATCCATGTGCGTTTTTCCACTGTCATCTGGCTCATTCCCAGCAGATGCACACAATCTGTTCTGCTGTCACTAACAGGGTTCGGTTTATGAAAAGAATGTGTCAGAACATGCCACTATAGTCACTTTTACAGGTTTTTTTAAAGAGTAACTGAGAATATATGCATTGCCCTAGTTTTATTGTGCTCAGCCCTTAAGAGATTTCTAAGAAACTTTTATATTCATAAACCAAAAGCTTTCTTCCAAACATATTTTTGACCAAATATTTACTTTCCATTAAAAATAAAATTTTAAAAGTTCACAAACATCTTTAATTATGAAATGTATTATATTAAAATTTGAGTAAATTTTTATAGGATTGTTTAAAATAAACCAAAGATTTTTAGATAAAATTATTAAATTTCCAATTATGAAATTTACTGCATAATCCTTCAATACATATCTTCCCTCATACTAAAAGCAAACCTACCTTCCTACTCAAGTCAAAGCATTGTTTAAAAAATGTATTGTAATAGAATACTTAGGATATGGCCGTAAGTACCAGTTATTTGATCTGATATATAGTACTGATTTCCCTAAGTGTTTGACACCACTAAGTTAAACCCAAAGTAGTTAAACTACCAAAACTTTCTTAGCCCATATAGAGACGCGTGATACACCATCCTTTCACAAAATAATGTGACATTTTATTTTTGTAAGCATGCATGTTTTAAAAGCATACTAGATAATTAGTTATGAAATTAATTTTTGTTCGTTAAGATTTCTCTATTTCTATTGACTGTTCTTAATAAAAAATCAGTTTTTGTTGTCTTCATAAAAAATAATTTTTCTGGTACTATGTGAATTAAAAAAATTTGAGCAATGGAAGTTGCATTCGTTTCTGAATTAATAAGTGTAGTAAGTTAACAGAATTTGAAATGTCAAGTATGTGTAGTAAGTAGGGACTGCATATGCAGATAGATAATGGACATATTTACATGTTGTGTACAGTTCATGGTATTTAAATATCTCCCAGAATTGAAGGCTTTAAAAAGGTACTTAAGTGCTAGTTTTAGCATTTTAAAATAATTTTTGACTTGGAGAACAATACAACGTTCAGGAAAATTAAACTTTTTTAAATAAGTTATAGTTCACATGCACTAAAAATGCAGATTAAGAAAATATTTTAAGGAATGACAATTTGTACAAATGAAGCTATATGTGTATATATATATATATATGTGTATATATATATATATATGTATATATATATATATATATATATATGAAAACTAGTTTTAGATTTCTGCCTAGGAAAAAATTACAAAATACATTTAAGACATAACGTGATTGTGAAACTGATATATTGTCACATAGACAAATCCAGCAATATAAATTAAGACCTTTGTGAAACAACTTTGCCATTATAGCAAGATAATAATTTACAGTTAGAACTCACTGGCACTGTTGTCACATCATATAGATTAATTGCTAAATTATCTTTCTAGAGTTCTATCATGTGCTTGTTGTAGTAAGTTTTCTTAATTCGTAAAGAAAAAGGAATCCTTGTTTTATATCAAATATTATAATGTATACGTGCCTATTGTAAGTTGATTTTATAATGTTTTTTGACGATGTGAACATAGCACATAGATTTAAGATGAATCATAAAGAACAATTCTGGAGTTCACTTTTTACTGCCAACATTTTAATTTATCTGTAATCTTACACATCAGATAACTCGACTTTTTATCTAACCTGTAAGTAATTTCATTGCTTTGTTTTGGGTAATTCGGAATATTTGCTCTTGGCATAAAAGGCCAAGAATCATAGGTGGTGAACTGATAAGAATGTTCTAGTTGAATCATGTGGGTTGTCATAGCCTCTCTCTCTTCTCCTTAAAGTACCGGTGGTAGAGGTGGGGGAGAATTGTAGTGTGTTACAAGAAAGTAGACAGCCTCACTAACTAACTATGCCAGTATTGGGTGGGGGGTGTCACACGGACTTGGAGAACAAGCAGAATCATTTATTTTGCTGCAATTTGAATATACATGACATCCTTTCAAGACAAAACTCCAGAGGCAAACTTAGTTATACTTATCCTGATTTACTAATCCTTAAAATCTTCTATCACTCAAAGTGTAAATATCATCCCAAATTTCACTGGGGGAAAAGCTTACGCCTCTTAGCAGTATTCACCGAAACTGAATATTTGCAGTTGTGTTTTGCCTTGTGAAATGCTTGTAAATACCAGATCTTCTAAAAAGGTAGGCTTTTTTATTTAGTAATGCTTCATAAAGAAGTAATCAGATATTTTTCCCCCAGCTTTATTTTTTAAAGTTAAAGGAAGAGTAGTTCCGAAACGTGAAATTTTCCTGGTTCTCCAGGATATGCACCGTGGGGCCATTTTTATCTCAAAAATACTTTTTAAAGTTTTGCCAGTTGTCTTGATTTCCAACACAGGGGGTACCACCCTCCTTTGTGGTTGGGAGGTAATTCTTTCTTTGCGTTTGCTTAGTCATAGGTCTTTTTGGAGCAAAGACAGATTATTTTTGTGACACTGTCCCCAAAATATATATTATTCACAGACTAAGAAATCCATCAAAGAGTCTCGCTGCACGCGTAATGATAGGTTGGACTGCAGTGACCAGAAGGCTCTCCACTCAGCTTTCTTTAGGGAATTTAAAGACAGTTGTATCCTTTTTCCATCTGCATCGACATATGTTGACCAGTTGGTTTTCAATTCTTGCTGGCTTGGTGGTTGAAAGTAGGACTGATCTTCTATAAATATAATTGATACTTTCAAGTATGACTTAGGAATTCCACTTTTACTTTCTTCAGCGTCACTACTCAAAATATCTCTAATAATTTTAATAACTTTTATGATATGTGTGTAAAAGCTTATATTATTAATTTGAAAGAATTACTAATTATAATAAGACAATAAAAACCACAGCTAACATTTTTTTGAGAGCATACCGTATACTTGAGCACTATTCTATAGGCCTGAAGTTTTATATGCATTAATTCATTTATTCCTCAAAACTTAATGAGGTAGGTGCAGTTACTATCCCGATTATATAGATGAGGAAACTGAGGTAAAAATTTACAAAGTAACTTGTCCAAAGTTACCCACTTAATGGCAGACCTAGAATCTCAACCCCAGATAGTCTCAAGTCCACTCTCTTCTTATTAAGCCAAAATCTCACATACATGATCTTATCTGTTAGATAAGAAGAAGGAAAGAGTCAATTATTGAGTCTTAATTTTGCCTGGCATCTTAGGGAAAAATATTTAGTAACCTTGGAATGACAATATAACTAAGTTTGTGTAAACATGTTTGTATTGTTTTTAAAAAGAAGTGTATTAATTCTTGGCCTGTGATATATACTTCCACATTGTTGATGTGAAGTGAGAAAAACATATATTATCAACTGCTTGATAAATCTTTTCACAAGCAATGTCTTACTATTTGCGAAAATATATTTTTCCAGCTACGATATTAGCGTTAATTGAAATGGGAAAATCTCGTTTTATGTCATCACTGTCTAGTGACCACTTTGCTATTCATTTCTTGAGCTGTTTTAATTTTTAACCTTCATTTGCAAGAATCATAGTAATTTATATGGTTTTAATTCAAAAATGTGAGATGTATAACAGAGCCTATAAATGAATATTAAATGGATTTCAGGAGTTATTCAGTAAATTTAATTAGTGCAGATGGATATTCTAGAGAATTCAACTTCAAGAACACCTTTAAACTTTTTCTTTGTAGTTAAAAAAGGAAAACAACAAAACTTTAAAACCAAAGTTAGATGTGAAATAACTACTGATGAGTTAGAACAAGGTCATATTATATTTGAAAATAAGAAATATTATATCAAGTTTATTCATCAAGTGCATAGCTTTTAGCTTTTAACTGAATTTTTCTGGGTTCAGTAAAAGACCTTTTGAAAAAGGAAAAGGATCATTTTTAGAATTTTTACCATGAGAAACAATATGAACTTTCTTTATTCTAATAAACAGTTTCCTTGTTTTTTCATAAAAGTATTGCCGTACTGCTGACTAGAAGTGAGGACAGAGAGGCTGGCCAGAGGTCAAATGGGACTCAGATATTTCTGAATTACCAGATATACAAGCTTTGGACTTCAAAATTAATAGCTACCATATCTTTAATGTCATGGATTCCTTGCCAAATTTCCACAGTTCATATTAGTAACTACATTTGCTTCCGCTTTGTTTCACTGTTGAAGAGAATGAAATGCTTGTTTGGATTACCATGCAAGCATGCAAATAATCTATGCTCTCTGTATTTAAAAATTCGTCTATTTGAAATGTGACTTGGGCCGGGCGCGGTGGCTCACTCCTGTAATCCCAGCACTTTGGGAGGCCAAGGCCGGCGGATCACGAGGTTAGGAGATTGAGACCATTCTGGCTAACACGGTGAAACCCCGTCTCTACTAAAAAATACAAAAAATTAGCCGGGCGTGGTTGCGGGCGCCTGTAGCCCCAGCTACTCGGGAGGCTGAGGCAGGAGAATGGCGTGAACCCAGGAGGCGGAGCTTGCAGTGAGCCGAGATAGAGTCACTGCACTCCAGCCTGGGCTACAGACCAAGACTCCATCTCAAAAGAAAAAAAAAAAAAAGAAAAGAAATGTGACTTAAAGATTTGGGGATTCAATGTGTTATTTGGAATTAATTGATTTCAGTGATAAACAGCCTTCCTGTCACTTACGATGCCCACTGGCGGGGAAGTTTTGTGTGCTTTATGCAATATTAAGTCCCATTGGTAACACTCAGTGTTCATTCTTCTCTTTCCAGCAAAACCACTGAGGCCAGTTATATCTACTTCCTAATGTGATTTTGACTAAAGTTGTTTGAATTCTGTCTCTTTGGAATCTTCTAACTGTAAAGCACGCTCTAAGACTCCATAAAACACCATATTTATATTAATATCCATTTGAGTTGTAAATATGCAGGAAATAATTATTCACTGTAAAGGCCTGGATTACCCTAAGACTGAGGAGGAAGTTATAGCTGTTGGCTAATTCTATAAAAGATAATTGCATAAACTTATTAGTAATATTCCTTGAAGAAGATTGCGATGTAGCTAATACTGCACTTCAAAAGCCTTTTTAAAAAATTTAATCATCCAAAGACTAAAATCAACTAAGTTTCTCACAAGCAGAATTCGTTAGAAAACTATGGGCTGTAACTGATCTTTGGTATATGCCAAGTGACAAGGTCATAGGTATAAAACATTGGATTTCCTTTGAACAGTTAGCTTAGATAAGTGGTTCTGAATCCTTGGCTGTAAGGAGAATTATTTTAAAATACTGATGTTAGGTGGGCACAGTGGCTCTTGCCTGTAATCCTAACTACTCGGGACACTGAGGCTACAGAATCACTTGAGGTCAGGAGTTTGAGACCAGCCTGGGCAACATAGTGAGATCCAGTCTCCAAATTTTTTTTTTTAAATGGCCAGGCATGGTGGCTCATGCCTGTAACCCCAGCACTTTCGGAGGCAGGTGGATCATCTGAGGTCAGGAGTTCGAGGCCAGCCTGGCCAACCTGGAGAAACCCCGTCTGTACTAAAAATACAAAAATTTGCTGTGTGTGCTGCTGGGCACCTGTAATCCCAACTACTCAGGAGGCTGAGGCAGAATCGCTTGAACCCGGGAGGCGGAGGTTGCGGTGAGTGAGCCGAGATTGCGCCATTGCACTCCGGCCTAGGCGACAGAGCGAAACTCCATCTCAAAAAAAAAAAAAAAAATTTGAAAAAACAAGCGTGATGGTGTGGCATATGCCTGTTGTCCTAACTACTTGGGAAACTGAGGCTGGAGGATCTCTTGAGCCAGGACTTCAAGGCTGTGCTGAGCTATAGTAGTGCCACTGCACTCCAATCTGGTGACAGAGTAAGGCCTGGTCTCTAAATATATAAATATACATATATATAATTTGTGTATTTATGTATATTTATAATATGCATATTTATATTTATGTGTATTTATAAATATGTAAATACACATATTACAAATATACAAATATATACACACATACACCAATGCCCAAGTTCCACTCCCAGATTCAGATTAAATTGGCCTGCCATCCAGGTATTGCAGTTTCTCCGAGCTGCCTGGGAGCTCTTAATGTAAAGCTTGGGTTGAGAACCACTAGTTAAAAGAAGATAAATGTGAATTTTTATTTTTAAATAACATATAATAACTGTATATATTGATAGGGTACATGTGATATTTCCACACATGTATACATTATAGCATGATCAAATAAGGCTAATTAACATAACTATCACCTCAAATATTTATCATTTCTTTGTGTGGAGAACATTGAATACACAGTGAAATACCATTCAGCCTTAAAAAAAAAAACAAAAAAAAAAACAGAAAACATGGCTGGGCATGGTGGCTCAGGCCTGTAATCCCATAATCCCAGCACTTCGGGAGGCCAAGGCTGGAAGATCACCTGAGGTCAGGAGTTTGAAACCAGCCTGGCCAACATGGTGAAACCTCGTCTCTACTAAAAATACAAAATAGAGCCAAGCGTGGTGGCACATCCCTGTAATCCCTGCCACTCAGGAGGCTGAGGCAGGAGAATCACTTGAACCTGGGAGGCAGAGGTTGCAGTGAGCCGAGATGGTGCTATTGCACTCCAACCTGAGAGACAGAGCGAGGCTCTCTCTCAAAAAAAAAAAAAAAGAAAAAGAAATTCTGTCATTTGCAACATGAATGAACCTAAAAGACATTACGTTAAGTGAAATAAGTCAGGCACAGAGAGACAAATACTGTGTGATCTCATTTGTACGTGTAGTGTTAAAAGCTGAATTTACAGAAGTAGAGAGTAGAAAGGCAGTTTCCAGAAATGGAGGCGGGAGTGGATGGGGAAAGGGGAGACAAGACATAGGTCAACAGGTACAAAATTTCTGTGAGACAGGAGGAGGAATAAGTTCTGGTATTCTGTTGCACAGTGTGTTGACTATAGTTAATAATAATGTATTGTATATTTCAAAA
Organism: Homo sapiens; assembly: GCF_000001405.40. Lineage (NCBI taxonomy): Eukaryota > Metazoa > Chordata > Mammalia > Primates > Hominidae > Homo > Homo sapiens. The sequence goes on along the minus strand of NC_000005.10, from coordinate 88,863,512 downwards.
TAGTGAATCTTGAACTTGGGCATACAAATCCATGCATTCTTACAGTTTCAGAAACAAATAAACCTATAAATTGAAAACTACCTTTGGCTCTGCCAATAAAATGTCTACTGCTATTGCCCAACACTTCTTGGACGTCAACTGTATAAATTTATTAACACATCAGTCAACTTTTCACTAAGTGTTTCATGGGAGTGTTTCATTAGGGATACAAAAGTGAGAGATGGAAACTCTGTTGTTGAGGAATTCAGTCTGATGAGGGAGTTGAATATGCAAAGTGCAATTATAAATGTAATGTGATAAACACTATACTGCAGGCATGTTGAAAATGAGGTAAACGCTTAATTGATAGAATGTTCAGCTCTTTTGGGAGATGACTGGTTAGGTCAATCTTCAGTCAAGGATGCCTAAGGTGAGTCTTAAATGATGAGTCAAATCCTGGCAGTACTCCAGAAAAAAGTTTTGGGGGCTAGTCTGCCCTCTGGAAGCATAGCAGACTTTCATATGTTTTTCGTATGGCCTGCCATATTCTCAACTTTGCTTTCTCATTTAGAAAAGCTGTGCAGGCCTTGCCCAGAACTTCAGATTCTGTGGAAATTGGGGGCACCTAATGAAGCCGTGAAGATGGTATCAGAAGTAGGAAGTGCCAACCTAATCTTCTTTCCATTCTCTGGTATGCCATAGAAACCTCACTGTGGCAGATCTCAAGGTAACTGGGAGGACATACTCCTCCTCAGCGCCCACTCCTGCCCTATTTCCTAGACACAGCTGAAAGGAAGGATGGCCTGATCCGGGTCCTCCCCTGCAACCCACTGTTTTGACAAGGGATATGGGACAAGTTATGAATAAGAGAAAAGGGCCAAACAGGGAGCTACCCAAGAATACTTTATATAGAGGAGATTCAACTTACATCTCTTACAAAGTAATTTTTAAAAAACTTTAAAGGTTATTTCTCGGGTTTTTTTTTTCCTTCTTGTTCTAAAAGAATAAAACTAAAGAAAGACAAGTACTTCAGGGATGTCATACCAGTAGGAAAACATCTTGTATATTTTAAAAGAACTTCGGGTACTCTAATAGAAGGGGATAAATCTGTAAACATAGCAAACCATGATCTTATAAGACACGTAGAATACGAGAAACTAAGCTTGTCCCTCCTATGTTGCCAAACAAACATACACATGTATCTCTGTGTGTGTGTGTGTTTGTGTGTATGACAGAAGTCAGAAAAGGCAAGACATGACAGGAAAATAAAAATACTAGTTCCACAAATTCTATAGAAAAAGATTGTTTTATTATTTCGTAGGAAGCCTTACCATAAAATGAACCACATAAAGTTTTATGTAAAGAGCAGGGATTAGATAATGATCTCAGTTATATAATGGAACAAAATTCCAAGTCTGTAAACCTTTTGGTCGCAGCTGCTAGATAACGTTACCTTCACAAACCAGGTACTTAATGAAAAAAGACCTGTTTCATGTGGAGGGAGGTGGAAGAACTGGGTTGCACTGCTTACTAATACCATTTCCCAGTGACTGAGGTAGAGAAATAAATTAGTTGTGAAAGACTGAGAACTTTGGTCTAATGGATTGACTTTTTTGGAAGTCACAAAATGTAGTGAATTTGATCTCAAATAGATAATACATTAACATCATACATGCAATTAGAAAATTATCACCTTGAGTAAATTAAGTATACAGCATTGAATTTAATTAGCATACTATTAGAGATTTGCAAGTCAGTAAATATCACAAGGTGAAATTTATATTTTTAAATACAACTGAAAACCCTCCAAAGAGTCAATATGATCCAGATAAAAATGATTACTTTGCAAGCCCTTGAAAGTTCCTAATACTGGTTCTGCAGAAAAGGGGCATATTTATCAGGACTGTTGTCTCAGAAAGGCAAAGCTTTCTGTGATTTTAACTTATAAATCTATTAAGTGTCAGGTTGTCCATATGAATTTTTTTTTCTCTCACTTCGTGCAGTAGCTGAGAAACTCTCTCAGGTGAATTAGCTCAGAACTGGATAGACCGGTAAATTTCAAGAACATACCACATCCAAGGGAGATAATGCAACAACATACCTGTGTTGCAGTGGTTATGTTTCTAAGAGTTTTAATATGATTCATTTCAGATCTGGCTTCACATTGGAATCTCCTGGAGAGTTTTTAACAAGTAACAATGCCAGGGAACCTGGTCCAACAATCCTGATTTCATCAGTCTGGGATGGGTCTGGGTATCAGTGTTTTTAAAAAGTGTTTGAAGTGATTGAAATGTATAGTCAGCATTAAGAACTACTGTTAGTGGAACATTCAAAATCTCTACAACTTTGAAACATCTTTGAACACTAGGGTGAAGCAAATGCAGAACATTGGTGTTACTTCCATTCTAGCTGTAGAATTGAGAAGAAAATAAATTAATTTCTTAAGTTATGACAGGAAAATTTTCTATAGAATCCTGCTTTTTTTCATCTGTGAGACCAGCCGCATCATTCCAGTTTCTAAATTATCGGCATTTCTAAAGATGAAGTAACAGGGGAAGTGATGAACTTTATAAATAGACTCCCTAAAATATTTGGCATGAGGGGTCAAGATGTAGGCGAAGCTGGAAAAAGACTTTAGTTTGGGTATTAGCCAGAGGCCAACAGTTGTTAAATTCTCTAAATTTCCTTAAGAAAGGAAAGAGAATCCCTTGAAGAACATTTTTTTTTTCTCCAATGTGTAGTCAGTGAAACCCAGAGGGGGAAAAATGTACCTTTCAAGCCAGAATTAGGTCATGCCAACCACAGCAAATTGGAAGCTCTACTTAAACTGTAGTCTTGCAGGATTGCTATGTATCATCTTAATGTCATGCATGTGGTGGGGCCAACACTTCCAGATCATAGCTGCTAGGCTCTGCTGAGCGGGGCAGCTCTGCTGGGTGAATCTGACCACCCCATTGGGCTGCATTTGGCACACAGACATAACCTAAGACTGTCTGAAAGGTAAGCCCTGGAATATGGCATTTTTTAAAGTGAAAAAAAAATTACAATTTCTAAAAACAAAATATTTCATTTTGTTTTATGATTTTAGAGGGGGGAAATGTCAAGGGAAATAGAGAATGGACAAATCCACCATTATGACCAGCAGGCACAGCTTCCTGGCAATTGAGACAAGGTTGCCAAAAACCTACCTTACCATAAAAAAAAAAAAAAGCATACAAATAGTTTCATGCATTTATTCACCTGTCCACATTAGAAGTAGCAGGATTGCCCCCTTACCAGCCTTACAGAAGTGGAAGAAAATTAGAAGGTACTTCATTCATTTCTTTGGCACTTTCCATAATTATTAGAATGTGGAACCTACTGTAAAAATGGAACATATTGCCATTATGTAAAAGAAACTGTTGTCCTTTCCTACCTGTGAAACATAGGGTTTCACAGGCATTTCCAGTCATTATTAGAAGGCTGAATTGGCCATAAAAATGTAACATATTTCCATTACCTAAAGGAAATTTATACTCTTTCCTACTTAGAGAAAGCATTTAATAAAATGATTAGACCTGTATGGTTTAAGAAACTTTATCATGAATTGCCCTATCGAACTTTATGAAGCTGTTTAAAGAAAATATTAGTATCTGCTACAGTATCCAATGTGTTTGTTCTGTTTAAAAAGAAAATAAACTAAAATATATTTTTGTTGAACACTTCTGAATTGACTCCCACAAGAAAATAAAACCTCAAATTTGTTGACTTGTTCATAAATGAGCAAATATTTTTGCAGACTTGTAGCCATTAGCTTTACATCTGTCATGTCTGCAAAGAGTTTTTGCTCGTTGAGCGCAACTTCCCAATGTGTACAATTAATTAGATCAATCTAATTTTCAAATTATTGGCTTCTTTTAGGATGAGGTTGTAGCAGTTATATAACATTCTGTCAGGTATGAACTAAAATAGGATACTGAAAACATTAATGCTTTCCTCTTGCTATAGAACACTGTCATCTTCAGTTAATTAATACAGGAACTTTCATATGTGAAACGGCATTCTCCTTGATTTTCCTTGCATGCTGGTTCTACATTTTTGATAACACAGGAAATAAAAAGCCTAATCTGTGCTACATGAGGATTCTGGAAATACTTCACAAAGGAGAAAACACTTGAGCGGGATCTTAACAGAAGAGCTTGAATGTGCCTTGTCACTGGGTGTCTTGCTTTTGAGTAAAGACTCTAACATACCATTATGTTCCCAGGAATACCGTCACACTGCAGCTTATGAATAATTTGCATCCCAAAATTCTGTTTTAAAGTTATGTTGGAAAATCCAGAATTTATTTTTTCATGGAAAGAGTTTTTTAAATGCTTGTTATTTTCTCACATGAACCCACAAATACCTAGTGTACACTCTTAATAACAATTTTAAAAATAGTAAGAAGCCATATGGATGTTGTAATACAAATAACAATTATATAGTTCAAGTTTGCCATAACCAGTAATGCTTAATCAAAGCACTCTGACGAGACAGGCAGAATTTTTGTGGAAACAATGAAAACAATGTCGAGATGTGCAAAATGTAATCCACCATACATAGGCCTCAGAATGGTTTGCAGTGCTCCTTCAAAATACACGTCTCACTACTACCTTCCTGGGGAGAACTTTGAACATGATATTTAAATAATTAGAATGTGAAGTTTGAGGATTACTGCTTAAAGATTCAAGTATTCTTAGTTTATGTTTTTTTTAAAAATAGCGTTTTTTATTCCTTAATGCAGATGTATAATAAGCATCACTCTAAATGTTTATTAGTTGTCTTTAGCTGACATGCAGAACACATGAGAAAGAGATTTCTCCAAGGAGTAACTAACTGATCCAGGATTAGGAAACTGACAAGGATGTGTGCATGTAAGTGAGGGCCAGAGAAGGTCTGCACACAATGAGGATAAGGACATAGGTGGGTGGGTCCCAGAATCCATACCCTTATCAAATGCACTTTGCTCCCTTCTTTGTCTTCTAGTTAACTCTTACTGGGCTGCCTCCTCCTGACATCCCAGGTGGGCTTTAAGTTTTGTTGCCTATGGTCACCAACTATAAATGCAGCCAAGGCCCATGATTAACTTGCTAAATTAATGAGCAAATGAATTCTGTCACCCCCTTTATTCCAATCTCTATGGAGTCTTGCTTCTTTAAGGGTCCCCTGAAATGACTGGAAAAGTACCTTGAATATATTGTAGGTGAATATTACACATGAATTCCTATATGAGAGACAGGAAAAAAGATTGGTGAGGCTTGAATGTAGAGGTTGGTCTTGAGGTGATAGGCATATGTAGGAGCGTGGAGGGAAGATTGAGGAGATCCTGTTTTTGCAAGGAGGAAAGATGTATGCATTGAGTTGATTTGAAGTACATATTCACAAGTTGGATTTCATTATCAAGAAATGCCTCAATTTGTCAAAATTAAATTAATAGGAAGAAAATACTTTGCTGGATATTCTTATGAGTCTAAAAACAATACTGCATGTATTTAATTCACAGAGTTTTTGTTGTTGCTGTTTTATAAATTTCATTGTTTTTAAAATCATGCTTTGAGATTTTTCTCTGCGTCCTCTAGACTTGGACCATAATTTAAGCACACATTCAGCTACTTTACAGGAAATCTGAAGAAAGGAAGTGTATTAGTTTGTTCTTACGCTGCTATGAAGAAATAGCCAAGACTGGATAATTTATAAAGAAAAGAGATTTAATTAACTCACAGTTTCACATGGCTGGGGAGGCCTCAGGAAACTTAGAATTGTGGCAGAAGGCACCCCTTCACAGGGTGGCAGGAGAGGGAATAAGTTTTGAGCGAAGGAGTAAGCCCCTTATAAAAACATCAGATCTCATGAGAACTCACTATCAGGAGAACAGTACGGGGGAACTACCCCCATGATTTAATTATCTCCACTTGGTCTCTCCCATTACAAGTGGGGATTATGGGACCTATAATTCGAGATAAGACTTGGGTGGGGACACAGCCAAACCATATCATTTCTCCCCTGGCCCCTCCCAAATCTCATATTCTCACATTTCAAAATGCAATTATGCCTTTCCAACAGTCCCCCAAAGTCTTAGCTCATTCTAATATTAACCCAAAAGTCGAAATCCAAAGTCTCATCTGAGACACGGCAAGTCCCTTCCACCTATCAAAAGCATGTTAGTTAGTTCCACCTATCAAAATCAAAAGCATGTTAGTTACTTCCTAGATACAATGGGAGTATAGGCATTGGGAAAATACACCCATTCAAACTGGGAGAAATTAGCCAAAACAAAGGGGCTACAGGCCCCAAGCAAGCCCAAAATCCAGTAGGACAGTCATTAAGCTTTAAATTTCCAAAATGATCACCTTTGACTCTATGTCTCACATCAAGGTCATGCTGATGCAAAAGGTGGGCTCCCATGGCCTTGGACAGCTCTGCCCCTGTGGCTTTGCAGGGTATAGCCCCCCAGCCCCCCAATCCTGGCTGCTTTCTCAGGCTGGCATTGAGTGTCTGTGGCTTTTCCAGGTGCATGGTGCAAGCTGTCAGTGGATCTACCATTCTGGGATCTGGAGGATGATGGCTCTCTTCTCACAGCTTTGCTAGGCAGTGCCCCAGTGGAAACACAGATGTCAGGGCTCTGACCACATATTTCCCTTCTGCATTGCCCTAGCAGCTCCATGAGGGTTCCACCCCTGAAACAAACTTCTGCCTAGACATCCAGGCATTTCTACACATCCTCTGAAATCTGGGTAGAGATTCCCAAACCTCACGTCCTGACTTCTGTGTACCCATAGGCCCAACACCACGTGTAAGCCGCCAGGCTTGGAGCTTGAACCCTCTGAAGCAACAGCCTGAGCTGTTCCCTCAGGCTGTTTTAGCCACAGCTGGGACACAGGGCACCAAGTCCCAAGACTGCACAGAGCAGCAAGGTCTTGGGCCTGGCCCACAAAACCTTTTTTTCCTCCTAGGCCTCTGGGCCTGTGATAGGAAGGGCTGCCATGAAGGTCTCTGACATGCCCTGGAGACATTTTTCCCATTGTCTTGGTGATTAACATTTGGCTTCTTGTTACTGATGCAAATTTCTGCAGCTGGCTTGAATTTCTCATCAAAAAATGGGTTTTTCTTTTCCATCTCATTGTCAGACTGCAAATTTTCTGAACTTTTATGCTGTGTTTCCCTTTTAAACATAAGTTCCGATTTCAAACCACATTTTTGTGAATGCATAAAGCTCAATGATTTTAAGAGCACCCAAGTCACCTCTTGAACACTTTGCTGCTTAGAAACTTATTCCACCAAATAACCTAAATCATCTCTCTCAAGTTCAAAGTTCCACAGATCTCTAGGTCAGGAGCAAAATGCCTCCAGTCTCTTTGCTAAAACATGGCAGGAGTTACCTTTACACCAGTTCCCAACAAGTTTCTCATCTCCATCTGAGACCACCTCAGCCTGGATTTCATTGTCCATATCACTATCAGTATTTTGGTCAAAGGCATTCAACAAGTCTCTAGGAAGTTTCAGATTTTCCCAAATCTGTCTTCTTCAGAGCCCTCCAAACTGTTCCAACCTCTGCCTGTTACCCAGTTCCAAAGTTGCTTTCACATTTTCAGGCATCTTTACAGCAGTGTCCCACTCTCTGCAGTACCAATTTACTTTATTAGTCTGTTCTCACACCGCTATGAAGAAATACCTGAGACTGGGTAATTTATAAAGAAAAGAAGTTTAATTGACTCACAGTTCCACAAGGCTGTAGAAGTATCAGGAAACTTACAATCATGGCAGAAGGCACCTCTTCACAGGGCAGCAGGAAAGAGAATGAGTGCCAAGTGAATGGGGAAGCCACTTATAAAACCATCAGATCTCATGAGAACTCACTTACTATCAGGAGAACAGTATGGGAGAAACCTCCCCTATGATTCAGTTATCTCCACCTGGTCCCTCCCATGACACGTGGAGATTATGGGAACAATTCAAGATGAGATTTGGGTGGGGACACAGCCAAACTGTATCAGAAAGGGAATAAAAATCATGCAACATGAAAAGCATTATTTTATTCACTGGCTTTTAAATTATCCAACTAACTAGTTTATTCTTTTGTATCAGAAAAATAATCTGTGAACAGTTAAGGAAAAAATATCCAAAATCGTTAAAAGAAGTATATCATCTTATTACTGTATGTTGTGCTATTCAAAAAAATGTAATGATGCTTTTCTAAAAATGGAAGTAATTTGTTTTATAGATAAAAATATTTTCAAATTATTTAAGAAAATAAACTTGAATATGGATATATATTTAAATGCTTCCTATATATTCTATATAGCACTTAGCAAAACTCTTTCAAATCCCAACATTTAAAAACAGCTGTTTAAAAATGAACTATAAAGCTGAGGAAAAGTTCCAAAGCTTCTTTTTAAATTTGTGTCTCTTCTTCAGGATTCTTCAGCAAGGACAGCACGGGGTCCAGCACCCTTTCTGTGTACCTCCTGCCATGCTTGTCTCCTTTATTGTGCATAGAACCACTTTGGGTAGTAAACCACACATAAGCTATTCTAGAATGGGTCAAGCCATTCACATAAATACTAAAATTAGAATGAATCTCAGTTCTCGGAAGCACAAGACCCTAAAGGCTCTACTGAGGTAGTTGTGATTCATTGCAGTCCTTTTTTCATATCACAGTAGAAAAATATCAACTTTTGTGACTTCAGTAAACATGATTCTCAAGGTCTGTGTGAAATGATATGTGCACATAGCACTGTAAAATGGAAATAATGTACAAATGTACATTATTCTCAACCCAAGTTAGATTGTAAACTCCTTGAGCTTGGAGACTGCACCTTACTCATCTTTGTTTTCTCTATGGTCTGTATGAGTCTGTTACACATAATAGATGTTCCATCTTTGTTGAATTAATTTGAAGCAAGTGAATGAAGGGTAATAATTATCCTAATTCAGGTGAGAGAGATCTAGGAAAAGTAGTTGATGAAGTATTTCCACCATGAGGCTTTTCCCAATGGTGTTATCTTTCCCACATCTGACTTTCAGAGAACTTTTTGAGTGTCTCTTTTATGGTGTTTACTAATTTCTACATTGTACTAAAGTTAATTTTTAAAGTATCTTTCCAAGTTTGATAAAATGTAGGCTCTTTGGTGTGCAGAGGTTAAGTTTTATTCACCTTTCTATTCAGGATATACTTCCTGATTGATTTCTAATCTCTCAACTAACAAATTATTTTTTGCACCACATCTGCTATACTACCTGACTGGCTGAAGGATGTTGATCATAACTACTCTATAAACCCATGGCAATAGTATCTATTTATTGTATCCTAATACATATTTCACAGAGAAGAAAACTGAGATTTAGAAGTCTCATAGATTAAAGCTTTGGTCTCACCAAAAATATGGTTCTTATATAGCTGCAAAAAGCTGCTCTCAATGGTCTTTAATTCATTTTACATGCAGGTAATAGATAAAGAATGCTTCCACCTCTTTCCTAAATTATAATTTTACAGTTCTTCCTCAGATTTTGCCCCCATGTAAAAATTAGGAATGATTGTGGTTCTTGTTTGTGTCACAAGTGAGGTCATGAAATAACAATAATGTTGTCACTGATAAAACAATGTTGAAAGACACATTTATGATTTATTAGGAGACATAGTACATCTTATTATCCTTGTTTGAAGTTTAAGCTTTATCCAAAGCATTCATGTAAATTGTTTTATTTGTTTTGTGATGAGCATCTGACCATGTGGATCGCTTATTCCTGTAAATATCTGAAGATTCAAGTACATTGGAAAGGGTTTATATCTTTTATAAATTCATTACGTGGACATCTAATAAAAGCTAAATCATGCCTTTATATTTTCCATTGCTGTTTAATATCAGATGATGATGGGAATAAGAAAATCAAAATGATATTCAAATCACTAAGTTTTACTTTTCACCAGCAGTCTTTATGATATATTTGTTTTAATAATATTGTTGCCTAAAATGATTGTCATTTTTATTTTGCATAGATTTCACTTTTGCAGGCAGTTTACAATTATCTGTGCCCATTTAATTATAGTGACTTTATACTGTTTCAACTTACTAAATGTCTAGGCATTATGGAGCTAACAGAACGTTTCTTCTTAATGGTCCTAATGGAAGCTCCCTGGCTACCCTGTGTACACAGCTGTTTGGTAATCAACTCTTGTTTAAACGTATACAAGTCCAGCCTAGAAGATCTCACTACTCATTGCACACTCAGCTAGAACTACATTCTTTTTCTTTACTTTTTTTTAAAAACAAATGAACAAAAAAATCCAAAACAGATGGAGTCTCACCATCGCTCAGGCTGGAGTACAATGGTGCTATCCTAGCTCACTGCAGCCTTGAACTTCTAGGCTCAAGTGATCCTCGCACCTCAGCGTCCTGAGTAGCTGGGACTACAAGCACAGGCCACCATGCCCAATTAATTTTTTTCAGTTTTACAGAGACAGTGTCTTGCTATGTTTCCCAGGCTTGTCTTGAAATTGTGGATTCAAGCAATCCTCTAACCCTGGTCTCCCAAAGAGCTGGGATTACCAACATGAGCCTCTGTGTCTGGCTAGAACTACATTCTTTTTTTTTTTTTTTGAGACAGAGTCTTGCCCTGTCCCCCAGGCTGGAGCGCAGTGGCGCTATTTCAGCTCACTGCAAGCGCCACCTCTCAGGTTCCAGTGATTCTCCTGCCTCAGCCTCCCAAGTAGCTGGGATTACAAGTGTGCACCATCGTGCCCAGCTCATTTTTGTATTTTGTATTTTAGTATTTGTGTTTTTAGTTTCTCCTAAAAATACAAAAACGGTGAAACGGGGTTTCACCATGTTGGCCAGGCTGGTCTCAAACTCCTGACCTCAGGTTATCTGCCAACCTTGGCCTGCCAAAGTGTTGGGATTACAGGCGTGAGCCACCGTGCCCAGCTAGAACTACATTCTTAAGAGCAGCACATGCACCATTTTAATTATCGCTTGGAAAAATAAAATAATTAAAATAAAAATCTTTGTTAAGGAAAGTTTTATTGTTGTACAGTATACTTATTTCAAGTGATGGTTAATACAACCAGAATCCAGTGTTCAAATAAATAGAGAGACCACTACTCTGAATGGTCTTTTTTGGGCACTAAGTTTAGAGTGCAATTCTGACTACCTTTTCTCATCATGTTTTATGAATTTTCTTCATCTCAACTTTTACCCCACCACTGGTACTTTTAGGTGTGTGCTTTTCTAACATTTTTTAGAAGAAATAGCTTTAAAATTAACTTTTTAATTATATAGAAAAGATTTAAAGTATTTAGTTAAAGGATGTGTTTTTTAATATTATAAATCTTTTCTGTTACTAACCAATGTTGAACATACAGTTCAACATACAGTTCTAAAATTCTTTTAATCGTGTTATGATGTCTATAATGATAGCAGTAAGTTATTTTTTGTCACTATAGTGCTTAGGAATGTATATGACTGCCAAGTACAATTACTTTTGGTCATTCGAGTTTTCACTTGTCATTATGGAAATGTTGCAAACAAAAATACAAATAGTTTGATAAATTGCTTATATTCCAGATATATAAAGTACTTATTGATTGAGTCTGATTGTATTGATTGCATTATAAAGGTTCAAGTAATAATCATCTTGGTACATTTTAGTACAATTAGAATACTTTAATCTCTTTGAGATGCTGAAAATACATTTTATAATTTCCAGTACTTGCAATAAATATTACAACCTATTCACACAAATATAAATGCATGAAACTATTTTAATTTTAAAATATAAAATAAGGAGTCGTACATGACCAAATACTGAATTTTTAAACCTTAATTAAGTTAGCCGACTTATCATCGAGAATGTGAAATTATTACGAATAGTAGCGTATAGAACCTTAGCAAGCAGAAGCTAAAAGCTAGTAGAAAAATTAGCCAGATCCTAGCAGATAGGCTGTTTATATTGAGTGGGTTTAGTAAGTCTGCATCCAATACTTGTACAGGTTGATTGACATCAAAATGGAAGACAAAGTGAAGTCATGGCATTATTCAAAAATGAAGCAAAGTAGCCAAGTTTTCTACTAAAATACAATTGACCCTTGAACAATGTGGAGGTTAGGGTTACTGACCCCCCATGCAGTTGAAGATTTGTATATAACTTTTGGCTCTCCAAAAGCTTAACTACTAGTAGCCTACTGTTGACTGGAAGCCCTACCAATAACACAAACAGTCAATTAACACATACTTTGTGTGTTATATGTATTATATACTGCATTCTTTTTTTTTTTTTTTTTTTGTGAGATGGAGTGGCACTCTGTCACCAGGCTGGAGTGCAGTTGCGCGATCTCGGCTCACTGCAACCTCCACCTCCCGGGTTCAAGTGATTCTTCTGCCTCAGCTTCCTGAGTAGCTGGGACCACAGGTGCACGCCACCACGCCCAGCTAATTTTTCTATTTTTAGTAGAGATGGGGTTTCACCACGTTGGACAGGAATATACTGCATTCTTACAAGAAAGTAGGCTAGGGAAAAGAAAATGTTATAAATGTTCTTAAGAAAATCATAGAAAAGAGAAAATATTAAGTTAAAGTGGATCATCATTAAGGTCTTCATCCTCATCTTTACATTGAGTAGGCTGATGAAGACGACGAAGAGAGGGGTTGGTCTTGCTGTCTCGGGTGGTAGAGATGGAAGAAAATTCATGTGTAAGTGGACTCTCTCAGTTCTAACCTGTGGGTGTTGTTCAAGGGTCAACTGTACATATATATTCTTTCTTAAATAATTATATGTATGTGTGTGTGTGCATATATATGTGTGTGTGTGTATGTGTATATGTGTGTGCGTGTGTGTGTGTCATAGAGATCACCAAAATCAGAGTGTGTACACAAATCTGGAGGTTACAATTACTGCTCCATGTTGAAGTGAAGGGCATTCTGGGCATCATAGTGGCCCTGAAGGTCCTCTTCAACTCTGAATCCTCCATACCCTCATCTACTTTGGCAGTTCCCACTCAGATGCTGCATTCTTATGGCAATCAAAATAGCCATTATTTTTCATTAAAATGTTGGACTCTTTTTAGTGTAATAGTTAAAAAGCAGATGCTGGAGTCAGATCCTGTAACTTCAAACCCTAGATCTACCTCTTACCATGGGCAAAAGAAGTCCTCTTTGCCTCCATTTCATCTGTAAAATGGGCATAATACTACAAAGCATATTTCTGGAGATTAGATGAACTAATATATGTAAAATGAATAGAATAGTGCATGACACAAAACAAGAATTAACAATCATTATCCTTTTTAAGCTTTTACAGTCAAGAAATTTTGCTTTGAGGACAAAAAACCAAACACTGCATGTTCTCACTCATAGGGGGAAGTTGAACAATAAAAGCACATGCACACAGGAAGGGGATCATCACACACCGGGGCCTGTTATGGGGTTGGGGGGCGGGGAGGGATAGCCTTAGGAGATATACCTAATGTTAAATGACGAGTTAATGGGTGCAGCACACCAACATGGCACATGTATACATATGTAACTAACCTGCAAGTTGTGCACATGTACCCTAAAACTTAAAGTATAATAAACAAACAAAAAAAATAAATTTTGCTTTGAAGGATTTTTGGTTTTTGCCTTTTGAGAGGAAGGTCTAGGAAATAGATTTTATAATTACCACATAATCCTACATTATCCTACAAGCTACCCTAAAGTCATTAAATATGACTTTACTTTTGTCATTTATCTCTTCAGTGTTTTTTTAAAAAAGTATTGGAGTGAAATGTTAATGGTTTCAATTCAAATTATTAAATTAAAAATGGATCTAGAGTATACTGGATTTGCTAATTTCTGGAAGTTTCTGCATTTCGAAATATTGATTAACGATAGATAATTTCTTAAGGCAGCTTGCAGATTCATTTGCCTGAAACAGAGAAAACAAAACTTTAATAATGGCCAATCATGAATGTGATTGATACAAAGTTAAACACTTAAGACACAGATTAAATAGAATAAATATGTTCAAACTTTTATTGTAGATTTTTAAATTGAGTCTTAGATAACATTGCATGTTAGTCAAATATCACACTCATTCTCTGTATATATATTATGTGCATATGACCTTATTATTTATTTATTTTTAACAAATAAGTTTTGCAATCTTTGCAGGACAAAGAAGAGATATTTCCCATAGAATTCAACAGATTAGCCAAAATCATGTGTGCTGGCTCTTAGATATGTGAATTTTAAGGGTTAAGCAGTTGGAGCATGTGGATTTATGAATGCTTTTTATTTTCAAATTAAATTATTTAGAAACAAGTAAATTAAAAATACTTTAAAATATTTTAAAGTATTTGGCACAAGAATTTTTTTTTTTTTTTTTTTTTGAGACAAAGTCTCACTCTGTTGCCCAATCTGGAGTGCACTGGCGCGATCTCGGCTCACTGCAACCTCTGCCTCCCGGGTTCAAGCGATTCTCCTGCGTCAGCCTCCTGAGTAGCTGGGATTACAGGCAGGCGCCACCATGCCCGGCGAATTTTTGTATTTTTAGTAGAGACGGGGTTTCACCATGTTGGTCAGGCTGGTCTCGAACTCCTGACCTTGTGATCCACCTGCCTCGGCATCCCAAAGTGCTGGGATTACATGCGTTAGCCACCACGCCTGGCTCACAATAATATTATTTTAAGAAGTATTTTCCAATATTGAAGAATCTTTGTGTCATCCAAGAACACATACTACTTACTTCTACATCACCCGTTAAGAACTCTAAATACCTTATTCATTAGTATAGAAAATCTTTTAACTCTTTCACAGAGAAGAATGACATAGGCAAATGGAATTTGTATCCCCAGGAGTGTCAATTTTTTTACCAAAATCCAAACTTAATTTTCATCAGTGTGCCCATTTTTATAATGTGCTTACCCCAGTTGCAAATCACTAGTTAACAGTGTGGAGTGAGAAGTTATACTACTGAAGATTTCAAAATGTGCCTCAGCTTATCTACCTTATTATGACTAGAATAATTATAAGAATTAAATAATATGCATAAAGCACTTAGCATATTGCCTATTATCATTACTATGTAGAGAGATAGAAATGTGTGAAAATGGGAGTTTTTACCTTAAGGATGTAATTTTTCATCCGTGTAAGATTACCCAATATTCTATAAAATAAGAGATGTTACATAACTAGAAAGTTGTAGCCATTCAACCATTTTTCTGGAACTAGCTTTATTATCCTCTACTAAAATGGTTTTGGCCACTATAACTTTGGTCTTTCAAATACAGATCATTATTAAGTTTTTAAATCCAGCAGATTCTCTCCACAATGTCTTTCTGCTCTTTACCTTTGAGGAGTTTTTTTAAATGGCAAATTATTCTATATCATCTTTTTAAAAGTTATGACAATTAAAGATTTAAAATCTCAGCTAAAATATTATATATGGATTTTTAGTTACATTTTATGCCCAATCGCTAGTTGTAAGCATAGTTGTAAGCGTGCTGAATGAAGTTTATTTGCACTTTGTGTATTCCCACTTTTTAGTTATGTACTTTATAAGTGGAATTTATTTGACTCTAACTTTTGTAATTTAGATAATCATTGTTTGTGTTCAAATTCAAATGTGAGGAACTTTGAATGCATTTGTGATCCAAGTCATTACCAAAAATTGTGTAAATATAAATGAGATAAACAAAATAGAAATGGTGGTCTCATATGAAAGGTATAGATTGGTGTCTGATGTTGTATCCTAATTTTATGTACCAGATTCACATGTTAAAATTCTATCTAGAGGTCCTGGGATTATTCTCTCTCCCTTTTTTTTAACATGTGTTTTATAGTCAAGTTACTAAGTGAAAAAAAAGAAAAGAAAAGTGGTAATAGAGGAAGTTGGCACAGAGAATTGTCGCTGTACTCAGCTCTTTTTATCTTTTTCTAAATATAGTCTTAAAATATTGTCCAGGTCAGCTGATGTAAGCAGGGAAGTGCTTCTTCATGTCTTCTTTCTTTCCCAGTCATTTCAATAATGTTTTGGTGAATTAAAGTATGTAAGTGAAACAAAGAAATCAGTGCTGAGTTCTGATAGCAAATTGAAAATTGAAATTGCTAAATTTCCAGATATTATAATAGATTGCTAATCTCAAAACTAGGACTACATTGGTATTCTAGGGCTAAAGTGATAAATTTTTAATAGAGATGTCTCCTACGAGCAAGTCTTATTATAACATACTAGAATATCATTTATTCTTTCAGGGTG
Organism: Homo sapiens; assembly: GCF_000001405.40. NCBI lineage: Eukaryota > Metazoa > Chordata > Mammalia > Primates > Hominidae > Homo > Homo sapiens. Next base: position 88,847,282 of record NC_000005.10, on the reverse strand, counting down.
TGATTTATTCTATTTAAATATAAGTCCTGTAAAGAAGATGTGTTAATCTGTTTTTACTCTACATAAATATGACTGCTACTCTCTAGTCAGTAGATGTATTCAAAAGCCAATATGTCTACACTCTCACATTTCTTCTGTAAATGATGAATAATGTTGATAAATGAAAATTACAAATCCGCAATAGAGCTTAACTATTGAATACTAAATCATTCTGTTGCTAACTCCATGTTCCAGTGACATTTTTGATATAAAAAGACGTCATTCCTGCATTTAAAAAATATTTTGTGCTTTTGCAGCAATATAAGCAAATGTACATTTGAAAGAAAATTCACAATGCAGCCACAAATAATTCCCTTTAAGATTCAAGGTGCCATTTCAAAAATGGTTCAATTTTCAAAGTAGAATATTTAAAACCTCTTTCCTGCCAGACTATATCCATTCCACGTGTTTGGTACAATTAAAATAGAAGAGTTGGTGGAATGAAACTCTTCCATCTATATTTTGGAAAAACATATTCACTCACCTCAGTTTGTCAGTGTACATTTAGAGGCTGGTCATTATGCAGTAGAAAAAAGAAGAAGGCAGCTCCAACTCATGTGACTGACATACTGAATATGGCCATTAATACAACTTGACAGTGACCTTGGCGGCATTACAGGTAATCTCCCTGCAGGGATAAACTGTGTTTGAATGATATTTCTACCATGTTGAGCACAAAGAGATTTCTCCTTGGAACTTTACTGCTTAATTTTCTTTTATGCTAACAAAGACATTACAGAGTGATTTTTGTAATGATTTTCTTTTTCCTTTTGCTCTCTGAAATGACAGTTTACTACATGGTATTGCTGCTGTCATTTTTCTGTCATTATAGGGAAATGCCATATATTTGTAGCACTTTCGTAAAGTGTTGAAGTAGGCCAGGCATGGTGGCTCACGCCTGTAATTCCATCACTTTGGGAGGCAGAGGTGGGTGGATCATCTGAGGTCAGGACTTCAAGACCAGCCTGATCAACATGGTGAAACCCTATCTCTACCAAAAATACAAAAATTAGCCTGGCGTGGTGGCGGGCACCCGTAGTCCCAGCTACCAGGAGGCTAAGGCAAGGAGAATCGCATGAACCCGGGAGGTGGAGGTTGCAGTGGGCTGAGATTGCGCCACCGCACTCCAGCCTGGGCAACAGAGCTAGAATGCATCTCAAAAAAAAAAAAAAAGACTTGAAGTATATATTATTTTTATTATAGGAGTAAATATGTAATTGAATGTTATACCACTTTTAACAAAGTTCTAATAAGCTGAAAGTACATATCAAGAAGATATAGGCTGAAAATTCAATGTTAAGAAAAATCTTTTATTATGTATTTTATAAAAATTATCAGCACCAAAATTAGCTGGGTGTTGTGGCGTGCACCTGTAGTCTCAGCTACTTGGGAGGCTGAGGCAGGAGAATCACTTGAACCCAGGAGGTGGAGGTTGCAGTGAGCTGTACTCCAGCCTGGCGACAGAGCGAGACTCCATCTCAAAAAACAAAAGTTTTCTGCACCATAAGTTAGTGTTATTACCATTTAAAATTTATTTAGATTATGTAAGATAAAAATGTGTATTTTTATCACCAACTTCTGAGATGTTCACCATAGAAGACTCATATGCATTATTGCTTGTTTCCTACTTTAGATAAGCTTATCACACAGGAAGGGAACTGTGATGCGTAAGATTCAGGTAAATGAATGGAAAAGATCATGACAAATAGTGAAAGTGTACTCTTCCTCAAAACTTCTACTGCTGTTGTAATCTCAGATTTAGTGGTATGTCGATACTGAAATGACTACAAAAAAGAAATTTCACATAATGAAAGTTTGGCTTATTAAAAAGCACTTAAGTAGGTCGTAATTTCTTACTTACAGTTGCTTCTACGTCATATTTCAATGCAGGAAATGAACAGTGACTATAAAGGAAGAGTTTTTTCCATAATGTGGATCCATTTAAAAACTTTTCCTTCCTGAATTGTTTCTGGGGTCTTTTGGCAATTTGAAGCAGCTGTTGACAACAGCAATTATAGGCACCATTGACACGGGAGGATATGACAGTTGCAGTTAAGCGTTCGTTATTTGTAATGTTCATTCTGGCTTCAACTTTTACATGCAGTTCAAATTAATTAACATGGAATTAAAACAGGTTCACTGGTCCTTGACGTTTTTTAGTATCCTATCTATTGTAAAGTATTAAAAAGTTGCTTACAATCAATGGGTAATTTTAAATGCACAAGGTGAACTATTTTCATACACAGAACTCTTAAGAATCATTTGATAAGAAAGGCATAGACATTTATTAGATAAGACATGTTCAATAAATTGCAGAACACGGCATTTCTCACCAATTCCTCTATAAATTTAACCTTTAGCAGCACATTTTTCCAATTCATTGTCAAGTTAATCTATATAGTCAGAGTTCCTAATTATGTTTACATTACTGACATACACCAAATGGAAAATTAGAGATATCTTATCCCTAGTTATAAGTTGTAAGTAAATACTTGCTGGTATACTATAACACTATTTAAAATTTTAACCATGAGGAAAAGAGTTGTTTTTGGAATGACTTTAAATAGAAGTGCATTAAGAAATATAATTTGAATCAGAGAAAAAGTTAGATTTACTTAGTATTTTTGGTGTACTGTGTTAAAACTACAAATAGCAGTATATTTTCCCAGTTTTCAAAGAGTGGTAACAAAAAACCAAGCAGAAACAAAACAAAAACCCTTCTCTAATCTAATAAGAAATAAACTTCGAGGTGTATTTTTAGATAAAAGCTCTGATCGTGGTTGTACTTGAATTTGATATATGTATGTCACTGTCAACTGATTTCGGACTTTGACATATAATATTTTAAAACAACATGATAAAAATATTTCCTTAGGCCTTTTTGAGAACTTGGACTCTGGAGTCAGCCTCCCTTATCTCAAAACCCAATTTTGTTGCTTACTTGCAGTATAGAGTTGGACAAGTTGTGCATTTTTTCAATGCCTTGATTTCCTCAACAGAAATATAATATGAAGTATAATCATGAGATTACGAATTTGCCTGAGATTAAGGTCCAATTGAAATATAGAAATAACATGCCTGGGGCATGCTCATTAAATTTTACCACTTTTACTAGGATGATTTAAAATTGTTTCGCAGGGGTGCGATGGCTCATGCCTGTAATCCCAGCACTTTGGGAAGCCCAGGCTGGTGGATCACGAGGTCAGGAGATCAAGATCATCATGGCCAACATGGTGAAACCCCGTCTCTACTAAAAATACAAAAAAATTATCCAGGCGTGGTGGTGCGCACCTGTAGTCCCAGTTACTCAGGAGGCTGAGGCAGGAGAATCGCTTGAACCCAGGAGGCAGAGGTTGCGGTGAGCCGAGATTGCACCACTGCACTCCAGCCTGGGTGACAGAGCAGCAAGACTCCGTCTCAAAAAAAAAAAAAAAAAAAGTTTCACAGGAACAAACAATCAAACACAAATTAAGACGTTGTTGCCAATTTTCAAATTTATTTCTTCAGATTTTTTTCTTCTGTGTTTCCAACTTGAAATAGAATCTGTTAACATGATAATTTTCTGGATTAGAGAAAGTCATAGATATTTGTTTCAATAGATCATAGCTAATAAAAATTTTAATTAGAAATAGAAGAAACATATATATTACATAGTTAACACCTCTCACTTTGTTGTGGAGAAATTGAGTCTTAGAAAAAATGAATAAGGTATAAAACTTGAATTTCAGACACATGAAAAATGTAGTTTAAATGTAATTGTGTAACATAAATTGTCTGCCTAATAATTGGTCTGCCTCATTTTTGCAATGTCTCAATAGAATTCCAAAGATAGATTGATTTTTTTAGCTTAATTTCAACAATTTGTTGGTTCACCTTTGAGGGTTTTTTTTGGGGGGAACCAAATTTAAATAACACACAAACAATATTTTACGTGATGTAACATGTCTATCCATCTCACATGGATAATGGAGTAAGATACCCAAATAGAAATAGAAATGCTTTTTTTTTTACCATAGAATTAAAAAAAAAAAAAAGCAAGCAAAATACACATATAACTAGAGAGATTTTTATAAAGCCCTTCATCCCTCCCAAAAATGAGATAGGAAAAACGTTAGGGTTGACAAGATACCACCCCCTAAATATCAGGATGTTCCAAAATAACTCCGTCTTTTGTAGCTCCCAATCAGTAGCCACTGATGATCTCTGTCTGTCATACCCTCCTTCTCCTTCTAGAGCAGGACTGAAGGAGGGGCAGTGTGTTTCTCTGGGGAGATGGTTGTGGTCAGCATCATCACGTGCCCTCTCCAGTCCAGACATTTCACTGTTCCAGAATAGAACCCACGCTTAATTTCAAGGATTCTGGAAAAGAAAAAGTTGTTTTTCTTCACAAATTATTGAGATCCTAACCCAGAATGTCATATTTTTAAAGAAGATTATTATTATTTAGATTCTCATAAGCACATGAAAAATGTATCTAGGAAGTTGACATACTGGCAGACATCTAGCTACACATAAGAGGGGTTTTCTCCTTTATCTCACCTTTTTCCTACTGCGAATTTTTTCAACATACTTAATGAAAGTTAAAATTATGACAAGGAAACTATCACAGTATTTCCCATTTCTTTATTTACTGTAACTTTGTGGCTGTTGAATGAATTCTCAGGAAATTTTTTTTCACTGTATAATTTCTCTTTTTTTTTTTCCATATTGTTGACGTTTGTAATGGCACTGTTTCTAATCCACTATCTTTTATTATATGTTAGAGAGTCATTGATTACTTGCTTTCATCCTCATATAATAGAAATATCTAAATATTACAGTCACAGATTCCACAGACATGTAATATCAGAAAACATGAAAGTGAGTTAGCTTTCTTGTTTTACTAGATTTTTTTTCTTTCAGTAAAGCTAGGAAAATATTATTAATTAATTAGTTTAGTTTTCATCAAACCTGGTGATTGGCCGGATTCTTAATATTGTAGCACCCAAATACAGGTAGGAATTAAAGATCTGAAGAAGCCAACAATAGGAAAGATGAATTTTAATGGATCAGATTTCAAAGAACTTGTAAATATTACAAGATATTTCTTATAAAATATACTATGTAGCATAGAGGATTGCACAAATGGTCAAAGAACACTTCATCAGAAATCACAAGCCTTAAAAAGAAGTATCTGGTTGACTAAAGAAAGATCTGTATGAGGAATGGAAATCTGAATGTATTATGAGAATAGGAGAAATTTCAAATAGTATAAAAATAAAAGTTCTAAGAAATAAGGCTTAAAGTTGGATAAGGAGAATCAAAATTAAAAGATGATTTTTATGAATTTGTTTAACCAAAAGCAACAACAAAAGATAAAATAAAACGTAGCCCATTTTTAATGTGCTATCAGGAGTGTGTACGTTCCACCAGGGCATGAAATTTTGTCTGTTTTATTCCCTGACATATTACATAGAATAGTGCCTTGAACATAGTAGTGACTCAGAAAAAAATTGTTGAGTGAAGGAATAAATGAAATGCTTCTTTGCTTTATTTTTCACCTTTATTATGCAGCGAAATGAACACATGCTTGTAGCCACATACATGAAATGTAATACAAGTATGTGTGACTTATGGAATCCATTGATACTAAGAAACAAAACAAATTTCATGGAACTCCTCCTGGAAAGGTTTGACTAAAGCCTAAGATCATTTTTTTTTCTTTGCTTCTTTTTTTCTTCTTTTTTTTTTTTTTTTTGAGACAAAGTTTTATTCCATCATCCAGGCTGAGGTGCAGTTGTGCAACCACATCTCACTGCAGCCTGAAACTCCTGGGCTCAAACGATCCTCTGATCTCAGCTTCCTGAGTAGCTGGTACTCCAGGCATGCGCCACCACACCCACTTAATTTTTAAATTTTTTGTAGAGGCAGGGTCTCACCATGTTGCCCAGACTGGTCTCGAACTGGGCTCAAGTGATCCATCTGCCTCAGCCTCCCAAAGTTCAGGGAGTGCAGGTGTGAGCCACAGTGCCCGGCCCTAAGATCATTTCAGTAGCAGGAACTATTTTAACATAATGGCATTACGGGGCCATAGGCTGTTAGTCTTAAGAATTTTTGAGTAAAGACTAGGAGTTAACTATCACACTGATAACATTTCTTAAATGAAGGATGACGCTGGGAACCACAATTAGTAACTCTCTTATTTGCAGACTTAAAAGTGTACAAGGAAATATTGCCATGAAATCCATGTGTTATTTATCTTTAAAAGTTCAGGGCGTGAGTATTAAGCAACATAGCATCATATAAGAACTGGTGCTATGAGAATATTTTCATCTTTGTTAATAAAGTGTGAAGGAAAAAGGATAGGTATAATTTCAACTTTCTAAGGCTTTTGATTTTCTTCCATATGACATCCTCATCCATAAATTGGGAAAATATCATCTAAACCACACACAGATTTTAATGGTAGCTAAAGGAATAGTGAATTAAATAATTTAGTCATTACATTTTAAATGCTAACAAATCCTGTATAAAGAGTGCTTGAGGTCTGGCCCTTGAAAGATAGGAATTCAGCATAACCTTGGTAAACTAGAGAAGTGGTCAGAAGTCTTGAAGCCAAGGAGAAAAAAAAACAAACTCTCTAAATACAAAATGTGGAAGAGTTGGCTAGAAACAAATCTGGCAAGGGAAAAATTACAAAATTGAAATAAGTGAAAAGGTAAACATTTACTTTAAAATTCATGCAGAGTGTGGATAAATAAAAATATTTATTTGATAAGAATATACAACAAAAGCACTTTTCAAGGACTATGTATATTTTTGGACTCCAGAGATCTAGGCAAATCTGATGTGAAATGATGAGCTGCAAAGATGGCGAAAAAATAAAAACCAGCGTAAGGAAAGATTAAAAGAACAGACATAAAGCAATACACAATATTGAAGTGTATGACATGAGGACGTGATCACCAAATGTTGTTCTCTGTACAAAGGACAGAACAAGAGGAGTGGACATAAAGTATTCTGTGAGGGATTAGCTATAAGTAAGAATTTCCTGAGAGTGAGAGTTGTGAAACATCAAAATAGGATACTGAGGAAGGTTATGTTGCTCCTTTTCCGGAAGGCCTTAAAAATAGGAGAGGTGGAATCTTTGTGAAATAATTTGGGTACGGTATTATCTGAAGGAGGGAAAAATGATATGACCTTGCATAACTCTTGCCAATATTAATATCCGGTGTTTCTACTCTTACCTTAGATGAATGGAAAATACAAATATGTATTTCTAACCAAAAGAAAAGATTTTTTTCTCTTTTTTGACATGGCAAAATTTATCATTTTCATAAAGATTCATTTTAAGGCAGTTGAAATTTCCAAGTCCATTCTGGAATTCTCCATAGTAAATTTAGTGAAACACAAAATATTCATATTAACTAATTTATTTCAAAGGGACTTGGTAGAGGTTTTGTTATGCTTATTGTTTTTCTATTTCATACGATACAAAAGACAAATACTCTTATATAATTTTGAAAGTTAGAATCCTCAGGATTGTGACCAAATAATAATTTGGTATGTGAACTAGTTACTTGATGGAAATGTCCGCTTTTTTAGCATATAAGAGTAATATGCACACTCTTTCCTTTTCAGAACACTTATTACTGGACCCACAAACATACCTGAGGGACACGGACATAAAAATTATCCTAGAGGTGTCTTCACTTTGAAAGGCAGTATTTGCCAACAGATTCGTTCTTACTGAATTACAAATCTCAGAGATTTCCTGTTTACCAGAAGTCCTCTTGGAGTGCATGGGATATAGAAGCAGCCATTTTGAGCATTCGCTTTGCACCATCAACTGCCTAGCATCTGAAATTGAAGTCAGTCTTACATAGGTAGGTAGGTAGAGATAGATAGATAGAGAGAGAGAGAGAGAGAGAGAGAGAGAGAGATAATGTGGCGTTGTTGCCTTATGGAGTTTTTGAATGGTTCTGACCTGTTCTCATCAACTACTACAATAACATATATAATTATGTAAGTGAATATAGATGTACTATATATGTACAAACATAGGTACATGGTGTTCTGCCTATGAAAGTAGGAAAAAAGTCTGACAAATGCTGAATATATATATACACACACGATTACTTCCTCATGCTGTAGGCTCTGATAGAGCAAGGCTACACAATACATTGTGAAAAAACTGTCATGTTAACTTCTATAATGCACCAAAATGTGCAGTATTTTCCAACAATTATAAATATATCGCCAATTATGTCAGCTGTTCTTATACAATTAGTATATTTTATTAGGCGTGTGTCTTATAAAGTTGAAAGCCGTAAAATTCCTTCTAAAATAATGTACCTAAAGAGCTTGAATTGCACAATTAAACTCAGAGCTCTAAAACACAAAGTATTCTGAAGAAGTAGGTAACTGTATAAAATTTTGAAGTGGAAACTTCCCTGTAAATAGAAGGATTTGTAGTAGACCATAATTTGAGGAGATAAGGAGAAGAAAGAGAAAGAGCATAACGAGAAGGAAAAAGAGGAGTGGCAAGGGGAGGAGGGTAAGGATAATGGCCAGGGTCATACCAGAGCTGGTTAGGTGTGTTTTAGAAACCTACTCAAGGTACTTTGAAGGAAAGCAAAATGACTGCTTCAAGCTTTGGGGATGAGATATCTGTGTAATTCTCATCTGTAATTCTCAGATGAGAATTCTGTGTAATTCTTAACTTCATCATAAGTGAAAATGACTCTCCTGACCCATTATCAGGAAGACAATTCTTTTGGGTTTCTTTTTCCGGGAATTGTGAAGAATATATACTGATTTATACAGTATACATTTACCTGGTTTTCCTTGTGAACACATTCATTTGTAGAAAGTAGAAAAAAAAAAACCAAAAACAGCTGCTGATGATCATCCAGTAAATTATAATAGTAAAGACAAATATCTAACTTACATTCTATTCCCCTGCTGGCACAGGGAAGTAAACTCATTTTTGCCATCAAGAATAAGAAAATGTGAGATGAGTTGAAGAACACTCATTTTAAAAATAATTTGTAGATTCCACCAACTCCTGAACATCACATTTTCTACATAGAATTTTAAGTTTTAAGTACTCCCTTGAATATTACTTAGCAGCATAGAGAAGTAACAGAGTATGTGATTCGATTCTCTGAGTGTGAGACTGGATTGATATATTGATCCAATATTGGTATATTGATATATTGATATTGATTATAGCTCTAACACTAGCTGTGTGACCTTGGGTAAGTTACTTAACCACTCTGTCCTCCAGCCTTCTTTTCTGTAAAATGGAAATTGTAATAGTGCCTTCCTCATAGGCTGTTTTGAGGATTAGAGTTAATATATGTAAAGCTTTTAATACCTTAGTATTTTCCTAGCTATTATGTATTTATTAAACTTCTAAATGTGATTAGTGGTCCAAAGTGCATAATGAAACCTTAGTCTTAACTGTTTATATTGCTTGAGGCTGAGGTGAACATATCCTTCAATATTTTAAAATATGGAAGAAAACAATTCTATTTATCCAAACAATAACTTGTCAATTTATTGTTTCTGTAGGATGATACTTTTGTGAGAATCATTCCAACCCTCATTTTTGTTTTGTTTTGTTTTGTTTTCCTCCTTTATTGAATGCATACCATTTAGGAACTTGAAAGGGGTCTTAGAGACTGAACCCGGCTCCCTTTTTATGTCTGAGGATAATGAGACTTAAAGAAGTTGACTGGCCCAAAGATATGCAGCTAGCGAACCCAACTGAGAGTCTGACTCCAAATGGAGCTTTCTTTCCACTGTGCAGTATTGCTTTGCGCTTAGTGCTTTGCGGTTTGGAAACAAATTGCACTCTTTAATGGCAAAATAATTTATTAATACTTTTACTTCAAGTGAACAGCAATTTTCTGCACCTGATCTTATGTTTGCACTTTTTTTATAAAACTGAAAAAAAAAAGTTTTCCATTGTTTTATCATGTCTTCAGCAATACTATTGTATTTTCCTTGTGCCAAGCACTGAGCCAAGTATTGGTCTGAAGTATTTCAGCACTGCAGTGTATTCATTGGTCAATGGGAAGAAGCTTGTTATTTTCTTTAAAGCTAGCATTTCCAAGGGATATCTGAAATATATTGGGAAATAGTCCAGATTATGACATTCAGCATGTAGAAGAATATGAAAAGTCCTATAACAAATAAATCAGTTTTCCAAATATATTTGATTTGATTTCCTGACTTTTTTTTTTTTTTTTTTTTTTGAGAAACAGCTTGTTAAAATCTTAGGAACCAGTAATCTCTGGAATCCACTTTGGGGAATGCTAATTTAGGCACTTTGGGATCTCTAAGGAAAGGAAAGTCGTGAGCTTGCCTCCACCCGAGAGTGCTTTCTTTTAGAGTCTAGGTTTGAGAGAATCAGGCTAAAATAGGATCCATTTTAGTAACTTCTGATCTATAGTACCTGATCTTTTTTACAGGGGAAGCACTGTAATACTTTCCGTTTAGTGTTATCTGCCGAGGATGACTTGGGCTATCCTTGAAAACAGCCTGGGACAGAATGTGTAGACATGCTGAGATAAGGAGCCTCCTGCTAGGCCTTCGGCCTAGAAACTGTCTCAGCTCACTCTGGCCCAGGGCAACATCCCTCTGCAGCGTGCCTGTCCTTGCCCTGCCTGGATTGTATGGAGGAAACATTTTGCTCGTCTGAGAACACCTCTATTCCTAGCTCTTTGACAGTTTCACTTTCCATATCCCCTCAGTTCCAAACATGTGGAAAAAGAGATAAAGAAAGGTGATGAAATGAAAAACTGGAGTGGGGAATGCTACAAGTAGAGAGGAGAAACTCATATTTCCATGTCTGGTTTGTATGCAGTCATGACTGGGTTTTGGAGGGTGAAGCAAATGTATCCCAGAGGTCATCCTACTAGATAGACAGGGAGGGAGGTGAGAATGCAATGTGAAATATTGGTTAGCACTGAGAAGAAAATCAAATGCAATTTTTTGTTATAATATCTATACCATGATACATTTAGAAAAGAAAAATATAGTTTTTATTTTTAAAAAACTTTCAGATTTATGTTTCTTTTGTAGGGCATTTGATTGATTGTAAATGAAAATCGATAAGTGTTCATTTAGGCTTCATGGTAAATTATATAACTTACCCTATTTTAAAACTGATAAATTATGTTCACCAAACAGGAAATTAGAAGAAATGGTTTGGAATAGAGAATCAAATCTATTTATAACTTCCTCCAAAAAAGAGGAGGGAGAATTGAAAATATATACCCCTAATTCCTTAAGGCATAGGAAATTTTGACCTTTCCTTAAAATACTATCATTTGTCATTAGGCATTTCTGTTTCACAACCTTAAAAATTAAAGTGGGAGCCTGTTGTCCTTTAATTTTCTATTTATTAGAATTTATAATCCTTCCTTTTTTTTTTTTTTTTTTAAGATGGAGTTTCTCTCTTGTTGCCCAGGCTGGAGTGCAATGGTGCAACCTCAGCTCATTGCAACCTCTGCTTCCCAGGTTAAAGTGATTCTCCTGTCTCAGCCTCCCGAGCAGCTGGAATTACAGGCACCCACCACCACACCTGGCTAACTTTTTGTATTTTTAGTAGAGACGGGATTTCACCATGTAGGCTAGGCTGGTCTCGAACTCCTGAACTCAGGTGATCCACATGCCTCGGCCTCTCAAAGTGCTGGGATTACAGGCATGAGCCACTGCGCCAGGCCTGTATTTTTTTCTTAAAAACGCTTTCATTTAAAATACTAGATAATTCAATTTGTCTATTCATTCCAAGTTGGAAATTAATCTGTTGGGCTTGAGGCTACACAGCTTAATCTATAGGTGGGGATGTCCAAAGATACATGAATATTTCCAATACTGTGAGACACTGGGATTTTCAAATACTGCTGACATCTTAATCAAAGCTCTGCTGATTACTTGGGAGTTGGGTCCTTTGAGAGATGAAATAAATCAACCTAGCCCACTGACAAGTTACATTAGTACGGTTGTAAGATTGTTTTTTTCTCAAATTTTAAAAAGTGTGATTTTTATATAATTCTATATTTTACACTTGCAGAAATTTTGCATTGTATTTATCAGATTCTTCATGGTGTTATCCATAGTTAGCATTGTGAAATGAAAAGAGGTGTTTCAACCAGTGGCCATTGCCATCATGAAATACTCACATTTCAAGGGAAGAGGGATGCTTTTGGACTCAATTGATGTCAATTTAGAAACATTTTGCATTATGCTATATTCCTAGAGCTTCAAAGTATTTACAATTTTTATAAAATTATATAATATCAGTGAAGGAAGCAAGTTTACACAATTAGTGTATGAAATTGAGTTGTATCCATCTGAATTTTTACAAATGAGTGTGGTTTTGTCTTTTATTTGAGCCTCACAACCTCATAATAGAATGTGTATGTTGTTACTATTCCCACTCTATAGAGAAAGAGACTGGGGTTTAGAAAACTATGACTTGGCCAGGCTTGTACCACCAGTGACAGGCACAGTGACGGAGTATTCATCCTCCAAATAATGTCTGACTCCATTGTGGATTAGGGCTTTCCTCAAACGTCATCTCCTCAAATAACCCCTCCCTATAAATCAGCCCAATAGATAGCCACCTCTGCCCTTCTCCACTTCATCACCCCTTGGTCCATTCCACTGCGATATTTTCTCTATAGCACTTCTGTATTTAAAATCATCATATTGGTGCACTTGTGTGTTGCCCTTTTTCCCCTTAGAACGTAAGCTTCATGAAGACTGAGACCTTCTGTTTTGTTTTCAGTGGTGTCCATGGCACGTAGCATCATGCTTGACAACTTCATGTCTCTGTGACTGATTGAATTTTGTCATTGATATCTGTGATATTAAGCATCATGATTTTGGCTCATGGTATACCCCATTACAGTGACTTAGCCAGGGTTTGATTCCCATGTACTCCAACCTGAAATCTACAATCAGAATACACCAAGTATGTTACATGTAATTGGTCTGCTCCAAAGCTGTGGCAGGTAGCGTGGACTGCATTCTGTTAGAGGACCTGAACTCCATGTGTGTGCCTTAATCTCATTTCTGACATTTAACTGTCACCCTGCCTGCCCACCACCCTGAGAGAAGTTCTGAAGTATTCGAACAGTGTGTTACACAGCCCCAGCATGTTTTACAGTGAGCCAGGGCAGTCATGGAGAGGTCTCTTGTTCTGGAGTTTTGCACAGATAAAGGGAGGATATAGTTTTGAGAGGAATGCTATAACTACAAAGTGCATCCTGAAGGCCATTTAGCTCACAATGAAGGTCTGTGTTTTAAAATAGCACTATAACAAAGTAACTACAGAGTTTTGGCAAGGGCTTCAACTATTTATAGAACTAAGTAAGGAATAGTAAATAGTGCCACAGTACCCAGTTCTCCCTTGCCATAACCCCAAACTTATAAGAAGCACTATAATTATATTTTTCTACTTAAAAAAAATCGTAGTAGCCATTATCAGTTTAACCATACGGAAGCTCAGGCTGAGATTTCTTTTTTAAATGCATAGTTTTGATTTTCAGCAGCTGCACTGGGTCTTTAATCATATATTATCTTTATGAAGCCTTTTTCTAACATATGTTAATTGGCTGTTTTCTGTGACAAATTATGAGCTCTTACTTTGATGAGGTTCAATTGCAATCATGTTGGAGTCGAGTACGTAGAGTTTCCACCCCTGCTGGCTCCTCAAACCACTACAAACATCCGCACGTCACTACAGTGCTGAGTAATGGCAGGATTTGGGCTGGCTGATTTCTCTACAGATTTTTTTTTCCACAGGATATTTTCAGCTTCTTTGTACTAAATCTGTTGCAGGGTTTGCCCTTTTTAGCAGAAGCATGCTCTAAAATTAACATCAAATCTTATTGGAGATTACTATAATACATGAGAAATATTTCATAATTCAACATCCAGTGTCTGTACTGCTTTGCTAAAATTTTAGTACATTTATTACACATTTTTAAAAGTCAGTCAGTTGTAAGGCTGGTAAGTATTTTCTATATCATCAGCATTTTGTAACAAATATTTTGAATTTTCCTCTTGAGAGGGATACAGTTATTAAGTGAATAGATGATCAGGTATATATTTAATTATCATAAAGAAAATGCACATAATGTTTTTCCTGGCATTACCAAATTTATCACTATGTTAAAAATTCCATTGTATTTTCATTTTTCTTTGCAGTTAACATCTGTTGGTTGAGTCATAAGAACAATTACATGTCCCATCAAGGCTAATGTCCTATAAGATGCATAGCATGTATTTCAATTCTCTAACAGTTTTTAATGTATGATTAGGATGAACAGATATGTTCTAATCCATCTGCTCTGAGAACTGTGACAGCCTGCATCAAGTACCAGCAGATGATCAGTGATAGCCATAATTAGCATATATATATAAATACAGTGTATTTGTTTATATTCACAAGAAAGTAGGGTAATTGATTAAAGCCTTCAGAACCTGTGTCAGACACCAGTCATAGTGGGATTAATTTAACTGTTTCTGCTTTGACATCAAAATATTCTAGGTAAACTGCTGCAGTTGTTCAAAATCTAAATCTATGGATCAAATCTTCATACAGGTATTAGACTTTAGAATCAGATGAGCCAGATGTGAATAGGAGCTACTCCTCCTCATGAGGCTGTTTTTAATCAGTCATTTCCCTGGAGTAGCACACAATCAATGAGCTCTAAATCCTGAGGCTACCTGCGCTTGTAGGAAGGCCTGGGAACATCATTACAGAACTTACAATTGGGCATATGTGAAAAAATTAGAGCAGAAATTAAGGGTAAGAAAGGTTAACTTCAGAAGTCTTACTTTGGTACTGCTTTTTTAGAGGGAGGTAAAGAGATAATTTCAAATGTTAAAAAAAAAATAGAATATTAAGCCCAACTTCTAAATGCAGAGAATTTCTATTAAAAGATCATTATAAGCAAGCCAAATAAAAGTTATTATTGATTTATGTTAGCCAGAACTGTTTAAACACGTGTATTATTTCGAGAATGTACATGTGGGTCCATTTCAGGATGAGTAAATAAATGTAAAGATTCTTTTTCGCTAGTACCTCTGCAGCTGTATAGAATGGCTTCAGAAGTCCTATGTGATACTTTGGTGTGCAGTCAATTGACACACTGTGTCTGGAGCTAATGTACATAAGGAAATTTAGTTCCACTTGATAAGACACATGCTTAACTGGCTTTAAGAAAATAAACCAAGAACAATGTGTGAATGAAACAGAGAACTTGGCACTTGACTGTATGGAAGCCCATGAGCCATGTGGTTTAATTGGGGCCAGTTGGGATCATTTAATGATTGCTGTCAGAAGATCAGATTTAATTCTCCTTATAAGAAGACCACAGTGGGATAGAGTTAAACAAATTGTCATCAGAGGTTTCAGATGAACAAAGCCTTAATTAGGTTGATTAGGATGCTGTAAAAGAGATGAAGAGAAATAGAAAAATTGATGAATCACTGAGTTCCATGTTGAGCCACATATAATAGCAATATCATATATATTTTGAGAGATAGTATTATAGCATTTTGAACATCACATATTTGAGCATGTAAAGTTTCTGTGTAAACCTTCTAAATGTGAAGGTTTAGAGATAAAAATAAATGACATTCCACTTAAATAACAGATGATTTATCTAGCATTTTCTCTTTAATGTACAACAAAAACATTGGCAGGGGGACAATGGTATTTCTTCCCATTTCAAGGTCATCTTTAAATGTTAAGTAAATTGGAAAATAAATAATGAAAGAAGCAAATTATTTTCAAGGACATAATTTTCAATCATTTAACATAATATTTGAATGCAGAGTAAAATAAAGCTTTTACTGAGAACGTCCTTTTAGGCATTCACACCACGATCTTAATAATATTGTGATTATTTACTGGTGATAATACTCAAGACAACTCAGGTGTCTTAAAATGTACTCTTATTGTTTTATTTACACATTTCGACAGACTAAAATGTGTTTTTCCATGTGCTGTGCACACATGTGCACACATGCACAAATGTATCAGTAAGACTGAAATATGTGTTCAACACTTATAGGCATATGAGAAAAATATTTTTAGAGTATTTCCATTTTAATCGTGAAATATGATATATTAAAGATGAAGAATATAACGAACATAATTTTTTTCTAACAGGGTCATGAGATGCCTGGGAATTTAGATGTTTTTATCATAATAGCATGAAAATCTATAATAGCAACATCTCCAACTTCTAGCCTAGCTTGCTTTACAGACTATTTTGTTTGACTGAGGTTGATGTTGTATAGTGCTTAACTTGCTTTGTTCAATAACAGCAACAAAAATCCAGCTGCATGTGCTTACTGAGAGGTTAGAGCTGGGGAACAGAACACAATCTGATGTTAAATTGTAGCTCTTGCTTTGTCATAAGACAGTGCAGGCTTTACCTTTGTGGTGAGCCCTACCACATCACTCAGAGGCCTTTGAAAGAAAACATGGTGGCTGCACTGTTGTGAAAAATTAGAAAAACAAAGACATGATAGAACCCTGAATTAATTACCTAATATGATGTGGAAAGACTAAAAGCTGTGGTAGGGTTGGATAGCACAAGGTTCTTCACATATTTAGACCATTTGGAGTTTATTTTGGCATGGGAATAGAGAATGCTATTTTAGCTGCAGTGTGAAAAAAGTGTCCAAGACAAAATAGACCATGGATAACTATGACAGGGAGACTGTGCTTCCCTCACAGTTATTAAATTGTTTATAATGCAATACAATTGTATAAAGGTATGTGTCTCCTAAATTCTGGAACTGTGTAAATAAAATGATGTATGTCAGGGATAATGGCAGGTTAGGCCCACTTATTAAATTAATTGCAGGGGTTAAGAAAACGAGTTCCTTTTTAGCCTTATTATATTTCTGACATACATTTCATCTCTTTTTGTCCTTGGGGAAAGATATTAAAGTAGGACTAGAAGCATTAATGTAGAGTTTTCAGCAGCCGTGGTCATGGGGAAAATTGATGTATTTCCCTAGTTATTTCCACTTTTGCAGCCTGAAGCTCTTCCGTAGCTGATATGTAAGAGAAACTTCTTAATTTTTTTAACACTGTAAATTTATTCTTCATTTGGTGATTATTGTTACAGGATAAATGAGGCATTATCTGTCAGAATTGCTAATCATTAGCTTTGGAAAGTGAGATCTTCATGGTAAATGTAAGGACTACACTATTCACTTGATAGCATTACTATATGATAGGACTTTCACTTTATGCCTTCAAACGGAAGCAATCATACGAGCAGCAGGCCATGTTCCCAGTACTACTGTGTACCCAGGATTCACATATAGTACCACATGTTATGATCATAACCATCCTACAAATGAAGATTTTTTTCCCAGTTATGGGTAGGGCAAGGAAACAACAGTTCCAAGGGATTAAATAATCAGTCTGGAGTCACACAGCGTCCAAGTACCAAGCTAGAATTCTAACCCTGTTTTTTCTGACCCCAAAATCCATTTAACTTCCAATTCTCAGTATCAATTATTCTAATTCCACATAGGAGATGCTATGTAAATATGGCGAAGTATTAAGTGAGGTTATCAATCTGCTTCTGTGTAAGCAAAAATAGTAAAATATTTTTAGTAGTAGTCAGTAAAAGTAGAAGCTGAAGAAAAGAAAATACGTCAGTTGAGAGATACACATCTTAACTGATTGTCAGTCAACGAATAGTCATTAGCTCTTTCTATATGTTTGACACTAGGGTATATATTGTGGATAAAACGGTGAAACAAACAAATAAAACAGATGTTGAGGAAGACAAGCAAACATACAGTTTCAATTGCTGCGAGTGCTGCAAAGGAGAAGGACTCAGTGCTTAGATCTTATGAGAGGGAAATTCGATGTCATCAGGAGGGCGTGGAGTACTTCCTGAGGAGGTGAAACTGAAGCTGAGACAGAAGGGAGGAGAAGTCAAGGAGGTACAAAAGGAAAGGAGGAACATCCAGGCAGAAAGAATTGCCTAGTACACAAAGGCCTAGTGGCAGGAAGGAGCATGGCAGATGTGAGGAAATGGAAAAGATGGTCAACATTATTTGTATATGTGGTACTATGTTACTGAGACTTGAAGATGGTTTGAAATTCATATTGATACTAAATTGGAATAAATTAGGAAAATAAATTGGCATATGGCATGATGGTATTTATCTAGTGGAAAAGAATAGCTGTTCTTTTATTACCCTTAGAAGAGTGAGTCTTGGGTATGTGATTTGGAAATAAACTCAGAATGCACTCATAGCTAAGGTAATGGTATATTTATAAAATACATGGTAAGCTTAGAGAGAAATGGAGCAACTTTCAAGGCCAAAGAAATCCTCCTCAACTCAAGACATCACGCAGTCGAGCATCAATAGGAGTAGTAATTTGGTTATACCTTTTGAAGTTCAGAATAGCTCCTAATGGAAAAAAAGTAAAAGTTCTGCCTGTTCCTTTTAACCAAAATATAATTGCATGCTTCATACATTTTATCAAACAAATCACAAAATAGAAACCTAAATGTAACTAGATGTAACATATTGAGCAAAGTTTTCCACTTAAAAAGATAATGAATCATTTAATTATTTGATTTAGCAATACTAGGTTTGCAGCAACTGGGCTTATGATCATTTTTGCCCCTTACGATGTATCCAGCTTGTATTTATTTAACAGTATTATTTAGTGTTGTGTGATAGAGTGTGCTCAGTTTTCAGCTTTGAGTTTTTACAAAACATTATTTGAGGATACTAGTGTTAGTGAAAATGTAAGTCAATCAAAAAGATCTGCTAATATGAATCAAAGAAAACCGGAATTTTTTTTTGAAAATTGACATCACATATTTCAATGTTTTACCATTATTCATAGGCTGTTTTTATTTAAGTGACTGCATTGTACTTATTGCAGAAAAATACATGCTTTGCAAAGATAAGTTTAGCAGAAGAGAATTAATTTCTTCCCACATCTTTTAATGTGGCATGGCAGTTTCACTCTAAGATCAAAACACATAACTGAAGGTTATGTTTAACTTCTAAATCAAAGTGTTGTGGGAAGATGATTGAAATCTGATGATGACTCAGATACGCTTGATATGTGGTTTTCTTCCTACAGAAACCTTATGTAGAATGCCATTTCCATGTTAGAAAGAACCTAATAGTGAGGAGATTAAATAGTTTCACTATAGATGCAGAGTTTGTGTTATTCACTTTGGTTCCTAGTTTGAATTTTTTTAAAGAACCTCGAGAAACTCAATAACCATAAGAATCTTTTCCCCCTCAGTATATCTTTTTTTTTTTTTTAATGTGGGAGCAAACAAATGATTAGCATATTTTACCAGCATGCATTGATTTTTTTTTTGCCGGTTTTCATAATTCTTTTTTTTAACCAAAAGTTTTAATGTATCTATTTTGGTTCTTTGCTTGCATATTTTTCATTTGCCTCAAAGGGTAAATTCCAATTATATGACTGCATTAACTGTGTACGATGACTTTTGTAAGGCCTGGTAAACAATAACTGAGATATATCTGCTATTTCAATGAAGTCAATGTGTTTGTTTTCTTATTTTCATTTCTTAAAGCAATCATAATAAAACACTAACCTAGAGCTGACATGAATTTTTCTCAGGTGTTTTAAAGATGGAAATTAAAAATCACGCTCCCGGTCTGAATTGTCCTCATTGTCCCTTATCTGAACCTCTCCAAGGCCTCTGTGTGTGGGGTGTGCAGCACAGCACACTCAGACGGTTCTGCTCAGAGAAGGAAGTGGAGAGTTTTGGTTCCCATTTTACACTTCTGGAACAGTTTAGGGAAGGAAGCACCTTTACACCTTTTATTGTTCGTGGTTGCTGACATCATATCCTTCCCTGACCAGTCTGTGTGCGTGTTTCCTGCCATTCTGTCAAAATTCTTCTGTGCTACTGGGAGAGATTTGTAGGAGGGAAGGAGGGAGGAAGAGGGCAAGAAAGAGTGAGGGAGGGAGGAGGGAAATGGAGGGGGGAGGTATGTGTCACTCAAGGGAACTTGTTTGTAAATGAGATAGCCCAGTGGGAGAATGATCTTTAGCATCTGTCCAGAAGAAATTCTTCTCGACTTGGGTCTCAAACCACTTTGCCTTCATCTGCCTGCTTATGCCAAACTCAAAATGAGCAGAAGCCTGCCATAATGAAGTTCCCCTTTTTAGTAAGCAGCCTCATTTTAGTTTTCTTTTATCTGGGTTGGCATTTTTTCTTTAGAAAAAAAAAATGCAGAAGACTGTAATTCTATAGAGTGTAACTATAGTAGAGCAGTTCTTCATCTTTTTTTTTTTAAATTAGTGATTATTTATATGTAGCTCTGTCATTTTCTAAGAATGCTTCTTTCCTGTGGAAAAAAAGTAGTGGCAAGGCTGTTGGAATTATTTTAAGCTTATGGTTGATTGTACGTAATGAAAGTTCTCAGCATAACTTGAAATTTTACTACATGTAGGCTAGCTGTTATATTCCTTTTTCATATACACACAAAACAGTTTTACAGATTACTAAAGTTAAATAATCTCTTTCTTCGCCTCTCTAGGCCTCCTACAAATTGATACTTGAAACTGACCTTTTAATATAGTTTTTGCATAAAAATTAGGTTAGAGAAAATGTTGTGCTAAGAAAACAATGCGTGAGCTATTGTTGACCTTCCTAATTCTTTAAATTTTTAGTGACAGCCTTGAAATGTGGTGACCCATAATCAAATGTTCTAAACCACGTTTCATGATAGACTTTACTTCATGACCAGTTACTTAGTGTCATCATCACCACATATTACTCTGCACGTGTACTTCATACTAAATTTTGGATTTTAGAAATGTTCTGAAGGCAATACCTCAAGAAATATTTATACAGAAAACAAAAGTTTAGTTCTATTGAAATTTAAACTTGCTTCTCTCTACATTGCTTTGCATATTTCAAAAAAGAAAATATATTCAATGGCATTTTTATCAACCACTTATATATACATAGATACATACACACATTCTCTTTGGCAAAATTTTTTTCCAGCATGTTTTAAGAAATTTTTTTTTAAGTCCTTGCTCTGCTCTTTTTAAAAATGGTCTCATTCAAAGTTGTGAAATATGGGGTGATGATATGGAGGAACTCTCCTAAGTTTGGTTCATCAGGAACTCTCTCTGTCTTTCTGAGACTTTTCTCCAAGGATGTTTTGCTGCTTGTTTGGTTATTTGTATTTTGAAATCAGGATCTGTAGATGTTCTTGTCTCTTCTGCCTTATCACCACACTCTAATCTGCTCACCCTGACCTTCCACCTTGAAGTGAATAAGCGCTTAGGCAGGCATAGTCCTGTAAGCCGATAGTGCCACCGGCCTCAGCTAAATGAAAGGAAAGGAAATTGTCCTATATGCATTTGCTGTGGATTCATGGATTGGCTTTCTGTGATAGAGAAAGCTTGTTTGTATCTTTGGGGTCTTAAACGTGCATGGGAAATACCATTCTAACACACTGCTTGCTTCTAAGGTAAGACTATAGGAAACACAGGAAAGTTGCCCCATTGAGTGACATTTAAGACGTTTTCTAAAAATAGATGGACAGTGTCTAGCAACATCAAATATATGATGCAATTATGCTTTGTGGGTTTTTCATATTTTAATGTGATTTCAATATGTTATAACTATTTTTATATGTATTTGTCAAATGTGTGTTATTTCTATAACTCTTTAGAATTTTGAACCACCTCCAACATTTAAAATTACAGCTGGAGCAATAGTTTTTGATGAGCACTGTGTGGTCATAATGTTACTCAACATACATATTATGAGAGGCAGAACTGAGCTGCAGTTTAGTAGAGAGGCGTGAGGCAAAAGAGAATGGATAGTCTTAGTATTTAAGCAGCACTTAATCCACCAGAAGTAATTATATCATAATAGCTTCTGCAATTAAATAATCACCAAAAACTAAAAAAAAAAAAAATACCCAAGGTGATAAAGAATTTGGAAATTAAATTAAAGAAATCAGAAGACAGCTAATGGTCAGACCGAATGTGTAACAGCCTTCCTGTTCCAAGAACTTTGAATTGGAGCCAAACAATCTATTAAATAGCCAGGACATTGGCTTAGCATTACATAATACATGTGGGA
This sequence comes from Homo sapiens, assembly GCF_000001405.40. Taxonomy (NCBI): domain Eukaryota; kingdom Metazoa; phylum Chordata; class Mammalia; order Primates; family Hominidae; genus Homo; species Homo sapiens. The sequence continues at coordinate 88,825,098 of NC_000005.10, read as the reverse complement.
ATTTATCAGGTCCGTTGTCAGACACCAGCTAAAATAAACAGGGAAATTCTGAGCAGTGTGTAAAGTTGTTGCATTCATTGACCTAAAACGAAGTAGAATAATTGGAGCTGTTGCTTGAAAAACCCATTGTGGAATGCTTTCTTGTTAACTTTCACATTTCAGAGCAATTAACTTCCGTTGTGTTCAAATATTTTCAGATGTAATTTAAAACCAAGTAAAGTATGTACTTTTAATATTCTGGGTTTCTTGGGCTTATCTCATGTTATTGATGATCATTTCTCTAATTTTAATTCCTGACCCAGAGATCTCCAGTATGTAATGTGAAGCTTCTGCAATTTTGTATCTTACTCCACAAAGACATGATATGTCTGTTTCTAAATATTTAAATTTAAAGGAAGGATGGCTTGTTATAAAAAATATGGTTATAAATTGAAGAATAATCTTAATTTTGCACCATTTATTTTGTGTCAATGCTTATCTTTTTTGATTCTTGTTATCTAAGATGTAGTTTAAGGGCTTTCAAAAAGAAAAGATCTCACTGCTGATAGATGCTTGTAATCTAAGATTAAATATTCCATATTATTTTTAAGGTGTTCTCACAGCAATAATTTTTTTAAAGTAAGATTAAAGGATTTAGATTTAAATTAGTTGACATTTACATATATCAAATAGCACTTTCATAATCGTCCATCCTATTTGCATAACGAGGGACGTTATCACCTCTGCTGTCAAAACAGGAGATTGTTTTCCCTTCAGAAATGAATTAGCTGCCCTACTTAGCATACACAGGTACATAAAGGTTCATTAACTCTCTGATTTAGGTAATTTTTCATAACGGGTGAAATTGTCACCTAATTTCATTAAAAAGATTAGGAAACTTTTTACAAAAAAAAATACATTTCAAGTGTTAGTCTTTAAAAAAGCATAGTTTGCATCATTTAAATGACTTGTTAAATTACTTATGAGATCATTTTAATTGTTAAAAAATAAAACTACTTGATCTGCTCCTGTCTGTGATATACCATATATTTTTAACAAAAAAGTTATTTTTATTCATTTTATTGCTTTAGCTCCATATAGTTTATTTCCTTGATAAAATTAGAATATGATAGTTCTTATGAAACTGACTTGCTGTTAGAGTGGTATTTAATTTTTCTTTTTTGTTCAGCAGGAACGAATGCAGGAATTTGGGAACTGAGCTGTGCAAGTGCTGAAGAAGGAGATTTGTTTGGAGGAAACAGGAAAGAGAAAGAAAAGGAAGGAAAAAATACATAATTTCAGGGACGAGAGAGAGAAGAAAAACGGGGACTATGGGGAGAAAAAAGATTCAGATTACGAGGATTATGGATGAACGTAACAGACAGGTGAGTGGAGTAAACTTTTTTTGTATCATTATTTATTAATTATATTTTCTCCACATATGTTAAGGGTACAGAAAATATCTTGAATCTGTAAATATCTATTAAGAGAAGTTTGGGTTAATTAAATGTGACCAGTTAAAGTGCTGATAGTCTCTTATATATAAAGGAGAAAAAAATCACTTTATCTGTCAGAAACATAGTTTACACATTTGTCATTATTCACTTTTTACTTCAACACAAATTTGAAATGGGAAGTGTAGTTGTGTGACATGAATAGCTTGATAATTAAGAGTTAATCAGCATAACATTGCTACATTGCACGCATCATCAAACAAAGATATTCTTATATTCATGGGAACTAGACCTTTTGTGGTCATTCACTTAAAGGTTTATAATATAGGATAAATATCCTGTATGAAAATGGCTTTCATTTTATTCATAGTAAATGAGATTTTGAAACACATCCAAACATTTTAACATTGTGCTGACAACAACAACAAAGAAAACACCCACACAAGATATTAATAACTTAAAACATATAGGCAAGGACTATCGGTTAATTCATACCATTTTAAATCTGAATTTGATAAACATAGAGGCAGATGGTGTTATAATTTTTTTCTAGAATGCCAATGATAATGTCTGTGTGATACAATTAATCTGTTGTGAAGACTTTACACATTCAAATGCTCAGTTTGGCATTAAAGACTTGTATATCATGAATGCCTGCAATTTGACTCTATTTTTCTTCACACTAGGGGAGAGTGGATTTAGTTAGGCTATGTAAGGACAGCTGGGTAGTTTGTATAACGTTAAATATCAAATAATGGTCCTGGGAGAAATTATAGTACTGCTGGGTCCCAACCATCTCATATGGATCATGGAACCTGCAGAGAAGACGTTTCTGGACTGTGGAAGAGAAGAGTGTTTTGCCTACTTTTCGGTTACACTGAAGAAGGCTACACAGTAGCCCTGGGGACAACCACCAGACTGTAATTTCCCCACAAATGTAGACACTCATGTCCTCTATTGTCCTGTTTTGTCTTCTTGGACATACAAATAGGACTAGAACTGATTGATTCATTTTTTTAAATGTAATGTTGTTTCATGTGTAAACTATAATGAATAGGAATTAATTATTTCTTGCATCAAAGTCAGTACGCCATTAAAAAGTAGAGAAACTTTTAGGTTTTCAAGTTTATACTCCTCTAAATTATTATATATTTTCAGGTACACACAACTTGAACTATTTTTGGCTGCATGTTTAGCTAGAGGGTGAATAATACTAAGATTTATGGTGGATTCCTTTAGTGTTTTCATGCACATCGTTTCTTGCTGTGGATCAAGCCAAAGAGCAATCATTGTGTCAATAGAAAACCGCTATTTTTTAATTGGCCTATAGCTTGAAATTGAAATTAAGACTGAAATATTGAATGTCATGTAACACTGTTTGGACCTTGTTATTTGGACCAGAACCTATTTTGAGTATAGTCAAAAACATATGAATTAGCATTTGCACTTTATTACCAATACCAGATAATTTTTAGGTTTATGATATTCATTATATCTTCTTTTGCTTGCAAAGTTAGAAGAAAATTTTTGCAGGTTGAATTCATGAGCTTTTATTATGCTTTATTAGAAAAAACAGGGATACAAGATTTTTTAATTTCTATTTTTAATTATGGGTACATAATAGTTGTATATAATATGGAATACATGTGATGTTTTGATACAGGTATACAATGTGCAGTGATCAAAATCAGGGTAATTGAGGTATACCTACCTCAAGCATTTATCATTTCTTTGTATTAGGAACATTCCAATTCTACTCTTTTAATTACTTTCAAATATATGATAAATTCTTGTTAACTGTAGTCACCCTATGTACTACCAAATTCTAGATCTTATTCATTTTACCTATTTTTGTATCCATTAAACATCCCCACTTTATCCCCTCCCCACTCCATGCCCAGCTACCCTTCCCAGCCTATAGTAACCATCAGTCTACTCTCTATCTCAGTGAGTTCAATTTTTAAAAAAAAAAAGTTTAGCTCCCACACGAGTGAGAACATGCAAAATGTGTCCTTCTGTGCCTGGCTTATTTCACTTAACATAATGTCCTCCAGTTAGTTTCACTCATGTTGTAACAAATGACAGGATTTCTAGGGATACAATAATTTTAAAGCCGGGAGTGGTAGTTCATGCTTGTAATCCCAACACTTTGAGATGCAGATCACTGGAGCCCAGGAGTTCAAGACCAGCCTGGGCAACATAAGGAGATGCAATCTCTTATTTTAAAAAGTTAAAAAAAAATTAACTGGGTGTGGTAGTGGCATGCACCTGTGTTCCCAACCACTTGGGGACCACTAGGACCCGAGATGTCAAAACTGCAGTGAGCCGTGATCATGTTACTACTACACTTCAACCTGGGCAACAGAGTGAGACCCTGTCTCAAAAAAACAAAAAACAAACAAACAAAGAATCTTAATGTCGCACTTTTGAGCTAATAATTGAATATCTTTTCTTTTTTTATATATAGTTGCAGCTACAGTGGCTGTTACCCTCATCCAGGTTAGAAGTCATAATAACTTTAGAAGAAGAAAACTTATTTAAATTCAGCTTAGTTTGACTTATCATTTTTTTAAATTCTGAAGACAGATTTCTTGATTTTATTCTTTAGAATTTAGGGTATATTTATTCTTTTCTCCAGTCTTTAGATACAGTAGGCCTGTAAGTTCAATACTTTTAAACAGAATTAGTAAACTTGAAATCCACCATGTTTTAATATATATTTCAGTGATTATTTTAGAGGCTGTTGACAATTTCAAACATCTTACATATAAATGCTTGTCTTGTGCACCTCTCACCTACTATGAGAGCAGTTGTAAGAGTCATTTGGGAAAGAGCCTAAATTATGTAGGTCACTTCTAATAAACAAAACCAGCAAATCCGAAACAGCATATCATACTGTGTAGAGGCACCCGTAACCTGGGCTTTCTTTCAACTGTGTATTCACATGTTGCAAAGAAAAATGCTTTGCCCTCTTTGAAGCTGCCCCACTGTAGACTGTCCAGTAGAACCTCATGCAATGGCTCACTGTCATCTTTTCTTAAAAGTTGTCAAAGACTGCTCTGCCATTGCACTTGTTTATTTAGCTATACACAGAATAAGTTATGTTTTTTCCAGAAAAAGAAATACTGACTTCAAGTGTGAAATGAAATATTACAGCACTGATGTTATAAGTTGTATATCATTAAGAAATAAAACTGTTGTGAAATAGAATGGCTGTTTAAATTGAATTTTACCTTTACTTTAGCTGTCTTTCATAATGGAAGTAGGGAACAGCTCAAATTCAGAAACATCAATACATGAAATAGTTTAGGTGAGAATAAAAATTGACAGCTCAAATTCAGAAACATCAATACGTAAAATAGTTTAGGTGAGAATAAAAATTGACAGCTTTTTTATTTAAAAAAATTTTTTGGCATTTCCAAGTTTACAAAAACTATTTCTTTCTTAGTTTCAAGCTTAGACAACATGGATTTCTTAAGCAAGTATGTAAAAATAACATTATGAATTGTTAATTTATCTTACAGAAATTTTCAGACAACCTAATAAAAGTAGTTACCAATTATGTGCCAAGAACTATATATATATATATAATTACAAATAATTTTTATTAATAAGTCCCATTTTATGGCTGAATAATTCATTTATCTGTGAAATCAACAAATATTACTAGACTGCAGTGTACCTAACACCAAGTATTCAGTGGTGAACAAGAATCTCATCCAGCTTATCCTCTGCTTTAGGGGTTCAGCGAGCTTTCCTGTAAAGGACCACATAGCAAATATTTTTAGCCTTGTGAGCCATATAGTTTTTGTCTCAACTACTCAGCTCTGCCCTAGTAGTCTGAAAGCCGTATGCAGTATGTAAATGAACCTGTGTGGCTGTGCTCCAATAAAGCTTTACTGACAAAAACAGGGCGTTTGGATTTCACTTGTAGGCTACAGTTTATGGACCCCTGATTGAGTTAAACAGACATGAAATATAAAAATATATAACAAAAATTTCACTTATATGTGCTATGAAAGAATAATAGGAGGTACTTTATTTACATCAGGGTTGGAGAAAGGCCTGAGGAAGTGCTAAAAGATGAGCTAAAAGATGATTCAGAGTTAGGCAGGTGACAGCATTCCAGAAGCAGTATTTGCAAAGTTCCTTAAGAGAGGAAAGAGCTTGACTGAGGAGCTGAAGGAAGATCAGTGGGACTTAAGCCTGGTGTATGACTGTAGAGAAATGAGAGAAAAGATTGGATGTTAGACAGGACCCAGATATCGCAAAGCTTTGAAGGTCCTGTTAAGTTCTAAATAACTGGCTCAAGATTGTACAGTTAAAACTGGGAAGTGACCAAGATCTGAGCCCGGATCTCTCATATTCAACACGAAACAAATTATGCTTTTTAAAATTATGTCATGATGCATCTAGTGTAATATAATAACTAAGAGCATGGTTTTGTGTCATTACTTTTCCCAATTATACTGCATCCAGTATAATCAAATGGCTAAGAGGCATAGTTTTTAGAGACACACAAACTTCGTTCTTGTCCCAGTTCTGCCACTTACTAGCTATGTGACCCTCTAGCAAGTTACTTAGACCCTCTGAGCTTCAGCAGTACCCTCATCACTAGAGTGAGGATGAAAAAAAGTTAGTACCTTTCTCATTAGGTCTTTAAGACAATTAAATGAAGCAATAAATGTAAAGCACCCACCAAATAATAAGTGCTCAATAAATTTACCTATTAGCTATTCCTATTAAGACTCAGGCTCTTTGAACCATTAGCTATTATAGTTAATGTGATTTCTATCAAAACAACTCTTGTACTGTGTAGCACAATAAAGAATGTTACCTAAACCTTCATTTCATGAGGGTTTTATTTTAAAAGGGTATTGAGGAGATGGATGGAAAAGTGGAACAGGTAGAGCAGGAGCACAAAGGAGCCTTCAGAAGCCAACAAGGGGCTAGAGAATGATACCAGAGCAGGAGTGAGCTGATGCAGAGAGGATAGTTTGTGGACAAGAAGGAAAGATCACACAGGACGTTTGCAGAGGATTTATGACAAGGATGGGGAGAAGTCGTTTCCTAAATGTTATGCTTGTGGGACCTGTTTTCAAATATATGTTACTGACCAAATTATTTTTAACTACTCCTCACCATTTTTATCACTACCAGCTTCTAGCTTATGCTAACACTACAGTTTCAGTCTCTCCGTCGGCATTTTTTTTTTACCCTTGAAATACCTCCATCAGTTAGGCAGTCTTACCCTCTTTCACATGGTACCAATTTTTAATCATGCTCCTGAAACAGATTTTTTTCTGTGACACTTTTATTGTATTTTACAGTAACATATATATGCAAAGGTTTAAAAAGTTCAACAACAAACTGGTTTTTATGAACAGATGGTTTTGGGGGTGCTTGTTTCATTTCTTTTGTGTTTAAAATTTTTTAAATTAACAAATAATTGTACGTATTCATAGGGTGCACAGTGATGTTTTAATATGTATAATGTATAGTGATCAAATCAGGGTAGTTAGCATATCCATCATCTCAAACATTTATCATTTCTTTGTCTTGGAAACCTCCAATATCCTCCTTCTAGCTATTTCAAACTGTAAGATATATTAACTGTAGTCATCCTTTGGTGGGATAGAACACTTGAATGCATTTGTCTTATTTAGCTGTAATTTTGGGTCCTTTAACAGTTTTTAAATGAATATTGTCCTTATATGACTCTTTCTACAAACAATATATTTAGAAATCTGTTATATTAGGAAGAAAGATATATAAAAATTAGGCATGCTTAGCCTAAACCTATTTACTTGTATGTTTGTATTTGAAAATTTCAGCTTTCCTACTTTGAAAGGATAGGAGAGGTAAGCCCAAATTTATTTGTGCAACTTGTTATAAAAAGACATTTAAATATTTGTCAGATAACACAGTTAGGGCTTAAAATAGTAAGTTAAGAAAGAAATATATTTAAATGCCTTAAGTTTTCTTTTCTTTCATCAGATCTGGCACACTAATAGTTTTTGCCAGCAAACAAAACTTCATGTAATTATCAGTGCAATAACTGGAGCACAAACTAAAGACAATTTGCAACATTCTGTTAATAGAACAGGAGAATCCCCTTATGACTAAAAGAATTCAGAGTTCATAGCTGTTACATTTTCTAACTTTCCCTCTTCTTATGTCCCCATCTCAGTCTCTTCATATGAATTATAAATTATATAAGATGAACTAGGAAAAAAGCTGGAAAAATGTGTTCAGTGTAGATGCAGCTTCTGACAGTTTCTACATACTGATGTGTTTTCAAACTAAATCTGGTCTATTCGACACTAAACTGAAAAATAAAAAGAGATGTATAGATTCCCTCAAGTGACTCTTTAAAAAGAAAAAATTTTACTCCTTACTTTTTCCTGGTTTTCATCAAGTTAATTACAGTTCTAAATTTGGGAGTTACATCTTAATAACCTAATAGAAAATTTGTTGAAAGAGAGATACATTCACTCTTTAAATGTGAGTAACTGGATAATTGAGAAATACAAATTAATTGCTTCAAAAAAATAATTTTTCGGTGAATTCCAAACCATAAGTTGGAGAATAGATGGAAGATGCAGTCTCCACTGCTAAATGCACTTTTTTTGGCCACCTCCACAAACAGAATTTCCAGACTTGTGAGTTTTTCTTTAAATACTGTAGAAGAATTATACTTGTTAATCAAGAAGTATCTGGAATCTCTTTCAGACCTAGTGAAAAAAAGCTCAATCAGTGAAAAATTATTGATTTTCCTATCTTTTAATCCAAAATAAGCCTGCAAATACCTCATAATAATGATGATGATGATTGTTTTTTCTTAGTATCATTTCTTAACAGATGCCTGCCTCCCCAACACTTGTATTAAAAATTATACTAAACTTATTTCATATAAATAAAATAAGGGTGTGTCATAGTAATATTTTAGGACATCATACCCATCAGAATTGAATTATAGGGTCTATTGCCACATATTGGGGATGCCTTCTTAAAAGCTCCTCATGCATATAAGTTAAATCATTCTTTTATTAATCTTAAAATTACCAAGGGAAAAGTTTTTATTCAAAGATTTGGAATTGCTGGTGATTGAAGAGTTGAAAAAGAAAACCAGAAGGGAAAATGACCTAAATAATACTTGTAAGAGTTTCCAAATTAAAAAAAAAAAAAAAAAAAAAAAAAGCAGTAGGCAGAATGCTCAGATGTATGTTTAACAGCTGTGGCCTCAGGCCATTCATTTCCATTTTATCCCTTAGCAATTTGAAAAGAATTCACAAATAATCTCCCCACCATGTAGTAGGATCACAGCAACAGTGTGCCACACATATTACTATTTATCCTGTTCGGTGCATGATATTTTATATTTATGTCAGCTAGATCTACTCCTTTACTGCCAGAAAGATATTGCTCCAACTCCCGTCAATCTCATTCATTCACTTTCCTTTGGTAGGAAATCTGAGAGAGGCCAACATTTTCATAAGGAAAAGAATAATTGTCACTTCTAGAATTCTGTCACTCTTCTTTGAACTTGAGGGCCTCAAGGGTTTTTATTGTTTCCAGTTCTAATTTGTATATCTCATATAATTTCTACTTAAAACTGTAATTTAAAAAGAATCTGATGCTTTTATTTATTGTATCTCATTTTGTGAAGAAAGTTGATACTGAATGGCCCCTTTCACCTCTGGGAATGCATGCACACACCACTCTGTCTGCTACAAGTCACCTTTAGCTTTGCAAATGCACAAACTGTGTGACATTGTATTACTGAGAAACCAACACTAAAAATATTAACATTATAAATAGACTACATACACCGAGAAGTTTCTTCCAAACTGTAGATTAAAAGACATGATGCTAATTGTTTCAAAAGCCATGTCCTCTGCAGTCTGCACTTCTTTAACATTTAGTTCAAAATGAAACTACTTCAAAAATTATTAGGGTATTTTTAAAGTTTGCATCCCAATGTATTCTTGTTGAAGGTAGTTTGGAAACTTATTTTTTCTGAGGATAATGGCTTTGGCAAAAATTTTAAAAAATTAAGTAAATGACATCATTAAGGAAAAAAATTAAAAATTGATAATATGTAATGTGTATTTGTGTTTCTTTTGAAATATGTTGGACCATTAATAAGAATTAGAGAACCAGTCTAAATGTTTGGAAATTTGACTTTTAATTTTAAATTGGAACAGTTTAACTAAAGAAATCACTAACATTTAAATAACATTTCAACAAATGTAACTGTTTGGAAACTATAAGGGAGACAGCCTTCTGTCTTGCAAGGATTGATTTGGAAGGCCCTGGGGGAGAAAATATTGGAGTTAGGAGGTAAAACCTAGGCTATTGTGGAAAGGAAGAAGTTACACTCTTCCTGTTATGACAGGAAAATGTAGACAAATGTGCTTCCTGAGCATTTGCTCAGCAGGGAATGAAGTATCCTTTGACCTTTCCCTTAGGTACATTTGGCTTTGTTGAACTAGTAAACATGTTTTTGCCCCCAAAATATTAATCTGGTTTATTTGATTCTTCTCAGATTCAAATTATATCTCTTATGTAGATGAGATACAGAGAAACAAAGGTATTTATTTTATGACTGCATCTACAGATTGGATTTAGAATGAAAATTAGCCCTTTAACAAACCAGGCAGACTTGAGCAGCCCATATAAAAAATGTGAAGCCTGCTGTGTTAGTCTTCTCTTTTCAAAAGGCAAAACATTCCTAGGCCTTAAAATGGGCCACAGTAAAATCTCTTATATCCTGATCAAGTTAACAATTTTCGGTCATCCTTCTTCCTTTTCCTCATGCAGACAAATGCATCAGAATTCAGCTGTCACAAATTTTAAAACTCAAACTTTTATGAGTTTGTTAATAAACACTCGTTTCATTAATGTGCATTCGATTATTTAATTTAGATCTAACTGTGATTTATTATTTTCCCTCCAATGCATAAGATTTGGAGTTTTATTTTGGGATTTGGGATGTTGACTTAGGGTGAGGGGTTGGTAGAGTTCTAAATTCCACACTCTAAGCCCCTTATTTTAATCCTTTTATCATGTTCAGAATTTTAGGAACTACTGCTTGAAAATCCTTTGGAAATACTACTGTATTTCAGCGAAACGGAGGCTCAATTTGCTTGAGGCTAACGAGGACAATAGTCCCCTTTGCGGCAGAACACACTGCTGTCTCATCCTCGCAAGTTATGCTGGAGGGTTACAAGCACGTGGTAGCAGTCTGCTTAAAAGAGTCCCTCGCTGCTCTTTAAAGAGCCTTTCATTTACGATGGCAGGCCCCGTCATTGTATAAAGGAACGCTTGTCTAGAACACAAGTCTGCAGAGGCACTGCTTCCTCCCACCGAGAGTAATCATCGGGCCTAAAGCTCGCGAGCCTTTCTAATGACAGACTGAATTAAACAAAATAAAACTGAAGAAGAATACTTTAGAACATTTGTGCCATTACTTACTGTCAGGAACAAGGGAGGTGGAGAAAGAGCATTTAGGAGGGCATTTCCCTTTTTCCCAATTAAAGATTGTCGTTGCAGACTCTTGACTCCAGCCCTAACCCTTTAAACACATAGGAAGACCTGTGGCTCCTGGATTACAGAGTGTATTGTATCTGTGAACTGTCCATCTGTCACTCATTAGTCATTCTGTTTCCTCAACTGGGAGGAAACTGAGAGATTATCTAGGTGGGGGGATGAGGTGGAGTAGCCGACCTGAAATATTTTCACATAATGAGGGTTATATTTATCATGACTCTTATTTGGAGGGAAAAAAAATGATCAAACCTCAAACCTTTGAAAATAGAATTAGCTGGGTATACGAATCCCAAACACATCCTAAAACAAAGAAACTACTATTTATGAGTTAAAGAATGGTGAAAATAAAAAAATAAAAAATTATCCATTCATTGAGCACTGTAAGGTTCAATTAAGATTAGGCTAAAAATATTGTGTTTGGTGGAAAGAAGTATTTGGGACCCATAGATCAGATTTTTGTTGCTTCCCTTAGTGATATGTCTGAGGCAATTTGCAGTTGGGCCTCAATTATTATTATAGATGTGAGTAGCTGCTGTTTCTAAAGGTCCTTTTCTTTCAGAACTCTTTCCTGCAAGGTGCAAGAACAGTTACCACAGTTAAAATGGCAGGAAAGTTCTTCTGAGGTGACTTTATGAATGGGGCTGGGCCTGGGAGGGTGAGGGAGGGGGCAGGCGTGTGGAGTGGAGAAAGATTATGAAATGCCCTTTCCATTTCACAGTAGTCAAACTAATTTCCCTACCCTGTAGGAAATGATACAGGACTCCTTCTCTGTTTTTAGAACTTGTTATTTACATTGCCTGTGTAAATCAGAGGGCCACCTTTTTTTATTCTAGCTGTAAGCAGACCTGTATTTACTACCAACCAAAATTCTTCCCATTTTCTGAAATTAAAATAAACATCCATAAATATAGAACTAGTTTGTGCCCACTAGTGCATGCATGTGGTTCTCAGTGGCTGTAGTGGGAATGGCCGGAGCGTCTGAGGGCAGAGTTGGCTGCAGAGTCTATACAAAAGTAGCTTTGATTTACTGTCAGAACCTAGAAACCAACTGGCTCTCAATTTAGTGTTCTTAGTATTATTTTTTGACTTTAACCTAGAAAGCAGTCCTTACGTTAATTAAAATGTTATGCATTACTGTGCTTGCACTTATCAGAATTTCTGATGGTTCTTAATGTAACATTACAAATGACAGTGCCTGCATACTGCTCAATAAACAGTTGACTGGGTCCATATTGAGCTGAACTTCAGCCCCTAAAATCCATAGTTATCTAAAAGAGGGAAGGAACACTAACTAACAGAAAGAAAGATGCACTTTGTGTGAAGAGGGTTGGTTTTCTAGTCCATCCAGGAACAAGTCTGGGGACCTTGGATAAGGCTATTCATGTCTTTGTTTACGGTATTCATCTGAAAAATAGGGATGATAAACTGTGCTAAAGAATAAGTTCAAAGAGATACTGTCGAATGTAGGGAGATAATTAATTATAAAATCGTTGAACTTCTTAGAAAAAATTATCAAATAAGCAACACTGTTATCTAAAAAATAATATAAGAAATCTGATATGCTTCACTTGCACCAACCAACCCACACACAAAATTTGACCAAGTCCAGTTTTTTCTCCTGATTAATTTTACCAAATGTAAGTTTCTACTGTAAGTTAAAATGACAAAAAAATAAAATAAAACAAGTATGTGAAATTTCCCTCTCTCAGTAGCAAACTTCTTGTTAACATAGTCTGAGCATCCATAGAAATTTATTTTCAGCTATTCATTTTGGATTACAAAAAACACTATAATTCCTCTGTCCATATATCTATTCATTCTATCAACATTTATTTATTTAGCCAAGTATTATTATTGGTTGTCAGGTTACAAGAATGAGCAAAAGATGGCCCAGGTACTCGAGAAAAACTAGGATATAGCTGAGAGAGACACTCTAATCTAGACCTAAGTAAATAATGGTAACACAAGCTGACAGGTCCTAGGAGACCAGTCTTTTACAGTATGTTTCAAGGAGCGACTAAGCCTGGTGCATCAGAGAAGATACTACTTGCTTTGTAAAGTGTTTCACAGTTAACAAGTTATTTACACTGGTATTATATCCCTTACTTGACCTCTCACAAAACTCTATATGATGCCTGTTATTATCTCCACTTTCCAGGTGAGGAAACTGGGGTTCCGGTAAGTTAAGCAATTTTACGCAAGGGCACACAGCTCATAAAAGGCAGAGCTGGGACTTGGTTTTCAATTTTTATGTTTTTCTTTCTACATTGTACTGCCCCAGTCATGATGCATGTATCCTGTTTCTTTAAAATGTCTTTAATAATGTGAATTTGCTGTTTTATCAATCTGGATAATTATTTTTCTGTGCATTTTCAGTACATCATTTAATGTTGTCTACTCAAATTCTTTACAGTCTTTTGTGTCTCGTCTAGCTACAAAAAAAGTTATTTTATTTCTTGAAATATGGAAATTAGAGGCGATAATGTATGGGTGGGATTGAGTAACTAAAACATAGGAGATTCTGTAGGGTGCATGCTTGGTGAACCATATTGCCATTTGCTCTTAACTCAAAGCCCTATGATACTTAGGCATAGATTAAGAACATCTAAAAATTAGAATAAATATTTTAAAGGTCTCTAGTCCAACTTCCTGCTTAATTCAGGAGCCCCTTCTACACCTTCCTTGATATGCAGCTCTATGTGAACATATTCAGAAATGAGCTGCTTCCTGCTTGGTGGGAAGTTCTCATCACTAGATTTTCCCTTGTTTTGAATCTCTTTCTAATTTTCAACAATGCTTACTAATTTTGCCTCTTCGCATGGACATATGCTTCAGACCTTAGAAAATGTTTAGCATTTCACTTTTAATTCTATTTTTTTCTGAGTTATACATTCCAGATTCTTTCAATGGTTCCTCATGCCAGATTGTTCTCAGACCCTACATCAGTCTGTTTACCATCCTGTAGATGCTCTAATTTTGTCAGTGCTTTCTTAAAATGTCACCCTCAGAACTGAATATGCTACCAAAGATGGTTCTGACAAACAAAAAGATCAGTAGGATAATTAATTACCACTATAGAACGCTAAAACTTTAGATCCTTTCCCAAAATTCCTTAATTATCCCCAACCTGAACTTTTGTAATTGTTTTTTAAAAATATGAATGTGGACTTTAAAATTACCTTCATTTGATTCATCTTGATTGTGACCCAGCTTTCTAAAGGCTGTAGAAGGCGCTATGGATATAGACTCTTATCACCTACTGGGTTTGCTCAAGCACCCAGATTTACGTTGCATGCAGATCTGATAAGCCTGCCTTCCTATATACCCATCTAAACCAATGACAAAAATGTCTCCTGGGATGGGAAAAGTACTGAATTCTATGGCACTTTACTAGAGACTTTTTGATAAACTTAACATTGATCAATTAAGTCGGCCTCATTAATTATAGTTCATCAGCCATATTTAAATCAGCTAAATTACTACCATCCAGTCTCAAATTGTGCATGAGGATTTCATCACTTTTCCAAATGCTTATTCTTTGAAAATCTGAACTCATCAGAAAGTTCAGTACATTTTTGCTGAACAAACTCAGTCATCCTGAACCCATGGATCCTCCCCATTCTTTCTGTATCCTGTGATTGTAAAATTAAATTTTTATCTTCAGACTTTTTTATCTTTCATCTTTTTTATCCAGGCAAGGGATAAAAAAGAAAAAAACTTTTCTCTGAATTTTTTGAAGTATATTTTTCTTGAAGTCTACAGCATATTTACATATATATTTTTCTCCAGACATCATTTACCTTCTTTATTATAAATTCCAAGATAGTGTAATTACTTTATCTTAAGATTTGTGTCACTAATAAGCTAAACATTGTAGTAAAATAAAGGTATATGTGTCCAAAATCTCTATTTTTGAGAGATTAAATTATTTAAAAGGCAAGTAAAAAAGCATCTACTCTAACATAAAATTATACCGAAACATTCAGACTTCAAAATGGAGTATTTCCATTCCATAATCCATTCGTTCAGCAAAGGTTCATTGAGTGGCCACTGGTCAGAGTCTGTGAGAGGCCTGAGGGATGGTCTTTGGGGAATTCAAATCTGGCAGAAGGGAAAACTCATATACAACCAACTTTGTAATACTGGAGTAAGTCTCATAATAAAGATTTGTAAAAAGTGCTGGAGGACTACAATGAGAAAGGAATGAGTTTTATCTGAATGTGACAAGGAAAGCATCAAAGAAAGAAGTTGGCATTTAAACTAACCCTTACAGCGTGATGGGTGCATCCAGTGGCCAGGTGGAAAAGGAGAGATGGGAGTAATACCACAATCAGCTTTCACCAAGTCAAGATTAGAAATAACCAGTAAGGTAGATTTCATTTCGTACTCATCTTGACTGAATTTACATCTACTATTATTTTTCTAGCTCAGTCCAGAGAAAAAGTTAGTCTGAAAAAAAAACTGAATTCACCCAACTCTAAATAAAAATACGAATTCAGATTATTAGATATGACTGAAAATATAACTCTGTTGGCCAAGTCATGCATTTTGTTCCAAATAAAGAAAATTCCTTTTAAACGTTATGGAATTAAATGACTTTTTTTTGTCCAGCCACAAGGAACTGATATGAACAAGGGAGATATTATTTTATGTAATGGAAGCCACAGTACCTAGCACAAATGCCTGACATAGAGAATATTCAATAAATATTGCTTAGCATAATGTTTGACATGCGGAAAATGCTCCATAAAACTTGGCCAAATTATTTTTATATTTTTTGTGAATAGACTTTCTTAAATTTTTAGTAACTGATTTGTATGGTGCTATATTTAATGAATGTTTCTTTTCTCAATTTCAACTTCTAATTTCTGTTTTTCCTTCGCACCTAATAGGTTCTAGAGCCATTATCAACATAAGATGTATGGTATCTGTCCTTACTCTAGGATTTAAAAGTCAGGGCCACTATAAAACTTAACATACCATCATCACATTTGGGGCTATTTAAAGATTCAAAAATATAAAGGAAAAACATAAAATAAAAAACATACAGAGTAGTTCTGCTTTCTATGCTATATCACACATTAAGTCTCTTTAATTTGATAACATGTTGACTTATGTAAATACTGGAAAAGAGAGACTCTTTGCCTAACTACTGTAAAAACCTCTTTCTGCCTCACCTAAGGTTCCAAACATGTTATTTAAAAAGAAATATGGACTTGTCCCCATTACAAACTATTATCAAGTTAAGAAAAATGTAACCATCACAAGGCATTATTTAAGTATAAAAGCGCAGAATTGAAATCTTTGTTATTGAGTGGCATATTTTAAATGAAGAGTTATATTCCAGATCTCTTTAGAAAGCCTAATGCTTAAAAATAATTTTATCTAACTATGAACAATGAGAAAAAGCATTATAAAATACATTTTGAGAATGCTATGAAGAATATGAACATAATGCAGAATTAAATTTAGAGCAATTAAGAGTAGATTTTGAAGATATTTTCTTACGTGCTTTAATACAGTCATCATTTCAGTTTGCAGTTTTAAATTGCAGAAGAAGCTATATGCACTGACTTCTTTGATGGGTATTATTAAATAAGTATTCATTATCCAGCAGCCTATTTGGTTACACAAAAATTGAGGAGCACTAAAAGTAAACACAAATAGTGACATTAATGATATTTCTGTACTGAAATGTACTTTGATTATGAGTGTTGTAACGTGCAAAATTCTGAGGTCTGAGTACAACAGAAACCATACTGTATTGAGACATTCCACATATAGCTTGTGGTCATGAAGTCTGATTAAAAGTGGTTTTAGATATATGAAAGTAGTCTAGGTCAGTGCCTTCTGTATTGAACGTATTCTGTAGCCTATTTCACTAAGTAAAATGCCAATATGCAGGTACATTTTCATATCAAAATTGGATCTAAAAGAAATATTAAAAGACATTTAGTGCAGCTCTGTGTAATTAATGATTATGTTTCTTTATTCATTCCAAAAAGATGGTTTTCAGCCCATCCTTAATATCAATTATGACTCATCTGCATAAAACAGAATAAAAGTTTCTAAAGTAGTATGATAATCAGATATGAAAATAAAACACTAGCTATATTTTTTCAGAAGTACTTTAGAAAGACAATCAATAAAGATGAAATAGAAGGTGAAAAACACTGACAATTACAAGAAAGAAGAATTATCCAAGTTGAAATGTAAATAACGTAACTGAGTAAATATTGACTAGTTGATATGGGCTAGTAAATATCTAAATGCCTTATTTTCCAAACGATGGTCACTACAGCTTTATCTTTCTATCAGTCATAATAACATCTTCAAATAGCCATAACTGGTAGACTCTTCAAGTCACCAAGACAAGTATATTTTGCTAGTTCTTCTTTTTTGGTTAAGTCAACTAAGAAATTTGGGGGAACTAATATTTATTGAGCACCTACTCTAAGCATTATACTCAATACTATACACACATTATTGGATACAATCCTCACAACAGCCTTAAGAGTAGGTATAAATCTCTGTTTTACAAATGTGAAAAATCAAACTCAAAGAACTTTATTTAAAGTGAGGCGAGGCACGGTGGCTTATGCCTGTAATCCTAGCACTTTGAAAGGCTTAAGCGGGAGGATCGCTTGAGCTCAGAAGTTTGAGAACAGCCTGGGTAACATAGGGAAACCTCGTTTCTAGTAAAAATAAATACAAACAAAGATAAAGCCAGAACATGTTGGTGCACGCCTGTAGTACCAGCTACTCCGGAGGTTGAGGCGGGAGGATGGTTTGACCCTGGAAAGTGGAGGCTGCAGTTAGCTATTCTAGTACCGCTACACTCCAGCCTAGGAGACGGGGAGACCCTGTCTCAAAAAACAAACAAACAAAAGAGAAGTTGTTAAGTGAATTTCGCATGACTAGCAAATTCGGCATTCAAATTCAGAGTTCTCTAAATACAAACCCTATGTTCTTTGCTTTCTACCATACTACCTTCAATGTCATATGATAAAATAGTGTAATTATTATTAAGTAAGGAATATATGTATTGTTAAAACATTTTGCATATGAGTTGTTAAAAAAATTTCATGGGAAAATTTATCACATATATACATACATCAATTGTATCTTTCTGAAGATTTCACATAGTAGCTTCCCCTATCAATTTTTATACCATGGATTTTTACCATGTGCCCACACATGTCTACTGGTCTAAGCACTGGGGATAAAGTAGTGAGCAAAATAAAAACGGCATATACCCTTGTGGAGCATGCGCTGTAGTGGAAGAGAGGTTAAACAGATCACACAGGAAAATATAAACAGTTTTGTATTTTTTATTTTGCATATTTTATATACAAAATATATTTTGCATATTTTTGTATATATTTGGTATATTTTTGTGTATATTTTGTATATTTGAAAATATAAAATGTGATTGTAACATGAAGGAAAAATAAAAGGTGATAAGTAAAACAATAATTAACAAAATGTGGAGGAATGAGGAGACTGGGAGGTCAGGCTTTCTGTCTGCTAGTCCACAGTCCTTGTCAACATAAATCTATTTAGTTGTGGGGGAGGGTGGGGAGTGGGAGAAGGTGGCAGGCCAGGATTCAGAGTTCTCTCTGAGGTTTCTAGTTTGGATGACTGAGTTTATGGTGAGATGGGGATTCCAAAAGGGGCTGCAGATTCTAGACTGAAGATAATGAGGTTGAACTTTGGAAGGTTTGAGAATCCAGGATGTTTAGACAGGTGTGGAACTGGAGGACATGCATTGGGTGTCTGGAGACAAAGAGAAAGATGAAGGGTAGGAATATGCAATTAGGAATTACACACAAATCTGTGATAAAATGAGCTGGCCTCTCTGCAAGGTGGGTTGGATTTGAAGGTATGAAAAAAGTTTAAATGATTCATTCTGAAAACAGTAGCTTAATTAAGTAAATTAGCTTTTCCCAGAATATGTGCCTCAAAAACCTAGTTCTGAAGAGTGATAGTAAGTGCTCCTCAAAATAAATAAATATGCAAAGAAACAAACGATATGTCAGCAATAGGTTCGAAAAGCAAGTTAAACAAAGTTTAAAAGGTTTCATAGCCTTTCATATACCAATGTGCCTCTTTTTCCAAACATATTAGGCCACTGAACTTTTTTCTTAAGGAGTATTTTATAGGAACAGTACTCTACAGAATGAATACCTGTTGGGAAACAGGTATTCATTCTGTAGATGGGAAACACTGGACCATATAAAGGTTTATAAGAGACTCCGTCTCCAAAAAAAAAAAAAAAAAAAAAAAAAAAGAATGTTCACGCCTTTTCAGTAGCCAGACTGGAGCAACAAGCTGAAGTTCAATTAAAAGAGAGTTGAAATTGGGAAGAGTGAAATGTATTTTTGCATTTGGTAGGATTGGCAGGTAGGAAGTTTTCAAAGCCAGGGAGAGGGAGCTGTTGTAGGCAGCTCATCAGGAAAAAGACAGTAGGAAGAGTGAGGCTTTGCAGTTTGAGTTAAATTGAGGAAGGAATGATTCCAGGCAGGGAGATCATCGAGGACAGGAAGCTGCTAGGCTGTCCAAAATTGAAGTGATAAGGACATCAGTGATAGAGTTGCCTGGGAAATAGTGTGAACCTGAGAAATATTTTGAGGAAAGGAATTATGGGTCTTGGTAATAGATTAGATTAAAAGAAGAAAATGGTGGCATTAACAATACAGTTTCTGACCTGAGAGAAGAAGAAAGATACACAGAAGAATGAAACCAAAACCCTAAGCATATGATGGCTAACGGACTTCCCAGTGCCCTGTTGGGTTTCTAGAAAACAGAATACAACATCGTCTGAGATCACAGTCATATCCCTTCAAGTGTTTTCAATTAAATGACATGAGACTAGACAATTTTAAGACTTGTTTGAACACAGATCTAAAATGCTAAGTTCCTAATGTCATGTCCACTCTTCAAATAGTCAAAAACAAGCTCCAAACTAATTATTAATTGGGAAATATGCTAACCATGCTGAAATTAATTTTTTTTTAAATCTTAACTTGCTCAAAGAAACATGACCAGTTCCCTGGTCACCTTCATTAAAATACCCTACATTAAATCTTGCATTTAGAGTCTCACATTCAGCAGCAAGCTAGAAATCACACATTTTCAAATGATAAGCAGAAATTAATATTAGATTTATTTGCTTTCTTTCTGAATGTGTTAGTGCCCAGGGCTCTGACAACTACACACCATTGTTTTGTGAAGGAAAAGAAAAAAGAAAAGAAAAAAACCACACATGCATGAATATTTTTTAAAAAATCTTGGCTGCTTTCTTTTTTCTAGGTGACATTTACAAAGAGGAAATTTGGGTTGATGAAGAAGGCTTATGAGCTGAGCGTGCTGTGTGACTGTGAGATTGCGCTGATCATCTTCAACAGCACCAACAAGCTGTTCCAGTATGCCAGCACCGACATGGACAAAGTGCTTCTCAAGTACACGGAGTACAACGAGCCGCATGAGAGCCGGACAAACTCAGACATCGTGGAGGTGAGAGAGCATGCGTGGTGAGCCCCAAGCCTCCGCAAGCAGGGGAGTTTGGACCTCCCCCTGCCACACACACATACACACATCATGTTCTTTTTCTTAAGATGTTCATAGTCCCATAGATAGACCCAGGATTATTATCTATCGCAACTCTTACTCCACCTTTTCTCTCCCCTTCAAAAGTTAGAGTGATGTGATGATAGAGACCATGTAAGATCTGGTCTTTGCTAGAAATCAAGTACCAGTGTCAAACTATTTGCTTCATCTTTGGCAAGTGGTCATTGTCCACAGCTGTGTATCAGGACACCATGGTTGGGAACTCTTGCCAGGGAATAGCTCATCCATATTTTAGACACTTCTGATCATTTATTTTAGGTATATAATAGTTTCCCGGCATCATCAAAGAAAAAACGTATTTAAAAATGAACTCACCCCAACCTTACACTTTCAGTTTTTCGATTTATGTCTCTTCTTTGTAACTCATTATTCTGAATGCTTTCTTGCTGGAAGAGTAAAGGCAATTATTCTCCTAGAAATGTTTTTTCCTAAAAATTATATCATTATATATATCAATGAAAACTGTTAATATACATGGAATCAGAAATCAGATGAAAATGAATTTCTAAATGTTAGCTCAGTGTTTAATCAATGTCAGATTTAAAAAATTGTTTTATTGTGCCCAAAATAAATAAGCATGATGCTGAAAGTCAAAAATGTTTTAGATGTGTTAGCATAAGTAACATACCATACAGTTTTGGCTGGAACATTTTTTTTCCCATTTTATTTTATTTTATTTTATTTTTATTATACATTAAGTTTTAGGGTACATGTGCACATTGTGCAGGTTAGTTACATTGGCTGGAACATTTTAAACCTTTTCAGCATCGATCCTATTTAAATACTTTGTAGTACCCTTCATGAGCAATGATTAAGACTACAAAACAAAGGAAGAGGTATAATAAGGATGGTTCCCATCTGCCTATTTTCTTAATCTATTTGTCTACTCTGGCTTCCCTAGATTGTGCCTGCTTTCTCAGAATGAAAAGAAAATTAATAAGTGTTTCAAAAGTATGTACTCAAGAGCCAGTTTGCCAGAGTACACGTCATTCTTGCCATTGCTTAGACTGGTTCCACATTGTAAAAAAATGTAGTGCTAATCCTGATCAAATGAATATGCCTCCCACATCCATCTCCCTTTTACCTGTTACAATTGTCTAAGACTAATTCTCATTTCTTTGTTTTTATTTGAAAGTTTTTCAAAAGTATTGAGCTGATTATTATATTTTATTTTTGCCTTAACGAGGCCAAGGAAATAATTTCAGAGAAACAAAAGTGAATGATAAATAGACCTAGGGTGATATGTGCTTAAAATACTATGCATTATTTTAGTTTTTCATTGATAATTTGAATTGTGTGCTTGCCTTGATCTTGAAATTTAGGATCACTGATAAAATTTACCTATGCATTTCAGATAGTTTTTTATTTGCATATAAATATGAAAGTACAAAAATATGAAGGTGAACACTGCTTGTGTGTGTGCACTAATACTTATGTAAAATAAATTCAGAAAACAAAACAACTATTTACTAAAAACTCCATCTCATTACTAAAACCATTATAACAAAAGTCAGGGTAACAAAAGAATTTGAGTTGGAATTTATCATTACACTGGAACTGCTAGTCCTTAATGTCATGTGAAATGCTGTAGATCCATAATGAGCCAATTGGAAAATATGTTGACTTCTAAAATTTGCTTTCTTAAAGGAGTTTAAAACCTAGAACATTCATCTTCTGAGGGTTTTTCTTAGGAATATATTATATGACTTGAAGGCAACTTAAAACTTCATATATTGGCCAGGTGTGGTGGCTCACACCTATAATGCCAACACTTTGGGAGGCCTAGGTGGGCAGATTGCCTGAGCTCAGGAGTTTGAGAGCAGCCTGGGTAACATGGCAAAACTCCGTCTCTGCAAAAAAAATACAAAAATTAGCCAGGCATGGTGGCACACATGTGTGGTCCCAGCTACCTGGGGGGCTGAAGGGGGAAGATGGCTTGAGCCTGAGAGGTCAAGGCCTCAGTGAGCCTAGATTGTGCCTCTGCACTCCAGCCTGAGTGACAGAGCAAGACCCTGTCTGTTTAACAACAACAACAACAAAAAAACCCACTTCATATATTGTATGAAAACTTCATATTTTTTGATAGGTGGATATTTGAAAGTCAGACTTCTTTAAATGCCACAAAAACAGCACTGGGTTAAGAGTCATTGTTTTTCATTTGAATCCTTGTCTTGCACTTTTGTGCAGTGTGGTGAGTTGGGTACCTCTCTGGGCTGACGTTTTCTCATCTCAAAAATGAAGGCATTGGATTTGAAAGTGCTTTTGCAAGATTATAATTTTTAAAAAAGCAATACTTGTAAAACAGGAGTAAAGAACCAGTTCCATTTTCTTGTTAACATCAATAGATTAAATCTCTGAATCTCTCAAAAAGACACTTCGAGGCTTTTGGGCCAAATCTAGAGATTGGATGGCTCAATTATTTGGATGAACATAACATGTAAGTCTAACACATTGTGGGTCCGTCCTGTTCAACTCCCTGAATTATGCATTCTTCACATATTTGGCTTTTCCACATTTTAGTAATAACAGAGATCATGGAAAAAGAAGTAAGATGGGACCGCTAAGCTTGATAAAATTTACATCATCTTCACATGGAATATTTTTCAAAGTGCTGCATCACTGAAATTAGGATACTTGAGACACTTGGTGAAGAGGGAATCTGGATTGGAAGTTGCATTTATAAAAAGTTCCCCAAGTAGGCCAGGCACGGTGACTCACACCTGTAATCCCAGTACTTTGGGAGGCCAAGGCAGGCGCATCATGAGGTCAGGAGATCAAGATCATCGGGGCTAACATGGTGAAACCCCGTCTCTACTAAAAATCCAAAAAATTAGCCGAGCGTGGTGGAGGGGGCCTGTAGTCCCAGTTACTCGAGAGGCAGGAGAATGGCCTGAACACGGGAGGGAGAGCTTGCAGCAAGCCGAGATCGCGCCACTGCACTCTGGCGCAGGCGACAGGGTGAGACTCCGTCTCAAAAAAAAAAAAAAAAGTTCCCAAGTAATTCTTAGACACACTAAATTTGAAAACCTCTGCAGCACTAGTACATAAATTGTGCTGGAGGCAAAGACCTATGATACATCAGGGATTTGAATTCGTTCTTAGAATGGATCTACCATAAAGTCAAAAGTTAAGATTGTTTACTGCTCCTGGGTAAAATTTTAAATCCTATTTATTTTAATTTAATGGAATACATTTAACTGAATAAGTTTAATGAGGAGCATAATATGTTTCATGAAGGGTCATTAGTTTTATATTTCCCATTTGGACCATTACCCCTCTTCCTTAACCCTCTAAAAACAGTTTACTCACAAGAAGAAAAGGTATCGGGAGAGATAGAAATAATATAATTTCCAGCCTTTACACAGAAATACAAATTTCTGGGCCATACCAGAGTAGTGCTACAGGGTCATAGGAAATTGTGCAGTGCGTGGGTGTTGAAAAAGATTCCTTCTTTTAGCAAAAAAGCTCTGCGTAATTATCATGTCTTTGCTTGATAATTAGCACTACTCCAACAATGGCACAAAGACTCACAAAGGCTTAACAGACAGACTGAGATCAGTTTTTTTATGATTATATTATAATGCAGCTTGAATATCTGTTTAGATACAATATATAAATATGCCAGATTTAGTAAATGTGTTAAATTTTTAATCCATTGGTTAAAAAAACAAAAACAGTTATTGTATTAAAAGCACTTCCTTTGAAGGAAGTCCATTTTACTTAACTCTGTGACAAGTATACTGGGATATTTACCCAAAACGCTAGCTTGTCAGACTGTTGAAATTCAGTTCGGATGGCATTAAGGAACTGCCCCCTTCACTGCTTGTTCACTAGCTCCACTCCTCGTTCTCTTAGCTGTCTAAGACAGCAAACCCTACCAGTTTATGTTGGGCTCTGTTCCTGGAAGAAGATGTGGTTGTTGAGTACTTCAGGATGATCTGAAGATGCAGATCCCACAGGACATGCTTACAGCCCATTGCTTCATTTAGCAATGATTTAGCAAGCTCCACTCATGCTCAGCACTGTGGAAGAGACTCTGAAACAGCAGGAGACAGGCATTCTTGTTAAGGATGTAAAACATATATGCAAAAAATCAGCTTGGGAACAATTGGACGGCAAAGGAACAATAACCTCATTAATGCAGTATAAGCTGCTGAAATGAAGGTGTAGGCTAAACAATTCAACAGAACTCATTCAGCCAGGTCATGTGTTTTTCCAGAGCATTCCAAGTGATCCTTGGAGTGACAGGACTCCCAGACAGGTTACCTCCATATCCAGCACGTTTTGTAACCACAAAATCCTTATGGGAGTATCACTTAGCACCCAGCCAGGAAGGAATCTCTCATCCCCTCAGTGAACTCAGTGATTCTAATGAGCTACTCATTCAGTCTGGGCCCACAGTCCAGTGATTAAGTGTGGAAGGGGAATAAAACACAAGGCCCTTTGCTGCTCTCTAGGAAATTCAGAGATGGATGTAACTCCTGCAGAAGAAACCTTTGATTCACAACTGTCTCAGTAGAGGATTATTGGTTTTTCTTTTTAGAGGAAGAACATGTGTGTCTCTCTCTCTGTGTGTGTGTGTGTGTGTGTGTGTGTGTGTGTGTGTGTGTGTGAGAGAGAGAGAGAGAGAGAGAAGGAAAGGGACATAGGGAGATGGAGAGAAGATGAGAGATGAGAGATTATATTTACCTGATATTTTATTATTTTGGAAATTTTATTTGCTGTCACCTGAATCCTGACTTCTGTTTTGATTTAGAGACATCTAAGAACAGTTGCTGCAGCAAAATGTTTTCTGCACAGTAATAATTAAGGCCTAAATTGGGATGGGAAAAGCCTTAAAATAGTTTATAACTTGTATAGCTTCACAATGGTGATGAAAGTTATCAACGAGCTAAGTGCTCTTACATAGTTTAGTGAAAATACTAAATACAATTTTTGTTGAAAAGCAAATGCAGCAAATAGCGAAATTGGACTTCTTTACAAACTCAGTATCACAAAATTTGGAAATGGATGTAAATGTGAAAATATGTCTACTTTACTTGACCATTCATTATATCTAATTAGCTTCTAATTTTATACTTATAAAAATATAGATGTAAAGCCACTGTAGCCAGACTGCCTCTCTAGATTCCTCCTCTCTGGGCAGAGCATCTCTGAAAGAAAGGAAGCAGCCCCAGTCAGGGGCTTATAGATAAAACTCCCATCTCCCTGGGACAGAGCACCTAGGGGAAGGGGCAGCTGTGGGCGCAGCTTCAGCAGACTTAAATGTTCTGGCCTGCTGGCTCTAAAGAGAGCAGCGGATCTCCCAGCACAGTACTTGAGCTCTGCTGAGGGACAGACTGCTTCCTCAAGTGGGTCCCTGACCCCCCGTGCCTCCTGACTAGGAGACACTTCCCAGCAGGGGTCGACAGACACCTCATACGAGAGAGCTCCGGCTGGCAACTGGTGGGTGCCACTCTGGGACGAAGCTTCCAGAGGAAGGAACAGGCAGCAATCTTTGCTGTTCTCCAGCCTCTGCTGGTGTTAACCCAGGCAAATGGTCTGAAGTAGACCTCCAGCAAACTCCAGCAGACCTGCAGCAGAGGTGCCTGACTGTTAAAAGGAAAACTAACAAACAGAAAGGAATAGCATCAACATCAACAAAAAGGATGTCTGCACCAAAACCCCATCCAAAGGTCACCAGCATCAAAGACCAAAGGTAGATAAATCCATGAAGATGAGGAAAAACCAGTGCAAAAAGGCTGAAAATTCCAAAAACCAGAATGCCTCTTCTCCTCCAAAGGATCACAACTCCTCTCCAGCAAGGGAACATAACTGGATGGAGAATGAGTTTGACAAATTGACAGAAATAGGCTTCAGAAGGTGGGTAATAACAAACTCCTCCGAGCTAAAGGAGCATGTTCTAACTCAATGCAAGGAAGCTAAGAAACTTGAAAAAAGGTTAAGGGAATTGCTAACTAGAATAACCAGTTTAGAGAAGAACATAAATGACCTGATAGAACTGAAAAACACAGCACAAGAACTTTGTTAAGCATACACGAGTATCAATACCCAAATCGATCAAGCGGAAGAAAGGATATAAGAGATTGAAAATCAAATTTAATGAAATAAAGCATGAAGACAAGATTAGAGAAAAAAGAATGAAAAGGAATGAACAAAGCCTCCAAGAAATATGGGGCTATGTGGAAAGACAAAACCTACATTTGATTGGTGTACCTAAAAGTGATGGGGAGAATGGAACCAAGTTGGAAAACACTTCAGGATATTATCCAGGAGAACTTCCCCAACCTAGCAAGACAGGCCAACATTCAAATTCAGTAAATACAGAGAACACCACAAGATACTCCTCAAAAAGAGCAACCCCAAGACACAATCAGATTCACCAAGGTTGGAATGAAGGAAAAAATATTAAGGGCAGCCAGAGAGAAAGGTCGAGCTACCCACAAAGGGAAGCCCATCAGTCTAACAGCAGATCTCTCTACAGAAACCCTACAAGCCAGAAGAGAATGGGGGCCAATATTCAACATTCTTAAAGAAAAGAATTTTCAACCCAGAATTTCATATCCAGCCAAACTAAGCTTCATAAGTGAAGGAGAAATAAAATCCTTTACAGACAAGCGAATACTGAGAGATTTTGTCACCACTAGGCCTGCCTTACAAGGGCTCCTAAAGGAAGCACTAAATATGGAAAGGAAAAACTGGTAACAGCCACTGCAAAAACATATCAAATTGTAAAGACCATTGACACTATGAAGAAACTGCATCAACTAACGGGCAAAATAACCAGCTGGCATGATAATGACAGGATCAACTTCACACATAACAATATTAACCTTAAATGTAAATGGGCTAAATGCCCCAATTAAAAGACACAGACTGGCAAATTGGATAGAGTCAAGACCCATCTGTGTGCTGTATTCAGGAGACCCATGTCGCGTACAAAGACACACATAGGCTCAAAATAAAGGGATGGATGAATATTTACCAAGCAAATGGAAAGCAAAAAAAAAAAAAAAAAAAAAAAAAAAGGCAAGGGTTGCAATCCTAGTCTGTGATAAAACAGACTTTAAACCAACAAAGATAAAAAAAGACTCAAGAAGGGCATTACATAATGGTAAAGGGATCAATGCAACAAGAAGAGCTAACTATCTTAAATATATAGGCACCCAATACAGGAGCACCCAGATTCATAAAGCAAGTCCTTAAAGACCTAAAAAGAGACTTAGATTCCCACACAATAATAGTCGGAGACTTTAACACCCCACTGTCAATATTAGACAGAACAGCGAGACAGAAAATTAACAAGGATATTCAGGGCTTGAACTCAGCTCTGGACCAAGCTGACTTAATAGACATCTACAGAACTCTCTACCCCAGATCAACGTTGGACTTCAGCATTCTTCTCAGCACCATATCACACTTATCCTAAAACTGACATAATTGGAAGTAAAACACTCTTCAGCAAATGCAAAAGAATGCAAATCATAACAAACAGTCTCTCAGACCACAATGCAATCAAATTAGAACTCAGGATTAAAAAACTCACTCAAAACCACACAACTACAGGGAACCTCAAGAACCTGCTCCTGAATGACTACTGGGTAAATAATGAAATTAAGGCAGAAATAAGTAAGTTCTTTGAAACCAATGAGAACAAAGACATAGTGTACCAGAATCTCAGAGACACAACTAAAGCAGTGTTTAGAGGAGGTGAATTTATAGCACTGAATGCCTACAGGACAAAGTGAGAAAGATCTAAAATTGACACCCTAACATCACAATTAAAAGAACTAGAGAAGCAAGAACAAACAAAAGCTGGCAGAAGACAAGAAATAACTAAGAGCCGAACTGAAGGAGATAGAGACACGAAAAACCCTTCAAAAAATCAGTGAATCTAGGAGCTGATTTTTTGAAAAGATTAACAAAATAGACTGCTAGCCAGACTTAATAAAAAAGAAGAGAGAGAAGAATCAGATGCAGTAAAAAATGATAAAGAAGATATTACCACTGATCACACAGAAATACAAACTACCATTAAAGAATACTATAAACACCTCTATGCAAATAAACTAGAAAATCTAAAAGAAATGAATAAATTCCTGGACACACACACCCTCCCAAGACAAAACCAGGAAGAAGTCAAATACTGAATAGACCAATAACAAGTGCTGAAATTGAGGCAGTAATTAATAGGCTACCAACCAAAAGAAGTCCAGGACCAGATGGATTCATAGCTGAATTCTACCAGAGGTACAAAGAGGAGCTGGTACCATTCCTTCTGAAACTATTCCAAATAATAAAAAAAGAGGGACTCCTCCCTAACCCATTTTATGAGGCCAGCATCATCCTGTTGCCAAAACCAGGCAGAGACACAACAAAAAAAGAAAATTTCAGACCAATATCCCTGATGAACATCGATGCAAAAATCCTCAATAAAATACTGGCAAACCGAATCCAGCAGCACATCAAAAGCTTATCCACCATGATCAAGTCAGCTTCATCCCTGGGATGCAAGGCTGGATCAACATGCACCAATCAAAAAATGTAATCCATCACATAAACAGAAACAATGACAAAAACCACACCATTATCTCAATAGATGCAGAAAAGGGCGTCGATAAAATTCAACACTCCTTCCTGCTAAAAACTCGCAATAAACTAGGTATTGATGGAATGTATCTCAAAATAATAAGAGCTATTTATGACAAACCCACAGCCAATATCATACTGAGTGGGCAAAAGCTGGAAGCATTCCCTTTGAAAACTGCACAAGACAGGGAGGCCCTCTCTCACCACTCCTATTCAACATAGTATTGGAAGTTCTGGCCAGGGCAATCAGGCAAGAGAAAGAAATAAAGGGTATTTAAATAGGAAAAGAAGAAGTCAACTTGCCTCTGTTTGCAGGTGACATGATTGCATATTTAGAAAACCCCATTGTCTCACCCCAAAATCTCCTTAAGCTGATAAGCAAATTCAGCAAAGTCTCAGGATACAAAATGAATGTGCAAAAATCACAAGCATTCCTATACACCAATAACAGATAAACAGAGAAATCATGAGTGAACTCCCATTCATAATTGCTACAAAGATAATAAAATACCTAGGATTACAACTTACAAGAGATGGGAAGGACCTCTTCAAGGAGAACTGCACACCACTGCCCAAAGAAATAAGAGAGGACACAAACAAACGGAAAAACACTCCATGCTCACGGATAGGAAGAATCTATATCGTGAAAATGGCCATACTGCCCAAAGTAATTTATAGATTCAGTGCTATCCCCATCAAGCTACCATTGACTTTCTTCATAGAATTAGAAAAAAACTACTTTAAATTTCATATGGAACCAAAAAAGAGCCCGTATAGCCAAGACAATGCTAAGCAAAAAGACCAAAGCTGAAGGCATCACGCTACCTGACTTCAAACTATACCACAAGGCTAAAGCAACCAAAACAGCATAATACTGGTACCAAAACAGTTATACAGACCAATGGAACAGAACAGAGGCCTCAGAAATAATGCCACACATCTACAACTATCTTATCTTTGACAAACCTGACAAAAACAAGTAATGGAGAAACGATTCTCTATTTAATAAATGGTGTTGGGAAAACTGGCTAGCCATATGTAAAAAGCTGAAACTGGACCCCTTCCTTACACCTTATACAAAAAAATAACTGTAGATGGATTAAAGACTTAAACGTAAGGCCTAAAACCATAAAAACCCTGGAAGAAAACCTAGGCAATACCATTCAGGCCATAGGCATGGGCAAAGACTTCATGACTAAAACACCAAAAGCAATGGCAACAAAAGCCAAAATTGACAAATGGGACCTAATTAAACTAAAGAGCTTCTGCACAGCAGAAGAAACGATCATCAGAGTGAACAGGCAACCCAAAGAATGGAAGAAAATTTGTGCAATCTATCCCTCTGACAAAGGGCTAATATCCAGAATCTATAAGGAGCTTAAACAGATTTACAGGAAAAAAACAACCCCATCAAAAAGTGGGCAAAGGATATGAACAGACACCTCTCAAAAGAAGACGTTCATGCAACCAACAAGCATATGAAAAAAAGCTAATCATCACTGGTCATTAGAGAAATGCAAATCAAAAGCACAATGAGATAACATCTCACACCAGTTAGAATGGTGATCATTAAAAAGTCAGGAAACAACAGATGCTGGAAAGGGTGTGGAGAAATAGGAACACTTTTACACTGTTGGTGGGACTGTAAACTAGTTCAACCATTGTGGAAGACAGTGTGGCGATTCCTCAGGGATCTAGAACCAGAAATACCATTTGACCCAGCCATACCATTTCTGGGTATATACCCAAAGGAGTATAAATCATGATGCTATAAAGACACATGCACATGTATGTTTATTGCGGCACTATTCACAATAGCAAAGACTTGGAACCAACCCAAATGTCCATCAATGATAGACTGGATAAAGAAAATGTGGCACATATACGCCATGGAATACTATGCAGCCATAAAAAAGGATGAGTTCATGTCCTTTGCAGGGACCTGGGTGAAGCTGGAAACCATCATTCTCAGCAAACTAACACAGGAACAGAAAACCAAACACCACATGTGCTCACTCATAAGTGGGAGTTGAACAATGAGAACACATGGACTCAGGGAGGGGAATATCACACAGCAGGGCCTGTCGTGGGGTGGGGGGCTAGGGGAGGGATAGCATTAGGAGAAATACCTAATGTAGATGACGGTTTTATGGGCGCAGCAAACCACCATGGCACGTGTATACTTATGTAACAAGTCTGCATGTTCTGCACACGTATCCCAGAACTTAAAGTAAATAAATATATATGTACAAAATTATTTTTATGTGCTATATAGATACATATTATACAAGGATACTTTTCTTAAGAGAAAAAAACAGATTCACTTACCTAATCATTTGCAGATTTTCCTTCTTTCAGTCATTGATTGAACAAAAATTTGTTGAATTCCTGCTCTGTGTTATATGCTATGAAATGCCTGGAGATACAGATATAACCAAGGTCCCTCAAGGACTCTCAGTCCTTAAGTTGGCTCACAAGGCCATGCATGATCTGATCCATGTATTTCTCTTACTCTTCAGCCTCACTTTTTGCAATTTCCCTGCCATTAACCTGCCCTTACAACCCCCATCCTATACTCAAGCCACATCGTACATACGTACATTCCTCAACCTCTCCAAGCTCTGTTTTGTCTTAAAATTCCTTACTGGATCTCTACTTGGCTGTTACTTATCCTTCACTCAAGTCAGGTCCCAATTACACTTTGGAAAGTCATCCTTGAAGCCCCCATAACTTAGGTTAGGTGCTTCCCCTGTATTACAGTCATCATGTGTTCTATCTTTCCCATCAGAGCACTGTTGAAGTTGTTATCCAATTGCCTGTCCCACACTAGATTCTAAACTCCCAAAGGGCAAGGGACTGTACACGTTTTGCTCACCATCATATTCCCAGTGCTTAACATGAGGTCTAGAGAAAGTTACCTCCTCAGAATATATTTATAGAATAAACAAACAGGAAAGACAGACATATAATCAAGTGATTATCATGTGGCATAACGTTGCACATTTAAAGTATGAAAAAATGTTTTTACAGTTCCAATGAAACAATTCATTAAATTTTGATAGAGTTTATCAAAGCACAATTTAAAAACACTCAAGTAATCTAGGTCCATACTCTCCAATATAGTAGCCAATAGGCTCATGAGACTATTTACATTTAAATGAATTAAAATTAAATAAAATGTCCAATTCAGTTCCTCAGTTGCATTAGTCATGTTTCAAGCATTCAGTAGTCATGTGTGGCTAGTGGCTACTGAATTAAACAGGGAAGATATACAACAGAATGCATTGATCATCACAGAAAGCTCTATGAGACAGCACTGGTCTAGACTGAAATATGAAGAGGGAGATATTTAAACAAATTGTGTTTTCAAATTAATACCAAAATTAATTCTTCAATATAAAATTTGAGGAGTCACTTCGGAAGTGAGTAACTGTGTACCTTGTGATTTTGGAATTCAGAGCATAAATGTTCACTTCGAGAGACTCTGATCTGGAACTAAACACTCACCATAAAACTAAAAGCACACTTTACCCCTAACCTATAACCACAGAGTCAATCAGTAAACTTATGATCTGGTCAGAAAGCACTTGCAAGTTGTCCAGGCTGACAGGGAACATTAACTGTGTGAGCTGGGTGAAGTATACTGTATTTTTTTTTAACTTGAAGCTTGTGAATGGAAAGATGATAGTTCTGTCTTATTACTATTTTTAATTTACTTGAAGCAACATTGGACCAGTATTTACCTATATAATTAGTAAATTAATTTCTCCAGAAAAGTATTTTTCATTATAAAAAAATTTAGAGAAATAGTATTCTTGAGATACATTACAAATCCTTCTTAGATTTACTATAAA
This sequence comes from Homo sapiens, assembly GCF_000001405.40. Classification (NCBI taxonomy): domain Eukaryota; kingdom Metazoa; phylum Chordata; class Mammalia; order Primates; family Hominidae; genus Homo; species Homo sapiens. The sequence continues at coordinate 88,792,040 of NC_000005.10, read as the reverse complement.
ACATAATTGATATAGATCTTACTGCTAGTGACTAAGTAAGTCTACCCTCCCCTCTGTTAAGCCAAGCATATAATTGCTTTTCAATACATGGTATTGAAAAATTAACAAAGTATTAGTATTTTCCATAAAGATTTAAACCTTCTATGTTGTGGCTTCTGAGGGAAAAGGGGAAAAAGATTTTGTTATTTAAAAAGTTTTTTATTTTCCTGAATTTTAATATAATTTTGTTTATATATCTTTAAAAGACTTTTATTAGTACCTGTAAATAATATTTTTACTTGTTCCCCAAAGTCTTAAAGAAGAAATGAGTCTAAAATTTTTTAAATGTATTCATATTTCTCATAACTATACCACAATGATTTGTATAGATCAAATTTGAAGAGCCATTTCTTTTTTAAAAATAATCTTCTTGCTTAATTTACATGTTTTATAAACACGAAGAGCTGCTTCACATCTCATTTATTAAGAAAATAATCATTGTTGAACAAATAGTAATGTGAGGCAATAAAACTGAGCTTCCTCTAGTCTCTGTTATTACACAGCTCTAATAGTTTGCAAGCATTAGTATGAACACAGTGAGCAGATAATTACTTAATAATAGTAGAAGCAGAAAAGACAGGGTTCAAAATATAGACTTTTATCAGTAATATAATTTCTTTATCAATATTAATCATTACCATTTTGTCATCATTATTATTTTACATGAACCTTCCTGAACTAGAGCAAAACAAAGATCTCATGTGATCTCTCTTCACCTGACTCCCACCATACCTGGAAATGAAAAGAGAAAAATATATAGCCTGGATGATAATTGTCAATTTTTAATGATATTTACAAATTTCATGGCATATGGAACTTGGTGGTAAGCAGCATATTTGAACCAAATGTTACATTCTAGCCATTGATATCATCTAAGTAAAACTAACATTGGCTCTAAAAGGTGCCGAATAAGAATCAAAGTGTAGAATATTCTTACTTCCTCAGGAAAAGTTACTGAATATATAGTCATGAAATATTCAAAAGTAAAGTTCTAAGAATGATTCTGAGGCTTGCCTAGAAGCAGAATTCTAAGATGATGGCTCTTTTCATTAAGGAGTGTTTATTTTAATTTCTTCACCCCACTGTTGGTTTTGGGGGGTTTGTTTTTGTTTTGTCTAATTACAAATCCCTCTCCTTTCCCTGAAGGGCATGACGAAGCTTTGTTCATCTCTGTACCTCCAGCTGCCAGCTCAATGCCTAGCATATTGTGGACATTCAATATATATCAACTTACTGATGATCATTAGCATAAATAAAATTTTTAAATATACAATTTTTTCTTTGGTGAGATCCGATGTGTTCTAATAATAAAAGTGAGAATCTTTCAAGTCAGCTAGAGTGAGTAAATGTTGTTTTGCATCAAAAATAAATAAATAATTAAATTACAAGGCACAGGAAACCAAGTAAAAGTATTGCTTGTGGTGCTGGTGGAAAGGAAAGGACTTCCAGACCAAGGTACAGTATTTTGATTACTGGAGAAGAGAGAAGAAACCTGTTAGTGCTTTGGCCAGTATTGGGTCAAATGAAATGCCTGTGGCCCAGTGTGAATCACCAGAGTATCTTGCTAAAATGCTGATTCTAACTCAGTGGGTATAGGGCAGGGCCCAGGATCCCTTTATTTCTGACCAGGTGATGCTGATGCTGCTGGAGTAGAAAGGATCTAGATTTCCTTTTCCAAACATGTATTTCCTTCTTCATGGAATTTGAAAGTGTGTCTGTAGACTATTTCCTCTTTGTAATTTTATGGAGGGTTAGAATCATGCTATAAAACAGGTTCTTACAACTGAAATTCTGTGAAACTAATTCTTGAAAGGAAGTGTCTTAGGTTTTTCTGGAAGTGTGATACATTCATAAAAGGCACATCACTACCCAGTGAGGTGGGACTCTGGCACATTTCACTCCTTAGTGTGTGCCCATCACTTTGTACTGGCTGCCTGGAGCACACAGTTAAGGAAGATGCTGAGTCCAAGTCCAGACATTCAGGAAGTGTGATGTGATTGGTTAGGGGCATGTGCCTTGGGTGCAGAGAGATAGTAGTACCCATAACTTTTTCATTATTTTCTTGGTCAAAATAATCAATAGGACATTCTGGGAAAAGACTTAATCAAAGTCAGTCATTAAAAGGACTGTAATTAGGTAAATGCTGCATATGTGTACAACAGATTAAGTAAATAGATTATATTATTGGAAATATACCCCATTTTATAGCTATTTGGCATATTATCCAGTCATGTCTCAATGGTGTTTAGTGTATTCTGCACTACTCTGAAATTTAACCACCTGGAAGAAGTTATGAATAAGAAAAAAAATTCTCTGTCAATTATTTCTAAAGGTCATAGAGTTAATGACTAGCTGGAAGGTTAATTAGATTCTGAAAACCTCTTCATATCAATTAAATCTCTTATCTTTATGTTTTAGTAAATAAACTGAATAACTATTTAGAGCTACTGTTCTAGGGTAAGAAACGTTGTAAACAGTAAAACTACACAATGGGTGTTTGGGTTTTTTCCTCACATTAAAAAAAAAAATAGTTATAGCAGGCATGGTGGCTCACACCTGTAATCCCAGCACTTTGGGAGGCTGAGACAGGAGGATTACTTGAGCCTAGGAGTTCAAGACCAGCCTGGGCAACATACAGAGACTCCAACTCTACAAAAATAAAAATAAATTAGCTGGATGTGGTGGTGCATACCTGTACTCCTAGCTACGCAGGAGACTGAGGTCAGAGAATCACCTGAGCATGAGAGGTTGAGGCTCCAGTGAGCTGTGATCATGCCACTGTACCCCAGCCTGAGTGACAGAGCAAGACTCTATCTCAAAAAAAAAAAAAGTATTACAAAAAAGTAGATATATGAATTAATAATAGTAACTTATTTTAATAATAGTAACTTATTTTATAATTTCTGAATTACTTTATTTTTCAAAAATAAAAGTGTGCATATTACTATTTAATCATAAACAAGTTCCATCACTATGATGTCAAGGAGGAAACCATTTCATAGAAAAATAGACCAAAGTTACCCTATGCATGAGCTACTACTAATCTAAAGCCAACTTCACTCTCAGTTATTTCAATAGGACATAAGTTTATTGATTGACTCTGTGGTTAGTTCCAGAAACCCAACCCCTTTGAAAGTTACTGTACACATTTGTAAATAAATGGTATATTTAGCACCTATACTATGACAATTATAAACTCATTTGTGTCATGTAAATTTTCTTTGGATAATATAACCAGACTTCAGATGAAAAGACATAGATCTGCATTAATCTGTAAGGTAGCCTAGCCACATGTGGCTATACAAATATAAATATAATTTAAATTACATAAAATTAAAAGTTCAGCTTTTCAGTCTCACTATCCACATTTCAAGCAAGATGTGACTAGTGGCTCCCAAATATAATTGTCCATTATGAAAGAAACCCTCTGTTGGACAGTAAATGACGAAACTGGTGCATCTAGTGTTCTCTTTCATTCAAATAACTGGCATGGGCTGGCCGAGGTGGCTCATGCCTGTAATCCCAGCACTTTGGGAGGCCGAGGCAGGCGGATCATTTGAAGTCAGGAGTTCAAGACCAGCCTGGCCTACATGGTGAAACCTCATCTCTACTAAAAATACAAAAAAAAAAAAAATTAGCCAGGCGTGATGGCACACGCTTGTAATCCCAGCTACTCGGGAGGATGAAGCAGGAGAATTGCTTGAGCCCGGGAGGCGGAGGTTGCAGTAAACTGAGATTGTGCCACTGCACTCCAGCACTCCAGCCTGGGTGACAGAGCGAGACACAGTCTCTAAATAAATAAATAAATAAATAAATAAATAAACAAACAAACAAACTGGCATGATGGTTAATAGATACAGCCCAATAAAGGATATGTAAACTGGAGAGGTTGCACCTGGCTACTTCACCTTCCATTCCTGCAGCAGGCATTTATGACATGCCCACTGTGCGTCAGTCAGGACCTGAGCCAGGGCAGAGAAATCCAACCAGGAAAGTTGAATCACTCAGTTGGCATTTACTCCAAGGAACAGAATATTTGTTAAAGTCTATGTGATTTTGTGGAGAAAGACGAGAAAATGGAGGGATCACTGAAGCTGGAATTGCCCTGAGGAAGAAGAGAAAATGGAAAAGGCACAGGAAAAATGAGTAGTAAGAACGTAGAAATAAGCTAGGTCCCTTGTGAACTTTTCCAACAGGAAAGAAAAGATCATGCGTGCACACGGTTTCTTCTGATTTTTCTTAATTAGTATGTGCGGAATTTTATCTTCATCCAGACTCCATGATTGGTTTTCCTTAACTGTAGTTGTTCTGAATTAATTTCATGTGGGGGAAAAATAAAGCTACAAAGTGATTTTTCTAAAGAATATTGTTGAAGCATTGTTATGAGAGTTCATCTTTCAAATTTTACTTCTAGGATATAGGACTTTAAAAGCTCCACAAATTTGAAGGAAAGATGGAGATTAAAAATTCAGTTCCAGTTACAGCAACATCACACACTCTCATTCTCTAACGGAGGGCGAGTTATGTAACCTTGCTGGGCTTTAGGTTCCTCATGAGTTAATGCTGTCTACCCTGAGCTCCTTACGGGGCTGTCATGAGGATTGCAGGTTATAACAGCTGTCAGAGCCCATTGTCAACCCTTAAGTTTTAAAAAATTAGTTTTATTTTCAAAGTCAAGAGAAAAAGTTCAGAGAAGAAAAAATGCTAACCAAAAGAAAGACAAAAATTCTTAATTTACGACTGCATAGTTTATGCTAATAAGTGTATTATTTATAAGTAAATATTGAATGATTATATAAATAACTGTAGCATTTTACATAAATTAAGAAGATCTAACAAAGGTCAACGAATTGATTTTTTTTTTCTTTTCCACAAGTATTTATTAAGTGTATGTGCAAAGTATGGTGTTCACGGCCCTCCAGGGCCAGTAGCAGTCCATGGTGGACAGAATATACACAGTATTTGTTCTCTCATTCAGTAGATATTGATGGACATGAAGATCATTTGCTAAGCATTCTGCCAGTTACTGGTGATGCATCTGTGATTATGATACCCAATTATCTGAACCATAATAAGATATAGACAAAGTACAGTGGGCTAACAGAGGAGAAGGAAAGCAGTTACAACTGTGAGCACCTGAAAAATCTTACTGTAGATTTCAGATGAAGGCATGGCCTTGAATAAGTAGAATAATTTGATATGCTAAGCCAATCTGAGAACCATTTTTCCCATTTAAACTAAAAGTGAGACTAATAAATGTAGTGATATATGGACATTAAATGCATATATGTATATATATACACACATATATGTAGTATGTATATGTAGCAGCCTTTATTTTTTGTTTTCTGTTAGCACTGGATTTTTTAATGTATGGTTTTTCTATAAACAGATGGTTATAATTTCTAGAGAAATTCCATAGAACACAAATGTTAGAAAAATGCAGTGAATTTCATTGCCTTTAAGCTTAATAAAAGGTTCAACCTTAAAGTTGCATCCCACATCGTTAGTTTAACTTTACAGATGAGATTTTTTTTTCCCCTCTCTAAATTCTAAAACATGATACATCTGGCTGAGAGGCTGGAAAATTGTTACATGCCTGTGCAACATTCTTACAACCTAATCAGTTCTTCAACTTTTCTCGCAGTTTAATCATTGGAGAATGTTCTTTGTTTTTGTAGTCACTGTTTCACATAGTAACAGCTTGTTGTATTTTGGTCTGTTTGCCAGAGGGTAGGTTTATTTTTAAAACCCTGAACTCTGAATTTTTCTTTATTTTTCCAAGATTGAAAGCAGCTGAAATGCCTGGAGTTACAGGTTGAAGGCTGCTTCACAATATGTGGAGGAAGCTTCTTTCCCTCCTCCCTTTGTGTGTGTGTGCTTTTTTTTTAATTTTTCCCTAACAAATGTCTTCTAACTGGTAGTTGTCTAAAAATAGAAAACTGCTTAACTAAAAATAGCCTGGCTCTCAGTCGTGCCAAGGAAAATGGAGAGGAATAGGCGTGGAATAGAAGGCTGAGTAATCCAGTTCTATTCATTCAGAGAAACCTTTGAGAATGCGGGCGATGATAAAGTGCCCTCAAAAAACCACAGGCCCGACTCTCTCTTCAGACTTCTAGGTGCCAATAAACATTTTAGCCCCAGGATACTTTTTTTTTTTTCCTCATAGGTTGTAAACATTTTCTGAAAGACAAGGCTTTGTTTCAGGGAACCTGACAAACTGCCATAAATAACTAACTTTCCTAAGGTCTTAAAAATTCATATTTGTAAGATGTATTTTAAAAGAGAATCTTAAATGAAAGTATTGTAAAATAATGTACGTCGTGTAATAATTAACAGAGGAAACTCTGTTATAATAAAAACCACTTACTGCTTGCAATTAAACTCAAAACTTTAAGGAGTTTCACAGCAAGAAAATTATTCCTGTGACTCATTGTACCTTAAGAGAGCAGCTGACTCATTTTAGTTTAGCTCCCTGAGACATGAAATTCTCTTGTTCAGTCTGTATCCCCTTAACATGCCAACATTTAGTCTCTTTCTTAAAATTATTATTTTCACTCAAGCAGATTTTTACTTTTAATCTTTAAAATGATGTAGAAACTACTTTGAAAAATAGCATTTCTGGAGTAGGATGGCTTTTAGTTTCAACAAATGGAATTCTGAGTAAGTCATAAAAAAATACGTGTGTGTGTGTGTGTGTGTGTGTGTGTGTGTGTGTGTGTATGCCAGTTTTGCAATGGGAATGCTTTTTTTTTCTATTTTGTTTTGCTTAAGTAATCTGTAAACCAGGTCAAACATAGCAACAGGGTGTGGAAATGTCAGCACAGTTCATAGGGTTATACGAGTCTGAGCATTGTTATGTTCAGTTCCTGTAATGCTGCTGGTGATAAGACTCTTGAGACAAAAGACGATAATTGATGGAAAGAGGCTTAAATCATTGCTAGAAGAATCAAGGTCCTTGTATCTGTGTACATCGACTCTTCTGGTCTCCTTCCGTCTTGTAAAGCATTTTGTCGTCTTGCATGTTGGCCCCCTACTGCTCTTTGTAATGGATGCAGACCACAAGTGATTCCTTTATGCAGCATACAGGGTGTAATTGTGTCTGTGTGGTGTATTAGTAATTACCAAGCTGAATTCCCATATTGTATCTTTACTGCAGGCATGGAAAAATAGGACATACAACCCTGCGAAACCATTTTCAACCTAGATAGTGAGCCACTTAGAGCTGTATTCCAGGGACAAAGCCTTTTACATGAATACTTTTTAAACAAAATTTTCATTGTTGAGTCATTTGTACCATGCAGGATAAATTCAGTTTGGGAAATTATTACCTTTGATATTATATTATTCATTTCTGACTCTTCAGCAAAGTCTGTAATATGGAAAATATTGGTTCTTTTTAACTGCTGAAATAAAAAATATTTTTAGATGTAATAGTGATATGAGCTATGGTAACTATGCTAGGCTATCATACAGAAAGAGTACTACGTGAATTACTACATATAATAGATTCTGTAACATTTATAAACATGAAATAATATAGTTATTTTAGTAGCATTTTATCTTAAACAGTTATATGTTATACATAATTTATCAATATTGGCTCAAGCATTGTTAAACTTCAGAAAAAGCTGACAAAAAATTTTGTTACAGTAAACAGATATAAATTATTAATTTCTTTGCTATAAAATTTGCATCCATCCTTTATGTATTATGTAGCTGATATTGATTTGACTACCTCCAAATCATTGTGGATTTGAAATGTCTACAGTATTATCTGTAATAGAAAGCCAAAATAATGCAAGCAGCTTGGCTTAAACAAAAGAAAGTATGCTTATTCTATGCATCAAATGCTTATAATGACAGTTAAGAAATATTAAATAGAAGTGCAAAGAAATTAATACAGCAATTTCATTATCGATTTTCAATGCAGTTAGACTTATATTGCAAATTATTCATTAAAGCATTCAAGATTTTTGTTATATTTTTACCTTCATTTCTGAAAGTGGCCTTCCAGTATGTATATCTTAAAAATTTGCTTCCACTTTTATATGTAGATTTTGTTTTATTCAAGCAATAATTATTAAATTCTTAGGATATACAGAACTTTATATTGATGCCAGGAGAAATACAAGTTTGGAAGACATTGTCTGTGACCTCACAAAACTTACAGTCCAATTAAGGTAGAAAATACATGTGGGAATCAACTGGACAAAACAACGTAATGAGAACTATGGGGTATTTAGAGGGAGGCAACATAGCACAGTGTTGAGGAGCATCAGTTCTGGAGATAGACTGCCTGAGTTCTATATGTCCTTGGGCAAATTACTTAGACTGTCTGTTTTATTTTTTATTTTATTTTATTTTTTTTGAGATGGAGTTTCACTCTTGTTGCCCAGGCTGGAGTGCAATGGCGTGATCTCAGCTCACCGCAACCTCCACCTCCCGGGTTCAAGCAATTCTTCCTCAGCCTCCCGAGTAGCTAGGATTACAGGCATGTGCCACCACGCCCAGCTAAATTTTTTTTGTATTTTTAGTAGAGACAGGGTTTCTCCATGTTGGTCAGGCTGGTCTTGAACTCTCGACTTCAGGTGATCCGCCAGCCTCGGCCTCCCAAAGTGCTGGGATTACAGGCGTGAACCACTGCACCCGGCCAACTCTCTGTTTCTTAATCCCATCGTCTGTAAATAGAGGTTAATAATACTATCTTCTGCTTAGCTGTTATGAGAATTAAATGGATAAACATTTATAAAATGCTTAGAACAGGGTCTGACACTTGGTAAGGTTTACAATAATGATAACGACGACCATGATGGCAGTGCCGCTCCTGATACCATGTCATCAAGCAATAAGTGGTAGAAAGAAGTTTAAAAGGTCAGGACAGGCAGCCATGATTGGTAGTCCTTTTTAGGCTCAAACAAGTCAAATTCAGAAAGATGGATATCAATTGATGAAAAACGTGGGCAAACTTTCAAAAAACCAAGTATGCAAAGAGTCACAAGAAAAAAGAAACAAGGGCATGAAAAGTATTAGCTTGATATGAAGAGAATATTCACATAAATAAAAAGATATAAGAAAGATGGCAATGAAAATGGGAAGAAGAGACAGGGAAATCAAGCACTCTAAATATTTGATGTGGAATTAAATGTGATACAATTGGCATCAGAAAGACACTCCGTGGTCTCGAGCAGTAAATTAGCATAATGACAATTCTTGAGAGAGGTTCCGCTGGAAAAGACAGAAACAGTTGTGAAAAGTGGAAGTGCCAAAATATTTTACGTTTTGTAAGTATGTATATGTGTGTGTGCTAAAAAGCCTGAAAGCTTTCACCAAACTTATATTTTTATTTCATAGGACAAGTTGCTTCAGAAATATTCATATAATTTTAGTTTGCACTAATAAGGTGCACATGCATTTCTGTGACTGAGGACTATTTATCACATACAGTGTATTAAAAAAGCAAATTATAGAGGCCTCAGGAGGTTTTTTGTTGCGTTTGTTGTTTTCGTTTTGCTTGTTTTTATTTTTTTTTTTTTTGAGATGATTTCATGCCCATTGCCCAGGCTTCAATGCAGTGGCACAGCCTTGGCTTACTGCAACCTCCAACTCCTGGGCTCAAGTGATTCTCCTGCCTCAGCCTCCCAAGTGGCTGGGACCACAGGCACATACCACCACACCCAACGAATTTTTGTATTTTTTGTAGAGACAGGATTTTGCCATGTTGCCCAGGCTGTTCGAATTCCTGGGCTCAAGTGATCCTCCCACCTCAGCCTCTCAAGTGCTTGGATTACAGGAGTGAGCCACTGTGCCTGGCCTAGGAGGTTTATTTTAAACTATATAAGCTTCTTTACAGTAAATTGAAACATAAATCAAAATCTTATAAATTTAGAAGTTCCTAATGAAGTAGTGCACTTTTTAATTTTTAGACAGAGTCTCGCTAGGTTGCCTGGGCTCTTCTCAAACTCCTGGGATCAAAAGATCCTCCTTCCTCAGAACATGTGCAGTTTTTTGTTTTGTTTTGTTTTGTTTTTGACAGAGTCTCACTCTGTTGCCCAGGCTGGAGTACAATGGCACGATCTCGGCTCACTGCAACCTCCACCTCCTGGGCTCAAGCAATTCTCCTGCCTCAGTCTCCCGAGTAGCTGGGACTACAGGCATGTGCCACCACACCTGGCTAATTTTTGTATTTTTAGTAGATACGGGGTTTCACCATGTTGGCCAGGCTGGGTCTTGAACTCCTGACCTCAAGTGGTCCGCTTGCCTCGGCTTCCCAAAGTGCTGAGATTACAGGTGTGAGCCACCACACCCAGCCAGGACATGTGCACTTTTAATGATCACCTAAACAGGTCAGGATTCTGAATACAATACTGCCAAATATGAAAACTCTCCCCTTACACTTTCACATCCATATAATAAAAGCCCTGCCCTTTCATAAAAAAGACAGTGTGGTGCTGGAGGAGGGACAGACACACATTTTAGCGTCAGACAAACCTGGTTTCTGCCACTTTCATAAACTCTGTGATCTTGGGCAACATTCTGAATTTCCACCAAGCTTCAGCTTCTGAAGCAGTAAAAAAGGGATAATAAAACTCACTTTTGGTCTTCCTGTAAGAATTAACTTATGTACATATATAGCCATTAGCACATGATGCTCATACAACTGGTATTTATTTTCCTGCTGTTCCTTTTTGCATATGTAAATTTAGGCAAAAATTTTAAACTTTCACTTGTATATACACACGCATACTTTGGACACTGAAATCTTCAGTGTATTTGGTGCTTACATTTAAATAAAATGTCACATTTTATAAATTATCATATAATGTATGTATATTTCTTGTGTAATAACGTGATGAAATTCTTCAGAAATAAGGTCCTCACTACACAGATTTTTAAACTAGGGAAAGGGTAGAAAAAGGAAAAAAACTAGGAGTCAAAAGTAATTCTATTAAGTCCAGTCAAAATAGAGTTAAAAGAAAAAAAAAGTGGAACTCTGCCAAATAGAGGGGCTTGCCCAAGTTCTCTTAGTGAACTCTGGTAGATAGCATTAGGATATAATTTATTTCCTGGTGTCCCCTTTGAACTACTTTGTATCCAAGAAGAGGAGTTAGACAATGAGAGAGAAAGTGAAAGAACGAGAGAGATGTAGGGAGAAAGAGAAGGGGGTAGGTTGATTGAGATTTCAAGACAATGGAAGTAATTAGCAAGGATAACACAAGTGTCCCTATGCTGCCAGTTTCTCTTCTGACACAAAAATAAATAATTGATTTCATTGAAGTATTAGTCAGTCAACAATGCTTAGTGTGATGATATTGTTAACAGTGAAATATATATGTTGTGCATTGCTTCTAGGGTGAAACTTAAGTATCTTTGCCCTGGCTCCCGCAGTATTTTCATGGCAGTGAGGATACATACTCTTGGAAATGAGCCAGGAACACTCTAATGTATTACACATGTGGCTTAATACCAGGTGAACAGGTATTTTAAATATTCTAATCACATACCCACAATGTATATCGCTACTGGGAAAAGGATATCATTTTTAACCACTGGTGTTTGTTCTGAGCCATACCTTTTTCACACTCTGAAGATTTTCAAGACGAACTGTGATTTGGGGAGGGATGGCCATCTCAGTCAACTTTAACTGATAGGAGGTACAACAAATTTATAGTTCTGAACTCTGCACCTGGAGTCTGGCTACCGAAATCAAACCACTTGCTGACCAGCATAAAAATAAATAGGAAAATATTTCAGTGTTTTCCACAATTGCGTTTGTACAAATACAAGAGATTTTATTTATATTAAAGAAAACTGTAGTTTTTCGTTTTTTCTTTTTTCTTTTTCTTTTTTTTTTCGAGATGGATTCTCACTCTATCATCCAGGCTAGAGTGCAATGATGCAATGTCAGCTCACTGCAACCTCCACCTCTTAAGTTCAAACGATTCTCCTGCCTCAGCCTCCCAAGTAGCTGGGATTACAGGCTCCTGCCACCATGCCCAGCTAATTTTTTTGTATTTTTAGTAGAGAGGGGGTTTCACCATCTTGGCCAGGCTGGTCTCAAACTCCTGACCTCAAGTGACCCACCCGCCTTGGCCTCCCAAAGTGCTGGGATTATAGGCGTGAGACATGAGACACTGTGCCTGGCCTGCAAATTCTTATATTATGATTAGGGGAAGAAATTTGTTTTCCATTAGAAACCACCATTAAGTTTGCAAGCATTGTAACATAAAAAAAAAAAAAACCTCACTTTGCTGAGGCCTAAATTTCTATATTGAAATATTACTTTCTGGGGGAAAAAGATAAAATCTACCCAAAAGTACATCTAACGAGAAATAATTCTGAAGATTCTTTCAGATGTTCTGCTTCATGCTGTACACACACACACACACACACACACACAAACCTACACAAACCTACATATATTCACATATACATGCAGTTAATGTGAGACTGGCAGTTTCCAGCACAAAATACATAGCTTCCATTTCACTGTGCACAAGTTCCTGTGTCAGATCAACAAAACTTTCATTGATTTCTATCTATCTGCTTGGCTTCGACAATAATGTAATGCAATCGGGGAGGGAGAGTTTCTAACTTCTCCCAGCCACCTGCCTTAACCTCATGCTTCATTCATCTCGGTATAGACTGGATTCCTTTGACAATTAGTCGATAGTGTACATTACCTCATGGAAGCAGACTTTGAACTATGTTTTGCTTCCTTTTAATGGTACTGTTTCCCCTCATCTTTTAACAGTGATCTTTTAAAAAGAAGTGTGATTCTGTTCAGAATGATGGTGATGGCTGTTTGAGACATTTTAAAACTATTAGGTGGTTAATATGTGGTTAATATTATTTATTCAACAGAAAATGGACTTTAAGCGCATGTGAAAAGCAAAGCATCATAATTGTAAACTTCTTTTAAAAGTTATACAACTTTATTTAGTTTCAATTTTCCAAAAGTCCAGTTTCCCATCTGAGAGACATGGGTATTGGCCCGGCTGTGGGAAACCTCCAGAGAAAACAGGGGAGCTCCGCTACTGCGGAAGCAGAGTCAGTGACTGTGGGTGGCATTTTCTCCGCTGAGTCAGGTCCTGCCAGCCCTACCCCAGGCTTCTACCAACAGTGCAGATTTTCTGGCAAGATGCAAAACCCAAGTGTTTGTGGTTCTTGAAGCTCTTCTGCAGTTTCTCCTTTTCCTTGGTACTTTGGGAAATTTTCACTTTAGAAGATCACATCTTACTGTGTCTTCCTTGTAACTGTTGAAAAAATTGGGAAGTTTAAGTCATTTACTTTATTTTTCCTCTCATCTGGCCTATAAAGTAACTTGGTGTTATGTGCATGTTTTTCAACAAACAGGAAAGGGAAGAGATTATATACCCATGATTTTGAAAATAATTTTTATACAGCATACAAGATTTCTCGATGATCCCTCGCTTTGCCCAGGGAGAAACAATAGTTTCTCCATAAAAGCATACATTTTTCTCTTTTCCCCAATCTATTCCCTCAACCCAAGAGAAAATGTAGTCTTGTAGTTACCAGCCTTTGCATCCCCCATCTGCTCAAGCAAATTGAAGAGAAGAGGCAAGTGGTTGGCTTCTGCATCTGAAGAATATAGGTGCCAAAATAATAAAGTGGACCTTTTTGTTAGTCACAGAGACTTGAGGTTCTTGCTAGTATTACTCTAATCATTGTAATAAACCTGTGCTTCATTTTATGCAGATAGGTACAGTCTGTATATTATTGGGAAGGACTTCCTTCCTAGGCTTAGGAATGTTAGGAGTTGAAACATTTAGCAGCCGGGCGTGGTGGCTCACGCTTGTAATCCCAGCACTTTGAGAGGCTGAGGCGGGTGGATCACAAGGTCAAGAGATCGAGACCATCCTGGCTAACACGGTGAAACCCCGTCTCTACTAAAAATACAAAAACAAAATTAGCCGGGCGTGGTGGCGGGCATCTGTAGTCCCAGCTACTCAGGAGGCTGAGGTGGGAGAATGGCGTGAACCTGGGAGGCGGAGCTTGCAGTGAGCCAAGATTGTGCCACAGCACTCCAGCCTGGGTGACAAAGGGAGACTCCATCTCAAAAAAAAAAAAAAAAAAAAAAAGAAAAGAAAAATTTAGCACCCTTTCTTTTCCTTGGGGCTTCAACAACCTACACTTCATTTTAACTAGATAGATAGTACCTACATATTGGTGAAGGGCCTTCCCATCTATTCTAGATAGTACCTACATATTGGTGAAGGGCCTTCCCATCTATTCAGTTGATATTATAGCAAAATAGTAGGAAAAACATTTTAGATAATATTTTTTATCAGAAAATGAATTCCGTTACAAACACATCCCTTTATGAAAAAATAAGATTTGTCAGTCATTTCACCAATTTCAGCTGAGAGTAAGTGTTCAAAGGATACACAGATACACAGGCATGGTTTAGGCAATCCTTATTGTTAAACAACCTTGCAGACGCAGAATAATTTGATAGCTAAGAGAGAAAATTCTGGAGCTCATTCATGGGTTCATAGACTTGGTTCCACCACTCACTAACTTTGTAAACTTCAGCAAGTTCTTGGGCCACTGTGTGCCTCTTTTTTTCATCTGTAGATTGGCAGTCATTGTGGAAGAGTAGCTTGTGAGGATTAAAAAAAGACCCATGCAAAGCCACGGGCTCAGTCCCTGGCACATGTACATGCTTGGTAAATGGTAGGTGTTATTGCTGAGGAATGGATTCAATTAAAATATTAAGAAAATTAATATTTTGATAGTGATGGAAGACTGGTTTAATTTCCTCTTCATGCCATAGAAGAGGAAATGTTGTTTTTATAATTACCTAATGAAGAATCTGGAAGAAATGATTTTGCAAATGATACCCTTAAGCTCATCACTGAACTAACAAAATAACTGAGATTTCATAAGTTATGGAAATTGAAATACCTAATTTAAAAAGTCAAGTTTGCAGTACATTTCCATGGATAATGCCTGAAGTTATTGAAGCCATCATGACTACAAAATCAGGCAGCCAGGAGGCCAGGTCTACAGAGTCTGTTCAGAGAAGGCTGTCTGGGGCCACAGGACAGAGTGCGCCGTGGGGCTGGCAGCATGCACTTGGCCTTGTTGAGTTAGACAACAGGTGCCGAGCCACTGCCAGGTGTGGATATCAGGATGAACAAAATTGCTGATGGCCTGTCATAAAGCTTTATGTTAGATCATAAAGTGCTGAGCCCATATGATGAGAGATGAGTTCACATAGCAAGGGATCACTTGAAGTGTTCACTTGATTTTCCCCTCCCTGTCTTTCACACGATCTTCAAATTCTCTCTTTTTCACTCATTTTCATTCCTTCCCTCTCTCCCTCCCTCCCTTTCTTTCCTCTCCCCCTTCCAGTATTTTTCTATCTATTTATAACCTCTGTCTCTCATTCTTGGTATTCTTATTTTTAAACATTTTCTAAGTAGAATGACGGTTACTGGAGGCCGGAAGGGGTTGAGGTTACCAGAGGCTGGAAGAGGTTGATGAGGGCGGGAATGAGGAGTTGTTGATCAAAGGGTACAGATAGACAGAGGGAATAGGTTTTGAGAGCTACTGCACAGCAGGGTGGCTATGGTCAATAATAATGTATTTATATTTCAAAATAACTAAGAGAATAAATTTCAAATGTCTCACCATAAAAAATAAGAGAGGTGATAGATATGTTAATTAGTTAGATTTAATCATGCCACATTGTATACACATAACAAAATGGCACATTATACCATATAAATATATACAAGTATTGTTTGTCAATTTAAAATAATATTACTAATAATTTTTTTAATTATGGGGAAAAGTTCATCATAACAGTTAACAAATTGATTAATGAAATTTATCTTAACAATTTTATGAACACCAAAGCATCATCAAAATAAAAGTAGAAGAGGCATTTGATGAAATTCAGTTTCTATTAATAAAAATTCTTAATGGACTAGGAATAGAAATTTCCTTAAGTTTATGAAATATATCAACAAAAAGGGTTCATAGTAAGTGTATAATGGTGAAACATTTGGCTCATTCCTTTTAAAGTTATAAATGAGATAAATATGCTCCCATCTCTGCTTTAAGTCATACTGAGGGCCTAGTCAATGGAACAAAATGAGATAAAAAAATAAAATGTATATAAATCACACACACAAAAATACTCTCTATACCCTTCCATTTTTCAGTTCTCAGTGTCACTCTAGCTTTTATAGCATCATGTGAAATCCAAGGTGACAATGCACACCTAAGAATATTATCATCTGCATAATATATGCAGTCATGGGAAATGAGATTTTGTGAAGTAATAATTGGTCCATGATTCTGGACTGTCGATTCATATATGGATAGCATTCAGAGAATAAGGAAAATAAATTGAGATGAATTTGATTTTAATTATTAATTTAATTTGGAAACATAAATTTTGAAAAAAATTAACCTGATAATAAAGTAACTTAGTCTATATAGGCCTTGATTAGCATGCAGTATCAGTAATAGTACACTTTGCAAAATATTTCTTATGAATTATATTTTATTTGTAAGTATTTAACCTAGAAAGAAGGATCTATTTGCCATAATGCAATGTATGTTAGGAATTTTCAGATTGTATTTATTCATGACTCGTGTCCTCTCCGAGCAATTACACTCAATTCATAATTGCCTACACTAGTGAAAAAGGATCCTTCACATTAATACCATAAAACAGCAGGAACTGCAATGTGAGTCCAGGCACAGCAACCCCCAATAACAAATGAGCCAGGAAACTAGCAGGCAAGTCCCAGTGGAAAGTTGAGCAGAGGACCCTAACTCTGAAATGCTACTGGCACTTTTGATGTCGGTCCTAGAAATACTCTGATTATTTTTCTGGTACTAGCTGGAAATAATTATATTGTTAGGTAAGCAAATAAAGGCCCTCTAATTAGCAAACTTGAAATTTACATTAAATTATGAAATTCCCAGGGCCCAGTACTCTGCCAGGTACTAAGGATACCCCGACACAAGGCACAGACCTGCCCTCAAGGAGCGCAGCCTTGTGTGGAACAGAGGCAGGCACACAGTGGCATTGCAGCATGCAGAACTACGACAGGACTGCAGGAAAGACGAGTTTAAATAAAGAAAGCCACTGGAATGATGTCAGTGTGTTTGCAGCAGAAGCCTTGAGAAACTGCCTCAGAATTTTGAAGCACATTTATTTTTAAGCACCTGAAGCTCTTATCAAACAGTCCTATCAAACTTTCTTTCATCAGACACCTACCCAAGTCAACTGAACGTAAAATCCACCACTTATTATAAATTCACATATTAGGTGAGTGGTAATGAGATAACAGCTACAGAGGATAAATGGATTCAATTCTCTCCATCTCTACAAGTAATCTATAATGTGACAGGAGAGATAAAAGGTAGAAACTTACTTTGGGAGGCCGAGGCGGGCAGATCACGAGGTCAGGAGATCGAGACCATGCTGGCTAACACGGTGAAACCCCGTCTCTACTAAAAATACAAAAAATTAACCTGGCGTGGTGGCGGGCGCCTGTAGTCCCAGCTACTCGGGAAGCTGAGGCGGGAGAATGGCCTGAACCTGGAAGGCGGAGCTTGCAGTGAGCCGAGATCGCCCCACTGCACTCCAGCCTGGGCGACAGAGCGAGAAAAAAAAAAAAAAGAGGTAGAAACTTATTTGCAGAAAAGAAACAATTATTTGCATTTTAAGTTTACTGCTGTGAGTTTTGGAGATTTAGTCTGTGAGACTTTCTTAATGCATGATGTAGTTGTTGGTAGATAGAGGTTTGTTCTCTGACCATTTGACAACATCCTGAAACTCTAACAACTTCTACCTCCAGGTCAACTGTTGAACCTGCAAGGAGCCTTTTCCCCAGATCTCTGACTTCCAGTCGGCCTTTCTGCCTCTTGTTCACTAGAGAGTACATCCTGGTTTCCTGTCCTTATGCTAAGTCTGATGAAACCCCAGGATGTCTGTCTGCTGGCTTAACTGGCCCTGGATCAGCAACTGTCCCCTGACCAGCAACCATCTACCCATTATACCTTTCACTGCCTCTGTTAAGCAGAAGGTTTGCCAGTATATGAACCAATACAGTGAAAACACTAATATTGCATTAGCCAAGTCCCAGGAGAGATTTTACATGGAAAGGGAGAAGTAATATACAAGTAAGACTAGAGACCAAGACTGCTCACCTTTTACAGACCTGGCAAACCTGACTAAAACGCGAGAGAGGTTTGGTTTTCAAGGGGGAACATTTGGATTCCTAGCCACTAGCTTTTGCTTAGTCTGCCTGAGCCTCTCCATTGTATATCATCAGGCTGTCCTTACCATTAGTCCCCTGTAGGACACCTATCCAGAAAAGTTAACCAATTTGTAGCAACATTCTACTGTCAGATATCCTACTAGTTGCCAAGGATGGAAAGTCGTCAGGAGACTTCCTGTCTGCAAGAATCTTATAATCTAGAAAATGATATAAAAGCAGAAAACAGATAGCAACAATATGAAATAACTGTTCATTATATAGTTCTAAGGAAGAATAAAAGAGACATTAATTCTATTAACTCTCTCTTCCACGTGATTTTTTCCTTTTATAATTTAAGTTTATGTACGAGGATGGGGGATGGTGGGGTTGAGGGGCAGATGTTGCTAAGGGTAGAATCAGTGTATATGTACAGTATGTATACAAACCTAATAAGTGCCCTCTATGTGTTTTTAGATTTCATTGTAATTCCATTTTAAATAAGAACTTCTGTTGCTACAGCCTTGAATTCCATTATTCTTTCATCGACAATAACAACATTTATTGAGTGTCATCCATGTGCTGGGAACATTCAAGATGCTGTGGATACAGAGGTGAAAAAGACAAAGATTCTGCTCTCATAGAACTTCGTTCTAACACACTGAAACTCTTCTCTCCCCAGGCAGCCACAGGCGGCTGTGACTTACGTATTGTGTTCCCACAATCCCAGTGACGCTCTGCACTCCTGATACTTCACTTTTCTCTAATCAGAACAATATGGGTATTGAGCAGTATGTGTTAACAGTTGTCAATGGCAGTCTCTGGGATGGCATATCACAAGCTCAGGCAAAACCCTCAATTAGCATCTAAGTGTGTTTGTTCTTCACAGGGCATATTAACTGGGGAGATAGACTATAAGAGACCCTCCCTGCTCATTGCTGTCAGATCACTATAGAATAACCAAAACCAAAGTGAAAATTTTCAAGAGTGAATGACTTATAGCCACTCCTTGAAGAGCAGGCTGGTTTATTAGGAAGAGGGAGAAATCAATTTTAAAAAGATTTGAATGTCACGTATTATGTGGGAAGAAGTTGAGGATACCATAAATGAAATCTGTGTTCACAATCCAGAATTGGTCCTTGAAAAATCTCTCTGCCTGCTATTTAAGAAATTGAAGAATAGAAATAACTTGCAGTATTTTTGGTGCTGTCCCAAATTGAAAACTGTTATTGGTGATGTTGGTCCTGTGACTTAAGACATGACAACCACAACATAGAGAATGTTCCCCATCAGGACAAGGGCCAGCCCAGGAGAAAAGTGGGCCAGGGTCAAGCCCATTAGATGTCTTTACCTCTCTTAAGCCTGGCTGTCAACTGAACGTAAATTCCACCACTTTAGGTTGGGAGACAAGGAATTAAAGGAAACAGCTCAATCTTTATCTTGGGAGTTCCTGACTGTCTCAGAAATGAGGAATTTGATATCTTAAGTTCTCAGGTATGATTAAAATAGTCATGACATAAGTCAATCAGTTGCCAACCTCAAGACTTTATTTTGCAATGCCTTATGGAAAGTTCTGTGTATACTCTGCTTTTCTGATAAGCTGGTAATAAACTGGAGATCCCAACTGACAGATATTCTGTAAAGTACATCAAGGGTAATGCCTTGTTTCGGAGGGGAGACGTAGAAATAGAGAAGAGAATGCACAAAGGTGTCTATTGCAGTAAGTTTTGTTCTCAACATGTTTGTGTCTTCCTGGCAGTAACAGAGCAGCAGCAGCCACAGATGGCTTGGAAGCCCATCATGCCCCAGACTCTGAGCAGGTCTAAACACAGAGAAATCCCACCATTTGTGAACCAGTTACAATAGTCTGTGTCACCTCCTCCATTCCCTCAGCTCCCACAGGGATGTCCTGTGCCGCAATCTTGAAGTCATTCCAGATATTGCTTTAACCTACCAGAACTTGTACTCCTTACATTTTGAGGTAATAATCTTATTAAAACAAATAAATAGTACTGTCACTCTACAAGACCACCCAACTCATTTGAATTAGTGTCTGTCACTGTTAGAAAGTATGACTGTCAAGTTTGTTTGCTTATTCATTTATCCAGTGAACCATAACTGAGAATCTTGGTTGAGTCCACACATATTACCCAAGCCCTGTGTTAGGGACCAGAGATGCCCATTTTTCACAGAACTCACTACCTGGTGGTGAAGCAGACATGTTAAAAAATAAATTACAGTATAACATACCACATATAAAAAAGAGGTCAAGGACTGTACAGGTACAGAAAAGGGAGTTCCTGAGTGCCTTCTACAAGCGTTAGGAAAAAGCTTCACCAAGTAAGTGAGGGCATTAGGTAATAGGGTGTCCTAGGACAATTAAGGTTTGTGTAACTGAGAGGAGGAGTAAATAAGGATATTCTAGGAAGGATGGAATGGCGTATATCAAAGCAGTGTTTCTAAAGGATTGAGCTGACTTGCCAAATGACATGAAATTTCCCCCTTGGCCAAAACCCAGCGATATAGTTTGGCTGTATCCTGACCCAAATCTCACCTTGAATTGTTACAGTCCCCACATGTCATGGGAGGGACCCAGTGGGAAGTAATTAAATCTTGGGGATGGATCATTCCCATGCTGGTCTCATGATAGTGAATAAGTCTTATGAGATGTGATGGTTTTATAAATGGGGGTTCCCCCGCACAAGCTCTCTTGCCTGCCGCCATGTAGGACATGCCTTTGCTTCTCCTCTGCCTTCTGCCATGATTCTGAGGCCTCCCCAGCCATGTGAAACTGTGAAGCCATTAAACCTATTTTTCTTTATAAATTACTCAGTCTTGGTATGTCTTTATTAGCAGTGTGAGAACAAGCTAATACACACAGTAGGCTGGAGAAAAGAGGAAATGAGCCTAGAGGCAGGTGGAGGGTTTTCAAGGAGAACAGCCATCCAATTAGATGTGCATTTTAATTAGACCCTGCCAGAAGTATGAAGGAAGATTGACTGGAAGGTGGGAGTCCAAAAACAAACAGACAAAACACAGAAGACCAAATAGAAAGAATAACGATAGGTGAGTCAAGAAATTACGGAATCAAGGGTGATTTCTGAGTTTTCAGCTTGAACAAGTACATTGTGACATTTGCTAGGAAGGGAAAGATGGGAGAGAAATGGATGAAGGGGTAGGCTGGAATCCAGAAAATAAATGGGAAAAGAAATGATATAGTAGAAGAGATCGTGGGAAATCCTGTAGAAATGAGGAAATGTGGTGACTCAAAAGATAGCTCAGAAGTGACTGGTGAATGCAAAGATGTAGGATATAAGCTACTCGCATTTCAAATGACTAATCACGCATAGACTCAAATTGAATAAAAAGGCATTTACAACTAGGAAATAAAAATAATGATTTGACTTATTTTGATGACCCAGGATAACATCTACATCTTTTGTTAAAATAAGTCATTAATGGTTTATGAAAGATGCTCCAACATGTTATTTGTAAAGCATCAGTGCCTCAAGATACAGCCTTTTTGTCCCTGTAACCAACCCATTTGCAAGTAAAATGCCATAGTCTAAAATGTTTAGTATGTGAAGTTACAATTATTATACATTTTATACTTTCAAAAAACCTGTTCTCTGATCTTATATTAATTTACTCCTTTCCTCTCTCAACCTTTGTTTAATTTATAGTTCTGTCTTGTCTTTTCCTTCCTCATTTAAGAAATCACTAACATTGCCCATTCTTCAAAACAACCTACAACTTGATTCTTTGCATTCCAGCCTTTCTTTTCTTAACTTGCATTATAAAGATTATTAGGATAGGCTGGACACAGTGGCCCATGCCCATAATCCTAGCACTTTAGGAGGCTTAGGTGGGTGGATTACATGAGGTCAAGAGTTCAAGACCAGCCTGGACAACATTGTGAGACCCCATCTCTACCAAAAACTACAAAAATTAGCCAGACTTGATGGCACACACCTGTAATTCCAGCTACTTGGGAGACTGAAGTGGGAAGATCACTTGAACCCAGGAGGCAGAGGTTGCAGTGAGCTGAGATCATGCCGCTGCACTCCAGCCTGGGTGACAGAGCAAGACTCTGTCTAACAACAACAACAACTATAGCTATAGATATAGATATATAGGATTAACTGCATATCCTATCATGCATTTCAATTATTATATATTAAATGTTCTCTCTTTAGTATTTCACTTCACATCTCTGCTGGATTGAGGATCTCAGGGAGTGTTTTACAGCTAACGTGTGCCAGACTTCCCCATCTCAGTCCCATTCTAGGCCAACTCATGATGCATGCCCTGTCCGGGTTCCAATAGAGGTTTGGCGGAAGAATCCTTACAAACACCAAATCCTTGATCTGTCCTGAGGAAGCCTGAATCATCTGATTGGCCCCAGAATCACCCTGATTTTCCATGAATTCCCTCAGGCAAATGTTGGCCCAGAATAAGACCAATGTAAAAGCCCAGGAGAATAGTGGAGCAGTAGACTAGCATCCAAGAATGGGGGAAAATGATGAACTTTGCCCAAGAATTTGAAAGCATGCTTAATTCAGATTTATAGTATCTGACTCACATTCACAAATTTCCCTGTGCTCTTTCCTACAAAGGTTTTGTTTTTCCTTTGCTAACCTTTACCTTCTGCCTAAAATATCACTCCCTTTTTTCTCTTTCCATGCTGAAAATTCTGTGCCCTCTTTCAGCTACACTTTTGATCACTGAGATTATATGCTTATGACTTTCTGGCATTAAAAGATTTCACTGACTGCTCAGTTTTTCTGAGGGTGTCTATTTAGACTAGTACCCCTAAATTTTAAGCGTTCAATAATGTAAAATTTGTGAGTTATAATGTTTCATACATAGTACAAATCACACCTACATTGCACTGCTTTCTAACTTAAAAACTGTACATTTCAAAAAGTAGTAAATTTGGGAGTTATTAAGAGGGAATAAAAACATTGAGTTTTAACGTAGTGTGAAATGGTAGTAATAAATGGAAAAAAAAGAGATTGCAGTTGCAAAATACTGCACTGAGACTAATCTTCCTCCCTCTAACATTTGAACATTCTTTTCTGTTCTGTTCATCTATTCATTTCAGTTTGTCATGAATGCTGCAAATATCTAGTAAGTTCCGACCACTTGCCAGGCCTTGTGCTAAGTTCTGGTGATACGAGATGACAAATAAACTATTCCTAACCTCTAGTAGCTCATAGTAGCAGGAAGAAAAACACATACATAAACAAATCATCTTTATCAAATGTCCAGAAAAATCATCTTAGCATCCAGAGGACCACTGGCAGCACCTGACATATAGTAGCAGTTAGTAAATATGTATCAAGGGGTCTGGACCCTACTACAGCCTTTGCCTCCAGCCAGCCAGACAGCCTTGGTCAAGTCAAGAAACCTCCACATACATTAACATTGAAGTGGAAATGTGTGTTCCATTCATTCATCTAGCATTTATTGAGCAACTACAGTAGGTCAGACTGCTCTCTGGTGAAACTCCAAAGTGAATAAAGCAAAGTGCTTTGTTAAGGACCTCTCAATCTAGCAGAGGGGAAAAAGCACATAAAGGATCAATAATGTATGATTAAGACTATAGTGGGAAAATGTGTAGAATAAAATGAGTGCCTGAATGAAGGAGAAACTGATTCAGCCTGAGCGATCAGAAAGTCTAAAGAGAGGAGACAATGTGTCAGCTGCTCTTTGAAGGAGGAACAGATATTGGTGGGCTCATTCCTGAAGGAGAGCCCAGCTTGAGAAGGGATGCAGAAGGAAAGGCATGCAGCGTTTGCACCATTATTCCTCACCCACTGTGGGCATGAGGAAGGGCCGGATGATGCTTGGCGGTCTCATCCAGACTAGAGTATCAATAATTAGCACCATTTGAATGTTTATGTCAAATAATTTGTGGCCCTTAAGACAGAGTTGGTGGATGTTTCCTTGTGTTCAATACATGAAAAGGCTTTCAAATCTTTAATTAGTGTGTCTTTTATTTCCATTATTTGAAGATGAAAATGATTCAGTCAAAAAAATTTCAGCTCCAATATTAAGATTATCTTTTGAGGAAGCATATAAAAATAAAAACAATGACAATATCCAACCCCATCCACCCCTTCCCCAGTAGAAGTTGATATCTGGCTAGAATGAGCATTAATAAATAACCTAGAGAAATACAGTATTGTACAGTTTTATATTTTCAACTTTTTATTAAAATTTTTACCACAAGTGAATAATTTTTGTTAAAATCTAACTTTTTGTACTCTGTATTGGATATGATTTGCTTGCCTAATTAAAGTCTACCTGCTGATTATACTAGATTTAATATATTAATGTGTCTTCATTTCTAGAATAAGAACAAAGAAAAGGGACTATGGTACTACAGGGAGAGATAGTATAGACAATGCTTACAGTTTTATTAAAACCTGTGGAGAAATTTCTTGGCATCTAATCTTCCCTCAGCCTAAGGCAAAAACCATACAATGTTATAAGTCAGGTCAGAGCTTTTTAGTTTTAAATTTGGCTGCTTTCCTAACACATAAGCGTACAAAACAGTATCTGGCACATGGTAGGTTTTCAATAATTGTTTGCCGAATAAATTTTAAATGAAGTAAGGCACTGGGCACAGTCCTCAAAGCACCTCTCTGTAGATACTAAAGGGTCAGGAAACAGCAGCAGCGTGAGTACCAGCACACCAATATGGAAACACTTTCAGGAAATATTCTTAGAAACTCAATTTATAGGCAGTATTCATTTCAACTGCACTTCCTATTCCTACATGAATTTACTACTTTCTAAAGATTATTCAGCTTGTTAAGAGTAGATACTTATCTTCATAAAGCTGTGAACGACAAGCAAAAAAATGATTCAGGATCAGAGGAAAGGAAACTACCTTTTCTAAGTTGATGCTTTTTTTTCTTGGTTTTTGTGTGAACATGACATTGATGCAACTAATAGTAATAATTCCTGCATGTGTTCTTGACACATCAACCCTCTGAAGTAAAGATCACACTACCTATGCAACAAAGTGTGATTACTTGGATTTTTAACAAAGGTTAATAGGAGTAATTTGGGGGTTTCTCCAGGTTTCTCTGCATGTAGAATGGGCAGGCACAGGAAAAGGATGATGATGAAAATATACATTCTTGAGGACTGAGACTGCAGACATGTAAAGAAATTGAGTGGTTGAAAGCTTTTAGTCTGTGATGGTGGTTCTCTGAAAAAAAGCTGAATTTTACTTAAATAGCATTAATATAAAAATACAGCTTCATATAATCGAAAAAGGTCAATAATTTACTTATTTCTTTTTACTAACGAGATAATTTTTGAAAGAATAAAAGGAAAAAATTTTTTAAATAACAAAATAGTATTTAAGAAGGGAAAAATCAGTTTTAATCACTGCATAAGAAAAGGATTTTCTAGTTGATAACGTAATGCCTAAAACAAGAAATGAGAGCTCCATGTAGCATTCTTTTTCATTTATATTCCTTTCAGTAACGAAATAGAATCTGTTCCCCTAATGAAATTCTATTTCATTAGAATTTTTGAAGCACCTGTCACCTATCATCATCAGTTTGTACGTATTTCAAGTTTTTCCGATGAGCAAATGGAATAATGCAGGGTCCATATGTCCACATGTCTGGGAGGAAAGATTCCACGTGGTTTTTGGATTACCTGTCTGGACTCTTTCTCCCATTTATTGCTTGGAATATGTCACCTTCTGTCAATCTAATTACTCCTCTAGGAAACGGCTGTTCTCAGCTCACAGTATGACAATCGCTGTCTTGTGAAAATATCCCAGAAGCCTCTGTAGTTGATGGATCTACCTCAACAGTGTCACTCTGACGTGGAAAGCTGACTTCAGTATACAGGCTTGCTCAAGATTTACTTGAGTTCTCTGAGGAAAGAGTTTCTTCAGATACGTAAGGAGAGAAGCTGGTGGTTTTAGGAGATCTCTTGCCTTATCTTGACATACATGAATAAATCTTTTCAAAACGTAGTCAGTCAGCTGAGAGACAGTATATACATTTAGGACTTCCAGCCCCTGTAAAAGAATGACAATTGAAGTACCTACATTACCTGACCAGTGACACTTGTAAAAGATCAGAGAAGCTTTCAAAGGCCAACAGCAGAGATTTTGATTTTGCTAGAAAAGGGCCCGAAGGAATAATGCTTATTTATCCATTTAGTCAGCCCTTTCGTTCATATCGACTATTCATTACTGTGATAAAGACAGACTTGGCTGAATCTAACAGAAATTCTTTTGTTATCATTAAACAGCTGTAGATTTTTAATATAATAAAGATAAAACTGCTCTTATAGTTCCACATTCACACTATGATATTCAAGTTTGTGCCATCACTTCCATTTTCAGAGCTTTATAATTCCACCATAATCATTTGTTCTTGGCAGAAATGTGTTATACAAGCACTCAGCTGAGGATAATATTTTTGAACATTTTTTTCAATGTTCTTTCTGGTTATGTGATTATGGGAATTTGGAACTCAATATTAATTTGCTCTTCAGCTTTGTGTTTGTATATCTCAAAATGCTCTTTTTTAAATAACACAATTTAACTTGAATCATTACTTAGATTCGGGTGATATTCATAGCAAGATAATGCAGTCAGATACAAGAAGAATGTATTGGGAGAAAATGAGCCACATTTTTCCTTCTCATCACTGCCATTTCCTTTGTGACTCCATGCCACCTGCCTTGTTTGTTTAATAGTTTATATAATTCTTCAGGTACAAAGTGAGCCACTGACCTAATTGGTTTTTTTCATTCATAAACTGATGTGTTTTATTGACCAATATGCATTCCAACTCTTGACTAAAATTTGACATCTAAGAAAATCAATATTTTAGCTCTATTTTCATACTTGAAATTTTCCCTCAGCCTAATTTTTTAAAATTTCTACTTCTTTTTTTTTTTTTTTTTTTTTTTGAGATGGAGTCTCACTCTGTTGCCCAGGCTGAAGTGCAGTGGTGTGATCTCGGCTCACTGCAATCTCTGGCTCCCGGGTTCAAGTGATTTTCCTGTGTCAGCCTCCCAAGTAGCTGCAATTACAGGCGTGCGCCACCATGCCTGGCTTATTTTTTGTATTTTTGGTAGAGACAGGTTTCACCATGCTGGCCAGGCTTGGCTCAAACTCCTGACCTCGTGATCGGCCTGCCTCGGCCTCCCAAAGTGCTGGGATTACAGGCGAGAGCCACCACGCCTGGACAATTTCTACTTCATTTATTTCAGCGTCCAGTGTCCTAACTATAGTTACATATGAGTGAGAGAGATCTAGTCTGCACTCATCACTTCACACGGGTGGGAAAACGGGCAGGGGAAAGTCAGGCCCCACACTGTCTCCAGGCAGGAGGCAAATACTCGTTGACTGACCTTGGACCATCATGCTTGGCCATATGGGTTTGAGACCTGGCATAGGTTTACCTAATCTCTTCATGGAAGACTTGTGAGAGATAATGGGTTAATATTTGTGGAGATCTTTCAACAAAGTGTAATTGATGTTTGAATTTTTATAAACCAAACACAATATCTACCCCCTGAAAGCTTTGTGAGAATATTTAGCACACATGTATGTGCCAGATGGATTGTAATGACAGTTGATAGGCCTCTCCTCACCCTTGCATTCTGTTGTCAGAAATCTGCATATCAAAACAACTATAATTTTTACAATAAGATTTATTGGTTAAAAGATTTGGGTGCACACTGAAAAATCTACTGCCTGGATAAGACTATAAATTAACATTATGGAAGGCTTTAAATTAAAGGTTTATATAAGAAAATTATTGGCAGGGTGCCATGGCTCATGCCTGTAATCCCAGCATTTTGGGAAGCTGAGGCAGGAGCATCCCTTGAGTCTAGGAGTTCAAGAGCAGCCTGGACAACATAATGAGACCCTGATTCTACAAAAATAATTTTTAACCAGGTGTGGTGGCACACACCTGTAGTACCAACTGCCCAGGAGGCTGAGTTGGAAGGATTGTCTGGGCCTACAATGTGGAGGCTGCAGTAAGCTATGACCACGCCACACTGCATTCCAGCCTGGGCAACAGAGCAAGACTCTGACTCAAAAAAAAAAAAAAGAAAGAAAGAATATTTTTAACATGTCTTATAGATAACTTTTGAAAAATATCAAATAATATTTTCTTGATCTGACATATTTTTCTCTATACAAATGAATTCTAATGAAAAATATGTGGAATATAATGCAAAAACAATCAGAAAGTATTCTTAAAAGCTCAAAGATATGCAGAGATCAAAGCAGAAACACATCATAATACAATAGTTATCAGCCAGAAGAATGTTTTTGTGGTTGAGATAATAAGAAAAGAGTATGAAGCACAGGAAGTTAAGTTAGTAAATAAAATTATTATTCTAATGTATTGTGATGTTCTTTATAGTATTACTGTAGAAAGTCTCTAAAAGTACTTGTTATGAGTGAAAAATGATGCCTGTAGATCCAAGATAAGGGGACAGGTGGCCCCACCAATTATAAATTCCCCAAGATTGTAAATGTATATTTTATCATGCTGTGTCAAAATATTCATTTTAATATTCAAACATTTTACCACATAATAAGCTGTAACCATATGTTTATTTGTTATATTATACCACTATAACATTAATAAATATTTACAGAGCCACTGTGTATCCCAGATATATTAGAAATCATAGCTTTCTTGATTTTTTATTTTAAGTGAAAATATTCAGTGCCTCAGAAACTAATTTTAAATAATGTTACATTTGTTACACATTGATAAGAGCCAAGGAGTTTAGATTTTTAAGACTGACACCCCCCTTTTTAACTCATGTTGTTTTATTTATTTTCCCCAATTGCATGAATTAAAGATGGGGTGTTATCTCAGCTTTGAATTCCTTAGCTTGATGTCACAGCTTTTGCTTTATTTGTATGTGAATTCTGTCTTTAATAAAGATGAGCTCTGCTGAACTTTCCATTAATGAGAGACACTTAGGTATGCATCTCTTTATAACGGATCTTGGTGGTACCAGGAAAATTCAGAAATGTTGCTAGTCTATTAATAATTAACATGACAAACTATGATTAATCAGAAGTTTTATGATCTCTAAAAACATAACATTATCTCTGTAAATCGAATTGTATACAATTAAGTTGACAACCGTTAGTAAAAAAAAATAATAATAATAAAGCAGGCCAGGTTGTGGTGGCTCAGCCTGTAATCCCAGCACTTTGGGAGGCTGAGGCAGGCAGATCACATGAGGCAAGGAATTTGAGACCAACCTGGCCAACATGGAGAAACCCATTCCCTACTAAATATACAGAAATTAGCTGGGCATGGTGATGTACCCAGCCACTCAGGAGGCTGAGGCAGGAGAATCACTTGAACCCAGAAGGCAGAGGTTGTAGTGAGCCAAGATCACTCCACTATACTCCAGCCTGGGCGACAGAGCAAAATCCTGTCTCAAATTTAAAAAACCAAGTAAAACTCAAGACTCCTAACTTATACTTTTTCTGTTACAATGTTACATTAGTATTTATTCTTCTGTGACAGCTGAGACTAGACCAGACCCACATCCAGGAGACAGGAGGTTCAAGATGAGGCACTGACTTTTTACTTTCATGTGTCAGTCTCAGGGTGATTCCTACTCAGCTGAAAAACTAGGAGGAACCCTTGCTAGTTTGGTAGTTATTGACTTGGTTACCTGTTTTCAGTGTTCTTCGTCTTCCTTACTCAGCTCAGCTGTTTTCACTTTTCTTTCCACCTGTGTTTAGGAAGAGACCTTCTCAGTATTATAAATTTTGATAAGATTTTCACATATATAGAACCCTAACAAACAAAAGTAGTTCTCCATATAAGCACAGCGTCTGAGCATTCTTCACCGATGCTTGGTGGGGATATTAGCTGTGTTCTCTTACACCCTTTAGCTGTCAAGTACATCAGAAGTGGAGGCTGTGGGGACAGGACACCACTAATGCCAACCATTAGTTTAAATTCACACTTGGATCTGTTTCCAACATTTCTGCTTTTGTCATCATCACAGGTTCGGAAATCATTGTGTAATGTCCTGATTTCTGATTTTTCTGTGGGAAGAGAGTGTTGCAATTTGCCACCTTAATTGTATTCTGCTGTAATTGTCTCTCACTAGATATTTGAAGCACGTAAGAATTCTGTATCATGAAACTTGAGTCCTTATACCCTCTGTTCATTGACTGAATTTAGTTGCAAGAGGAATCTTTCGCTTTTATTTTTTTAAACTGCTGATGAGCACTCGATTGAAATGACTCAGCTTTCATCTGTGGTTTCTCTTCCCTAATAGAATAAAGCATATGTAATAACCTGAAATACTGGACAGCTTGAACTTCTTTAATGCCCCTGAATGTCTCTTACAGCCTTTGTCTAGGTTTGAACTTTCCAAATTATGTATTTCAGACGTTGAGAAAGAAGGGCCTTAATGGCTGTGACAGCCCAGACCCCGATGCGGACGATTCCGTAGGTCACAGCCCTGAGTCTGAGGACAAGTACAGGAAAATTAACGAAGATATTGATCTAATGATCAGCAGGCAAAGATTGTGTGTAAGTACTCAGAACACCCTTCATTTTTTTTACTCTTGATATTTCTCTGAACCTGGCAGGCATTGAACAAGAAAGAAAACAAAGGCTGTGAAAGCCCCGATCCCGACTCCTCTTATGCACTCACCCCACGCACTGAAGAAAAATACAAAAAAATTAATGAAGAATTTGATAATATGATCAAGAGTCATAAAATTCCTGTAAGTACCAAAGGTAGATGGCTGGTCTGCTGATAACTGCTGCAGTAACATACCTTAACCCTCTCAGTGATGGCTTTCTCTAAGACTCTTCGGAAAGTCAAACAGATAAATAGCCATCTCATCCCACGGGCAGCTCATTTAGAAAGCAAACCCTAAAGGATGCTGAGATTATGTAATCTAACAGAGTTGCCATCGAAAAGTTCATTCTGAGGTAGAACAGTTCACAGCAGGAAGAGAAAGATTTATGAGACACACCGTAAATTTACACAATCTTTTAAACACACAGTCCATGCAAATCACAATACATGAGTAAAACACTGGAACCTCCTTCCAAGCAAGTTTGAGAATTGCTATAAAATACATAGATTATACATTGTTTGCTAAGAGCAGATACTCAAGTGGGTCAGCAATTCTTTCATGTAAACTGACAATCATCACCTAAATAAAAGCTGATTTCTGAATAAAACTTCAGCCCCTCTCCCTATACATGAAATTCAACAACAGCACTGAAGGGTTAAAGCTAATGCTCGCTGCAGGGAACAGACTGCATGAAACCTAATGGTAAGATTTCAACATGTTTGTGTGCTGGGGTGATTTTAAAGCTTTATCAGAATATTATCCGCTTTGCCACCAACATTTTCCATGCTTTAA
Source organism: Homo sapiens (assembly GCF_000001405.40). Taxonomy (NCBI): domain Eukaryota; kingdom Metazoa; phylum Chordata; class Mammalia; order Primates; family Hominidae; genus Homo; species Homo sapiens. Next base: position 88,760,336 of record NC_000005.10, on the reverse strand, counting down.
CATTTGGCTAATTTTTGTTTTAACCAAATGAAAAAAATTCTAACAGTCAATCATATGCCTTGCCAGATATTTAAGAGAAATAACTGCATGTATTATTTTGTTGTCCACATATATAGGAGGAAAGTACATACTTTTTATTAGATTCTGTCATCAATCAAATAATGTTAATTTTGTGGCTGAAAGGGGTGAAACCCAAGGCTCACATACCTTCTAAATAACTAATGTTAGTGTCTGAACCTTAATTGTATACAAGCTCCTCAGTAGGCAATCAGTTCCTTTTGAAAAAAGTTCATTTTTTGTAAGTTAGCAAAACAGCCTAAACCTGAGAAATGAGAGAGACTGAAGTGAAAATATGTTTTGGTGATTACAAGTGCAGATATGTGGGGACAAAGTTCGAGGCCAAATTCACAACTGCACTCACAAGATAAATTAATACTTTACCATAGTAGCTGCACACTCAAACCTGAATTGAATTAAATTGAACACTTTAAAACTTATTTACAAAATGTGTGCATATTAAAATTTCTATCCTTATAAATACCTATCTGCTTCTTTTGTTAAATGAAATGTCAGCAGTAGAACTTTTGTTGAATCAGAATTATTAATACACTGTATCATGAAGGAAAGCTAAGTGCTATAAATTCTTAAGGGTTTCATAAAACTATTATATGCACACATTCATAGTGGGCACTTTATGAAATGGAGTATTTAGTATTATATGTAGCCATGCATACTTGTTATGTCCAGAATTATTAAATAATAAAATATCCATTGGTATTTTATTTTGCCTAGAAGAAAAAAAGAAGCGGCTCATTTGGGCCAATTTTTATTTTTATTTATCTATTTTTATTTTTGAGACGGAGTTTCACTCTTGTTGCCCAGGCTGGAGTGCAATGGCACGATCTCCACTCACCGCAACCTCTGCTTCCCGGGTTCAAGCAATTCTCCTGCCTCAGCCTCCCGAATAGCTAGGATTACAAGCATGTGCCACCACTCCCGGCTAATTTTGTATTTTTAGTAGAGATGGAATTTCTCCATGTTGGTCAGGCTGGTCTCAAACTCCTGACCTTAGGTGATCCACCCGCCTGGGCCTCCCAAGGTGCTGGGATTACAGGCGTGAGCCACTGCGCCACGCCATTTGGGCCAATTTTTAGTTCTTATGATCTGAGTTTATCTTGCTATATAATACATTGGTGTGGAGCAGCTGTGCATTAAGGTTTGTAAGTGTAGGATGTTAAGGCGGAGTACCTTAGGTGTGTCAGATAGTAAGAATCCCCTGCACAGTTGGAATAAAGACAGATGTATGCAGTACTGCTGATCACTCAATGGAAGCGATCATATAGGTGGAGTTTTAACCCCTAAAGTTCTGGAAGAATGCACATTGGATCTTGTTTCTCATACTTTAGGGAGAGAGACATGTAATACACACCTGTATTCCCTCACAGGATTTCAGCCTGTTACGTAAAGAGTTCAAGATCAAGATACGTGATTTCTTAAGGGGTGCAGTGGTGTGTGGTAGGGGCTGAAAAACCACATTAGAGTTTACGGGCAGAGCTGTGAGAAGGAGCCACCCAGCTCCGAGCTATGCCACAGAGTCTCCATCTCTTTAGTAAGTGCTTCAGTCTTCACGATGAAAAGCCCAGTTTTTGCACATCGCTCTGAGTTGCTGGAAGTCAATTTTGTTGAAAGTTTCCACAGCTGCTAAAACATTTACAGCAGGGCAAGGACACTCTGCCCTTTGTATGTAGAGAGTGTCTCCACCTCTTTAAAAACATTACAAGACTGTTTTTCTATTTCGAAGACCCAGTTTGAAGAGTTTCCCTTTTAAAACAGAAAATTTAATATTGCAGTCACCTGTTAGTATATTGTAATTTATGCCCATATTCCTCAATTACATAAAATAATTCATGGGTGATTTGGAACTGTGTCGAGCAGCATTTCCTCATGCTGGGTTCGCCATGGTTCATGCTGGGCTTCACAGCAAGAGAAAACACCTCCGTCTGAGGAACCAGCAGAAGTTAGGAAAGGGGCTGAATGAATGAGAGGCGGGTGCAAGTTGGTTGAGAGTAAAAGGGAAGGGAGGAAGTGGAAAGAAACAGTATGTATTTTCTTCAAAATAATGGGCTGTGAAGAGAGAGAAATAATGTTGTATGTAGGATCAAGGGAGGAGTTAAAATGAAAGCGCTTGAGATTATTTACATGCAGAGGAGAAGTGCTTGGAGGAAGGAAAAGATTGAACATACAGGTACAATGGAGATAGAATGGCAAAGCCTCTCAAGGAAGGGAAGGAGGATGGGACCTAAACAAGAAGGTGTTACAGATGGAGCCAGGTGTAGCTAAGGTGGTAGCTGGGTAGAATTACGCTGAGTAGGTGACCATATAATGACCTCTATTTTATTTTATTTTTATTTTTTATTTTTTGAGACGGGGTCTCACCCCGTGCCTCAGGATGGAGTGCAACGGCGTGATCCTGGCTCCCCTCAACCTCCGCCTCCCATGTTCAAGTGATTCTCCTGCCTTAGCCTCCCAAGTAGCTGGGACTACAGGTGCCTGCCACCAGGTCTGGCTAGTTTTTGTATTTTTAGTAGAGATGGAGTTTCACCATGTTGGCCAGGCTGTTCTGGAACTCCTGACCTCAAGTGATCCGCCCGTCTCGGCCTCCCAAAGTGCTGGTATCACAGGTGTGAGCCTCCATGCCTGGCTATTTTGTTTTTTAATGTATTTAGTTTAGCTTCTGTAGTTAATTAGGGAAGGGGGAAGCAGGTGATTGAAAAAGGACCGAGAAGTTAGACATCATGAGGAATAGGAGTTGGAGAGGGAATGAACAAGTCCATGATAGACTTGTCAGGCAGCCTTGAGGGAATTTAGATAACCAGCATTGGTACTCACAAGTCATCAGAGTTGTATGATTTTTTTTTTCCTCTACTACAGCCCAGCAGCTGGTAATGGTTAATCAAAATTTAAAGGTGTCATTAGTGGCAAAAAAAGGGTGGGGGGAAGATTCAGTTCAATCACTCACATTAAATAAAAGAGGGCCCATTAACTAAAAATATTTTACTTTAACTATTTTATTTGATTTTTTTATTGGACTTTTCCTTGTGGTAAGTTTGGGAAAATAGTGGGTTTTGGATGAGAGTTCAGATACTTTTCTGATTATGACTCACTACAGTAACCGTGATCACTTTGTTCAGGGATAGAAACTAAAAGTTTTTTAGCTGTCATGTCTGTGTCCTTCAAAGCTGGGACCGGCTTCATGGGCCCTCGACTTGGCCCTGTTCTCATAGGGCTGCACTTGGTTAAATACTCTGCTGTCATTGTCTTGAAGTTCTTAATACTTTTTTAAAAAGGGCCCCCACATTTTCATTTTGCACTGGGCCCTGCAAATTACATAGCCAGTTCTGCTGACAGCATTTCATTTAATCACCCCAAATTCTCTCTTTCTTCCTATCTTGAGTGTTTGTAAAAGTTGGAGCCTGGCCCTGAAGTCTTTGCAAGTTTGGTGTTTTTAACTACTTTTTGGCTTTCATTTTTTAGACAAAAAAAAAAAATTGTTTAAATGTAGATGCTTTCAAGTTTCCTAATTTTGAAAAGTCAAGGAGAAAAAGAATAATGCCAATTTCTTAGAAATATTTATATGTGATTATAGCATTTGCATTCCCTAAAATGTTTAGAGCAGCTTCATCTCTTCATAGATACAACCATTTCATGCCTTAGATAAGAAAATCAAGGTCAAGGGAGATTAAATGACCTGCCTGGTTAGATGGCAATTTATTACATAACCTGGACTGTAACTGAGATTCCTGATAGAAAGGCTAGTGTTTATTCTGATTCTCTAAAATATCTTCTCAGTGTGCTCATTTTTAAGCTTATAATTTGCTTTCAAAATTATTATAGATAGTTCCTTTAACTCAGAAACAGAAAATCTAATACCGTATGTTCTCACTTAGAAGTGGGAGCTAAACAATGGGTACACATGGACATAAAGATGGAAATAATAGACACTGGGGACTCCAAAAGGGGGGAAGGTAGCAGGGCGGGGTGAAGTTTGAAAAATTAGCTCTTAGGTACAATGTTCACTATTTGGGTAATGGGTACACTAGAAATCCAGTCCCCACCAGTATGCAATATATCCATGTAACAAACATGCACATGTATCTAAAATAAAATTAAATTTTAAAAAATTATTATAGGTAGTTCTTGATACAGGTAAAGCAAAAGATTAATAGAATACAAATGATCTTGGTATATTTTATGAATTTTGAAATTTTCAACTATACTCTGATACCATAATTATATTTGACTGCTTAGCCAATCACAAAGTAGTTTTATAATAATCATTATCATCCAGTTGTTTCTGATCCAGAATTCTAGAAGCTGAAGAATTAATTCTTGGGGATAATAGTCAGAGGAAGGAAGGAGTAGAATGACTTTCACTGACCTGCTTGTTTGGATGGTTCTGAACTCATTACATAATTATTAATAATCCTCTTTATTTTGGATGTGCATATAATCACCCAAGGGTGAGGGGATATGGGCTTTGCTCTCTAATGAGACACAACCAACATTCTATAGCATATTCAGGGAAGATATAGTTTTATAGCAGATCCTTAGATACCTATTAACAGTTAAACATTTATAAGTAGTAACAGTGAATTCAAATTAAAACATTTGTAGCCCAGAGATGGCTTTAAATACAAACTCTAAGCAAATATGGAAAAGGGGAGTCTTTAAGATTTATTTTTTCCTAAAACCTGAGACACTCCAGTGTAGATACTCACCCACATTTCATGAGAACCCATTTAGTTTATTATTTACATGGTCCAAAGATAATAAACTGCTAATATCTAGCCCTTATTCACTTAACAGAATGATTTCTGACTACAGTATTTTATTTCTATCCAAAAACTTATACTGTGTTGCATAGTGTTTGGTAGCAAAAGCAACAGACTCAGTCACTAGTTAGATGACTTTGGGTCACTTACTTAACTTACCAATTTGAAAAGGAAAGAATTATATCTATGGTCAAGGGATGTTTAAAAGGTTAAATCATATCATGTATGTCAACTATACAGCACAGTGCCTGCTCAATAAGTAATATACAGTAAATAGAAGCTTTACTTTTGTGTCAGTAGAGTGTCTTCCTAAAAATTCTCCTTTGAAGAAAAATATTAAGTTCGTATAATAAGAAGTAGAGTAGGCTCTGCATTGCCTCACAGCAAAAGGGCACTATTTAACCAACATCATAAATGATTTTATAACCAAGGAGAAAGAAGAGCAGGAGAAAGAGATCAGGATATGGGCAAGGGGCAGGACAAATTGCAGGATTAAATAGGGTGGTCAGCGTGGGCTTCCAAGAGAAGGCCAGATTTTGAGCAGAGACTTGAAGGAGGTGATGCAGTTCGTCATGGAAATGAGGCAGGGAGGCAGAAGGTGTTAGGCGATGAGATAACGGAGGTTGGCAAAAGCTAGAGCTTAATAGGGCCTGTGGACCCTTGGAAGAAAAAAATTCTCATCTTGAGTTTTTATTCTAAGATGAGAGCCCTCACAGGGTTTTGAGCAGAGGAGTGTTGGCATGACTTAAGCTTTTAAAGGGTCAATCTAATTTCTGGTTTGAAAATATAAAGGATGGCAAGGACCGGAGCAGGTAAATCTGTTAGGACGTGACTGCAGTTATCTAGGCAAGAGATGGCACTGCTTGAGCCAGTGTAATAGTCACACCCTCCAGTCATTTTGATACCCAAAGATAGTCCAACAGATTTCCAAAATGCTCCCTAAGGAGACAGTCCCACCCCTGTAGAGTACCAGTGTTCTAGATCTAGAGAGTTACTATTATGGCCCAAGGTTGCAGCAGGAAACAGATGGCAAACTCTAAAGGGTAATTGAAGACAGTTTGTTAAAAGGACTGTTTACAGATGGGTAGAGTTAAGGAAAACCTGAGAGAATAATGAAGTACATTAGGGCTTGCAACCTAGAAGCTGTTCCTATCTCTAGATCTGAAAGAGTAAGTGGAGGGGAAAAGTACCAGATCACAGCAAGATCTATGTGTATAGGAGAGAACAACTCAAAAAGAGATGGGGTCTTCGCTAGAGAAACGCAGCCTCAGCCAGCCTGTGGCCCAGCAAGGATGATGCCACTATAAAAAAATACCCTGACTTTGCTCCCCTCCTGCTCTCTGTGCTGTTGCTGGTGCCTCCCCCACTGACCAGTGGGAAGCCAGAGGGCAGGAGAGCCTGGTTGATGCAGTCTGGAGGGTCAGCTCCTGGGCACACAGTACAGTGAAGGGGCTAGAGGGTGGGTCTGGATGGAGCAAGTGGAGAATATACCTAGTAGAATCACTTTACTTTGTTTTCTTGGGTATGCTAGAGCAATCCTTATTTGGCCTTTTAATGAAGAAATACAATATTTTATTCATGCTATAGACTTCGACTTTACAGCATATGCTGATTTTTTGTTGTTAAAAGGGGGCTGGACATGTAAGGCTAAATTCATTATTTGATGTCTTATCAAACATTTATATTCCATTATGTCATGATGTCTATCCAAAAATTATTTCCCCTGTTTACTGTAGATAAATCCTAATAAAGACTGACCATATTACTTATATCACTTGAACATTTTTATTTCCCTCTAAAACAATGACAGATTGGGCCAGATGTGGTAGCTCACACCTATAATCCCAGTACTTTGGGAGGCCGAGGTGGGCGGATCACCTGCGCTCAGGAGTTCAAGACCAGCCTGGGCAACATGGCAAAACCCCATCTCTACTAAAAATACAAAAAAATAGCTGGGCGTGGTGGCACATGCCAACCACTGCTTGGGAGGCAGAGGCAGCAGAATCACTTGAACCAGATAGGCAGAGGTTGCAGTGAGCAGAGATGGCACCACTGCACTCCAGCCTAAGCAACAGAGTGAGACTGTGTCTAAAAATAATAATATAATAATAAAAGTAAATATGAAATAAAATACAAATGAAAAATCAAAGATGTGTGAAAGAAAAGAGTTTTGAATGTAAAGCATTTGCTGTTGTCAAGATTGACATGTCCAGAACATGGAAGAAAAGAAAAATGGGAAATTAATAATAAGGGAGCATAAACATAAACAAAGAAAAGTATTGTGATCATCACCAAGATAAACAGAGAAATATTACACAGAAAGATGTATGATGCAGGCCAGCCAACCAAACAGTAACAGAAAGTGGATGTCAGCACTAAGGGCAAACAATAGTAAAAACAAAATGGGACCAAAAAAAACAACCAACTGAGCCTCAAGCACATATGCATTTAAATTTGCACAATAACTTATTGAGAACCCCCAAGGGAATGCCTTAATGCCTTCTATAAATCCTATTCCATATATATGTCCATTTTATATTAAGAATGCCATATGTTTTGATACCATATGAGTTCTCTGGCATTATATTCAAAGAGTATTTTTACTCGTAATGCTTAAAAAAAAGTAGCTACAATTATGTTCCTATGTTCATCTAGTTAGTACAGCAGAAACATAAACATGATTTTGCTTAAATTGACAAAATAATTACTCAAAAATCAATCATTGAAACCTGGATTAATCTAATTAGACATCCACACAGCTTCAGTTCACTAAATATTTGCCAACTTTCACAATTGAGATACAGGTCTTGCCATTTGTCAGTGGCGGTACACACCAAAATATGAAGCATAGTGTTTTCTGAATTGCCACTTCAAAATGTGAATTATTGAATGATACATGCTCTGTTGAATCTTGTATGTTAAAATGCCTATTATCTTTAGAGTTACTTTTAAAACATAGACTTTAAAAAATGATAATTAAGGTATATGTGCTATGCACATGCTTGGAGATGATTTTCTATCATTAAACTTCTACATAAATATGCTTCAATAAGCAATTAAATCAAAGGCTTCGGTTTGCATTTTAATCCTTTTTCTCTGTGAAGTCATCACAATCAGGCACCTTTGATCTTGCAGTCATTTCTGGCACCAGATTCAGATATCACAAATGAACAATTACTACTTAATAGAATGGAATCCAAAGACAATGGAGTCTAATGAAATGGGGCTTTGTTTTAAACAAAAGTGAAACATTTTTTAATGGTTGCAAAGAAGGAGTTCTAAGCACATTTAAGAAATCAATTTATGATCTGAACGTCTTGAGAGCTCTTCTTAATGGTCTTCTAGACACAAAGTAGTTTGGAATGTAGAATTTTTCTTGGAAAAATAAGGGCTGTCTGTCTTGAAGAGCTTCTGTTATTAATTCTTTTCTTTTACCTTTGTTTTGTTTTCTGTTCCTGCAGGCTGTTCCACCTCCCAACTTCGAGATGCCAGTCTCCATCCCAGTGTCCAGCCACAACAGTTTGGTGTACAGCAACCCTGTCAGCTCACTGGGAAACCCCAACCTATTGCCACTGGCTCACCCTTCTCTGCAGAGGAATAGTATGTCTCCTGGTGTAACACATCGACCTCCAAGTGCAGGTAACACAGGTATGTCCTCATAAGGATGTAATGCTAACAAATAGTTGGAAGGAACCATTTTCGGCAAAGCCAACACTGCTTTATCTACGAGATGTTTTCTGGTTTTCCACTTACTCTCCTTCATGGCTTACCATCCACCCCCGAGCTAGGTCTCCTGCATGATAGAGCCTAAATTCTTTAGTATGTTTTTCGAAATCTTTCATAATCTGCCGTTTATCTTTTTCATTCTGTCACCTATCTCCTCCTGTGGCTATATTTTAACCACATACTCTCAAACAGGATGTCAGATATCCTTTCTCCACACTTTTACTTCTGCTCGTCCTCCCTGCCTAAAATGCCATTTTCCCTCTTCCTCCTGGCCAAGCTACCACTTCTGTGAAACCTTCCCCTGTGTTCTGTGATAGTATTTATCCCATTTAGTTATTTATTATTTGGGTCAATTTTTTTTTATTTATACAGTAACTTATCCCACAAAGGACTTAGGCAGAAAGGAAATATGATAAGATAGCATCATTTGTAAGACATGTGAAATAAAAACAAAGCTGAATCAGAAATGAAGTTAATTAAACACATGTACACCTGCCACAAATTTGTCTCTGCACTTTTACTTGCTGTTGTTCAATTCACAGTGTCCAAGAGAAAAATAAATTATTTCTCAGAAAAAGTTCATCCATTCTTAGTACTTAGAACAATCAAAATACATTATGATGAATTGTATTTAATATATGTCTATTTTGATACTGGATTTAAAGAACATTTAAGGGAAGAATGTTCTCTTGATTTGCTAAACTAACAGTAGGAACCAAGTCAATGCGTATTGAATATAACAAAATTATTCCTTTATGTTTCCAGAAGCAGCATCAAAAATAATTGTATTTCTAAGTCACATACAGCAAACCATTATATATTTGCATTTCATATTTTTAAAAGTACTCTATAGGAAATTTTTAATGTATCCTACATACACATAGCTGTATGAAAATAGTTTATTCATGGAGGAATTTTCCTGTAGAATACTTATATATCTGCCTTACAATTAAAACCAAACATGTATTACTATTTTTGTTACAGAAGCTTTATATAGAAAATACAGTTAAATTCATCCAAATAAAAAATTTTAATCTTGAGTCTGGGAAATGTATACAAAGGACTTCATTGAGCCATTCTCTTGACTTTTGAATATATTTGAAAATTTTCGTATGAATTTTCAGTAACCACATGTATTCCTTTCAGATCATACTAGAATGCAGTTCACTTTCCTATTTGATAAACTCATGCTCATTTTTTTGAATTTGATACGGTATTTCCAAAATATTATCTGATTGGAAATAATAAACATTTGCTTAAACTGTAACGAAGGCCAGATGCAGTGGGTCACGCCTGTAATCTCAACACTTTAGGAGGCTGAGGTGGGAGGATTGCTTGAGCCCAGGAATTCAAGACCAGCCTGGGCAACATAGAGAAACCCCATCTCTACAAACATTTTTTTTTTAAATTAACTAGGTACAGTGGCTTGTGTATGTGGTCCCGGCTACTCGAGAGGCTGGGGTGGGAGGACCACTTGAGCCTGGGAGGTTGAGGCTGCAGTGAGCCATATTACTGCCACTATACTCCAGCCTGGGCAACAGAGCAAGCTCTGTCTCAAAAAAAAAAAAAAATCGTGTATATATATGTATATATATAAACAAACATTTTCTTTTAATTCCAAAACCTGAACCAACTAATAATTACAGAGTATCACTTAGAGGCAATTAGAAAATCTAGATGATATTCTCACTATTATTCTTTTGGCTGAATGTTGTTTTTTTCAAAACTAAAAGTAATTTTTTTTTTTTTGAGACGGAGTCTCGCTGTGTTGCCCAGGCTGGAGTGCAGTGGCACCATCTCGGCTCACTGCAAGCTCTGCCTCCCAGGTTCACGCCATTCTCCTGCCTCAGCCTCCCGAGTAGCTGGGACCACAGGCACCCGCCACCACGCCCGGCTAATTTTTTGTATTTTTAGTAGAGACAGGGTTTCACCGTGTTAGCCAGGATGGTCTCTATCTCCTGACCTCGTGATCCGCCCACCTGGGCCTCCCAAAGTGCTGGGATTACAGGCATGAGCCACCGCGCCAGGCCCAAAACTAAAAGTAATTTTTATGTTCAATACCTTATTGAAACATCTTGACTCTCATAAATAAACATTGCCAAATTTTAACATACTGTCTAAAGTTAGCAATGAATAAGCATATGTTTCTTAATCTGTGGCCGGTGAAAAATTTGTTATATTGTGTCAGTCAATAAGATTTTAGTAGTAAATGTGGGTAGATTCATGAAACGATCAAATTTCTGGACAATTAACATTGCACAAAATTAATGGCATAAAACATATTTACAAAGAACTAAACATCAAATGTGAGGTCATCTGAGCATATAGTAGACCTTACTCTTTCTTTCACTTTCTATAAAACATCTGCTTAGGGAAAACCTAGACTTAGAAATAATAAAAATGCAGAGACCAAAGACTGGATTTTTTTAAATGTAACTTTCTTAGAAAAAAGATTCTGCAAAATGTCAGTGATTGAATGTATTTTTAACGTTTGAGCACAGCATGGCACAATAAAACAAATGTCAGCCATCTGACTTGGGTTGTACTTTACAAGTTTATGACTATTGCAAGAGGACAAAATACTGAGGTTGCTGAAGGTAAAGTGTTTTGTTCTGTGGGCCTTTAGCCTTTCTCGTTTTGATCTTCCTCTTTAATCCATAGGTGGTCTGATGGGTGGAGACCTCACGTCTGGTGCAGGCACCAGTGCAGGTAAGCCCAGACTCCATACTGCAGTATGTATCATTGTTCTGAGTTCTTCTACTAGGTGATTTGCAGGACAAAGTCTTTTGAACAAATAAAGTTAAGAGATCTGTGAGAGGCATGGAAAAATGACACCAAGAATTTTTAAAGCACTTTTCTGAAGCAGGAGTGGTTAAATAGTAACTTAGAAGAAAACTATTTATTAACTAGAACCTTCCTTAATAAAGCTTCAACTGGTCAGCAGAGAATTAAGGGCTCTGATCCAATCAACTTAATCCTGGATACCATCCTTGGACACAAGAGTACCTTTAGCAAACCATACTTTTTGTGTTCTCTGTTAATCATTTCACATTAAATATGAATCATTTTCCAGCCAAAGAAGTATTGAACTTCTATGCATTTCTAAAGAAGAGTACATAAAGAAAAGGAGGGGTTAAGATTTTAATTATTCAACAATACTGTTAATAAAATAAAATCACATTGGCATTAAAATGAGCTCTTAGACAACATGAATATAATGCATCCCCAAAAGACCCTAAAATATATTTCAGCTAAGAACTTCTTACACTGTGACCAATAATTGTCTCAGTCACATTTCTCCAGGTTTCCGTGTTAATTTGTAATATTGAGATTATTGAGATATCGATGTCATTTTCAATGCAGAGGCAAGATAGCACAATACTTTCAAATGCCAACTGCAGTTCACTATTGGCATAACAAGTAACCATGGTAATTTCTGCAGCTGGAACATGCTATACATTTAAAATAGTAGGAGGCAGGCATGAATGACACAAGGTTATGTTTGAAATGTCAAAAAAAATCAAGTTTATTGAAATAGACATGGATAGCCTAATTAAAATATTTTGCCAGGGTCAAGTAGAATAGCCTGCTAATTATAAGAAAGAAGATAAAGAAAATTGGTTTACAAATACATTTTTATAAATATATCTATTTGAGGGTAGAGTTTCTCTGTTCTGATGCTGGCTCTTCACTAATTCACTGAATAATGAAGAAAAAGTATTAGACCTACACAGTGATTAGCAAACAAGATGAATAACACTAGCTTCCTATTTTATATATCTTTTGAAAATTAGGTCGAGCCAAATTAGTGTGTAAACTCACGTAGTATTTTGCTGGACATGGAAATGAAATTTTTTCCCTCAAAAAATACTTTGTGGTTTGTAGCCTCAAAATGAGAGAACCAGATCAAATCCAGACCAATGTTTCTTGGATCCAAGTCTCTACCAAACACTATGATTAGAAAGAATGGTGAGGACTGAGAATTGGGTGGTCACAAAGACCAAGATATAATATAAGAAAAATGGTTTAGATGTTATGATGTTTTACCCAATATCTCACTGCACCGATTTGCTTGCCATTATGGAAACAGCTAGTAGTGGTTCTGAAAGTCATTAAAAGTAGTAAAAAAGGGCCGGGCGCGGTGGCTCACGCCTGTAATCCCAGCACTTTGGGAGGCCGAGGCGGGCGGATCACGAGGTCAGGAGATCGAGACCATCCCGGCTAAAACGGTGAAACCCCGTCTCTACTAAAAATACAAAAAAATTAGCCGGGCGTAGTGGCGGGCGCCTGTAGTCCCAGCTACTTGGGAGGCTGAGGCAGGAGAATGGCGTGAACCCGGGAGGCAGAGCTTGCAGTGAGCCGAGATCCCGCCACTGCACTCCAGCCTGGGCGACAGAGCGAGACTCCGTCTCAAAAAAAAAAAAAAAAAAAAAAAAAAAAAAAAAGTAGTAAAAAAAAAAAAAATGTGGAGGAAAACATGGCCTACTCAGCTTTGATGGAAGTGGCTTGTTACTGCTTAATAGCTAGAATGCTTTGGAATCCTATATTGAAAATAAAAAGTGTTTGGTTGTTCAATTATTCTGTCATTGTCAATTCCCAGACAGTTGGCTAAGTTTAATGATCCTCTAGGGATAGAGAAGACTCTCAATCCTGTAGGCATAAAAGTTTGACACACGTAGGATATAGTAACATTGAACTAACAAAATCTTATGCACTTAGCAAATTCATCCTCTTACCTCAGGACCTCTACCATAGGTATGAGAATCTTCTAATTCAGAAATAGAAGAAAACCAAAAGAAAGATACTGAATTACTCCACCCTGGTGATAATAAATATTATATCTTGATTGCATATTATAGCTACGAGCATGTAGTTTTCACAGTTTCTATATAGCTGTGAAAGTGTTACCCATATTTTAAAAATAGAGGAAGAAGCCCTTTCTAACTCTGGTCCCAAGGAACACCTGTTGCAGATGCCACTTAGTCTCAAGCTTAGCTGTCATGTCCTACTCATAAACTCAGCCATCTTCCCCTTCTTTCTCATGCCAACCAGTATCATATGTCAGGCTGAATATATCCGTGCTGATGTCAGAGAATCACATAACACCAGAGGAAAACAAGGCCAGCCAGAATGTTGCTACATTTTCAGAGAAGAAAACCAAAGCAAAAAGGCCAAAATATAGCTTCCAAATTTTGCATATTGTCATTGAAATTCAAGGTTTCAGATAAAGTTTGAAACTCTTGAGGCCAAGTGGCGAGACTGCAATTACGTTACTTTTTAGCAGCTGCAGTTTTTTTCTAAATCAAGTCATCTCACTTTGTTAAAAAAAAAAAAAAAGTGAGAGGGAGGGAGAGTCTCATGAGGCAAGGAAGTAAATTGAACATTTATTTTGTGCCTATAAATACTAAAAGACCAAAAAGGTAAGCATGCTTTTTTTCAGCTCAGTTTTATCATAAAGTGTAGCATCTTTCCCATCCAGTGCCTGAGCCATCCTTTTCTCATCATACCATCATCCAGTAAGTTTCTAGAACATCCTAATTCATCTCCCTGCTTTATATTGCATCCTGCTTCAGTCTCCCCAGGACTGCTTGTTCTTTCTTAAAACCTTAAGCTAACTGTAGGTCATCATTCACATGCCAAAAATCCAGCCATGGCTTCTCTTTGAAAATTAACAGTGAATATCTTATCCCTAGGCCCATTCCTACTCTCCAGCCTTAACCTTCTTCCCTTCTGCCACTGCTATCAAGAACCCGGCCCTCCAGCTCTACTAACAGTAGACATCTAAACTGCTCTTACTGTGCACTCTACAAAAAGCATCATTCTCATAATAGTCGTTTAAATTAAGTGTTCACATTATGCCCTTTCTACAGATTAGGAAACTGAGGCACAGGGAAATTAAGTAATTGCACAAGGAAGAGCCCAGGTAGTCAGGTCCCATACTGTGTGTTTGTATGTGTGTGTTTTGAGACAGTGTCTTGCTCTGTCACCCAGGTTGGAGTGCAGTGGCACGATCTAGGCTCACTGCAGCCTCAATCTCCTGGTCTCAAGCAGTCCACCTCCCTCAGCCTACTGAGTAGCTGGGACCACAGGCATGCACCACCATGCCTGGCTAATTTTTTAATTTTTTTCCTTATAGAGATGGGGTCTTGCTATGGTTTTCAGGCTGGTCTTGAACTCCTGGATTCAAGCAATCCTCTCTCCTTGGCTTCCCAAAGTGCTAGGATTACAGGCGTGAGCCTCTGCACCCGGCCTCAGTGTGTGCTCTTAATTGCTACACTGTGCCGCCACTTGGCAATGTCACGGCCGCTTACTCTTACCTATGCAATCCTAGCATGCCTTTCCTTCTTCTGCTTCATGCTATTGAGCACTCTTTGTCATCCCACAGAATTCAGTTCAGCCATTTGAGAAAAGCCTTTCCTGACTCTAACAGACAAGTTATGCACCTCTTTCCTGTGCTTACATAGTAGCCTGTACCAACATTACATTTCTCATTGCATTATGATTGCAACATCTGGGCACATCTCTCTAGGACGCTCAGCTCTGTGGAGGCAAACTCTTTCTCATTCAGTTTGTATGCCCAGTTTAACACCTAAGCGTTAGCACACAGCAGATACTTGGTAAATGTTTGTTAGCTGAGTAAGGGAAAAATAGATCTTCTAGCCATGAAGTTTTAATAGTGTTGATGTAAACCAGAAGGAACATTTCAAATAAATTATGTAATTTTCAATAAAAAAAGATATACCCTTGATCTGTAACTCACAAAAATAATGTATTCTTCTGAAACAGTATACAACGAATGTTTAATTAACCATTTGATTAAATGGCTGAGTACCCTGGGCCAATAAAGCAAAGTTTCATTAACTCCTCTAATATTCTTAACGGAAAACCTGAAGAGCTGACATATAGTAGTAAATGAAATGTGGGTTGGTATCTCAGACCATCACAAATCACCTCTTAATACAACTTCTTATCATCACTTAACTTGAAATACTTTCAAAGATGAAGACAAAGGGTAATAAAGAAGTAGCAGGATGGAGTTGTACTCTTGGTATAAGAGAAATATACAGCAAGTCATTATAATACATTAGTTAGTAACAGTGACTTTTCTAAGGTTTCAGTTGATGGTTATTCATCCACTACTTAATTCTTTCCTCTTAACAACCTAAATGAAAAGTCACTGCTTTTAAAATAACATTTTGTCATAACTCTATAAAACTTTTTTTTTTGAGACGGAGTCTTGTTCTGTCACCCAGGCTGGAGTGCAGTGGTGTGATCTCAGGTCACTGCAACCTCCGCCTCCTGGGTTCAAGCAACTCTCCTGCCTCAGCCTCCTGAGTAGCTGGGACTACAGGTGCACGCTGCCATGCCCAGCTAATATTCTGTATTTTAGTAGAGATGGGGTTTCACCCGTTGTCCAGGCTGGTCACAAACTCCTGAGCTCAGGCAATCCGCCCACCTCGGCCTCCCAAAGTGCTGGGATTACAGGCGTGAGCCACCATGCCTGACCACATTAAAGCTTTTAACATGCTAATCTGAGTGGTTATTGATGATGGTAAGATCAAGTTCGGTTGTTTGTAGTCATTAGATTTAATGGAAATAACCATTAGCAGAGCAATGCCTTGTGTTGGATTATTCACTATCCCGTTAGTATCCTTTGTTTTCACTTTGATAATACGATTGCCTTTTATTGAGTAGAAAGGACCAGTATGCTCAAGGAGTTATTGATTCATAGTTGAGATCAAAAAAAGAGAAAAAAGAAATGAAAAACCTTTAGGAATTCCTTTGAACATTTAAGATAATTTTACAATCTACATAGCTATTTGACAGTAAGGCAAAGGAGATTTATGTATATTGGTTAATAATTTTAATTGGCATTTATTGTAAATTAGATATAATTTTATAAAAAAGAAACTAACATCTGTTTTCTTATTTTGAATGTTAATTGTTGACTATTTTATGCATTTGGTTATCAAGCATTGTCACTTCTGGAATGCTTAATTTATGTCAGCTAAATACATGGAGAGTTGATGGTGGCAGTGTACTGCCGTGGATAAATATTGAGCAGTGAATAAGAGATCTGGTTTCCAGACTCTGGAAAGACTCCATCTAGCAAGACCTTAGGTCATGACTCAGCACCTTTGAACTTAGTACTTACTCAGATTGGAGATAAGAAACAAATATTTTTACAATCCATTTACACGCAATGTTTTATGATAATATAATCATAAAATTTTGCTTATGTTTTTGTAATTCATCTAGCATTGAAAAAGAAAAAACTTAGCATATTACAAAATAGAACTAAGTGGAAAGAGGAAAGGTCAGACAATGCTTAATTTTTCTGTACCAGCACCATTGTTTTGCAAGTATTTGTTTTCAAGAATACTTATCAAAAATTTCTTGGCTGACTTTCTTATTGGCCAGAAAGACTTCTCTGCAATTCTTACTTAGTGACTTAAAATATCAGTGAAGTGGTTAAAAATTTAGTTTAAAAAGTTGGCTTTAACAAGTTTGCATTTTTTGTTGCCCAGGAAAACATAACTTAAGATTGCAATATTCAAGAAAGGGAGAAAGATACTTAATTACCCTCAAATAAGAAAACTAATTGTTAGTATAAAGATATAATTTTTATATTATTTTTAAAATATTATTAAGCAGCAAATGAAAAAAATCTAGGTTAATAGTTGGGTTCTGTTTTGAAAGTATTGTTCCATTAGTTTGAATTGTTCTGAATTAAAAATTCTGAATTCATTGGCAGTTTTACCTTGGGAGTTCACCCAAAACATAAGTAAATAACTAACGGCATTGCTTTATTATTATTATTTATGAAATTAAGTAACAATGATATTTTTAACCCAAACCAAGTTTATCAAGATTAAAGAAAAAAAAAAACCTAGTCCTCAAATTAGATAGCTACAGCATGTGGTATGCAGCTACTGCCAAGAAAATCAGTGTTCACTTTCCATATACAAAACCAAGCAAATTATAGATAAACCATTACCTTGATACCATTCTCTAGGGGCTCATGTTGAAGTGGGAAAGGCAGGTCAAAGACAAGACAAATGAAAAATGTTACAGGTTAAGTCAGGATGTTGTAAAATATGCCTTCGACCCCTTTGGTTTGACTTCATTCTTAAGGAGTTTGATTTCCAGAGGAAAAAAAGAAAATTTTAGGTTATAACTTCCTAGAGAGTGTTTTAGCAGATTTTAGAGCCCTTTGTTTATCCTGATTTCTGACTTCACAAATTGTATCCTTTTTATTCTCTATCCTTCTATATCTACAGTAAAGTACTGTGAAGATTGGTTTCTTTACTCATATCCCATTGATTTAACCTAATAGTGTGAAGGATAAGAAAACCTTGGTTGTTTTTAATATTAAATTCAAGCCGTTAATATTTCCCCCTGAAATACTAGTTTTATTCAGAATTTGTCTTTTTTTCTCAAAGCAGTCTTTTCTCTTTATACACCTATTAGGTTCCTCTTCCCTATCTTTGGCATCATGATAAGATTTTATTTGGAGATAACACAGAAAGGAAAGCTTTTTTCATAATCATCAGTGATGTGACATTGTGCATCAGTAGAGAGCAGATGCTGAAGGGGGGATTTGGTTAAAAACCCCCTCTTTTGGAAATCAGTTTTTTACTTACCAGGGACTTTCTCACTCGGTGCTTCAAGGCTGTCAGCCAAGAGTATAATCTGCTGTTTTTAGACAAACCTTTGCCAATCACTTAAATTTTGCAGTTACACTTACATAGTATGTTTCAGTTGAATTTCAATCCAAAGAATATTTAGTCATGATACAGTATCATATTTGAAAGATCATTAGCTATGTTAAACTTAAGTATTATACCAAGAACCTTGGATAAACAGTTTAAATTTATAACCAACTGATACGTCCAAAAGGTGCTAAGTGTTCACTGTGTTTATTTATTATTGCTCCATTTCAATTGTTTTAACTGAACTCAAATTTAAGTTTATCTATTTTACTAGACATTATGCCTTCTTTTTACAATTTCTTGACCTTAGAGTCCACCCACCACCTCCAGTTATTATAAAGAACCGATTATGTTGTATTTAAAGTATAAGGAGGAAAAAGCCCTGCTATACTAATATAGAACATTATAATATAGTAGTAAGAGAAAACTAAATCTATGGCCAGTTTACATATTCAAACATTATAACATTAATTTACATAACAATCAAGAAAACTGAATCTTTAGTTGGCTCTAATATTAAGCAACTCAGTGAAAACCGTAAAACCATGGACCAAAATTTTTGCCCAAGGAGTAGTTTGGGAAAAGATTCCAGAGGCAGATATTCAAAAAAATAAAACAACCAAGGAAAGTATGTGATATACAAATTATTTTAGGGATGGCACTATTGCCCTTGAAAAGTCTGTTAAACTCCTCTTTTTCCGGATTGTTGTAAAAATTAAATGAGATAACTGATGCAAGGGGTCTAGCACAGTTTCTGCCCCAGAGTAAGTGCTTGTTAATAAATGTGAGCTATGGTTATAATCATCTACATTCTTGATTTTCTAGCCTTTCTGGTTATAATGTTTAGCTTAATGCAGTTCCAGTAGTATTTATGAAATGTGTGGTGAAGGGAGCACACCAGTAGGCTTCACAGAGATGTCCAGCACGGGGCTCCTATCCTCAAGGGTGGAAGTAAAGCGGATGTATTAATAAATCTGAAGCAGAATGTGAGAGCAGTACAGTACAGTGCAACACATTTCACTTTGAACGTTATGAACTTCTGATGTGTTCGCAGCAGTTGTGTAAATGTTAAAACCACAAGTAATTATTCTTTCTCTTCTGTCATGCTCTCTCTAATTTATACTGTCTCAATATTTTTGTTTATAAAAATGACTGAAAGAATGAGCGATTGTGTCAATAATGAAGACACCCCCTCATTTTTAGCAAAGAGACAGCCCCAAAATCTCAAGAAGTGAACAATTAAATGAGTCATAAATCTATCATTCATAGTTAAATGGAATTTTTTAAAGATAGTGTGGTTCAATAGCATTTTTATGGTGCAATTAAAAACTATCCCTTCAGTAAATCAGTACCCAAAGGAGAATGATATTTGGGTTTTTTTTTTTTTTGTACTGGAGACATCAGATTGTCAATTTCTTCCTTATTTGCAAATACAAGGATGCATGCTAAATCTCAGACATCTGGCTTTTGTAATGTAGTGGTAGCAACCTGCATTTTGGATTCAAATCAAAGCCTCTTCCTTGCTGACAGGGTGATCTCAGTCAAGTAACGGAAGCTTCTTAAGCCTCAGTTTCCTCATCTGTCAAAAGCTGGGATGGTGATGCCTAAATCCGCATGACAGTTAGGACAAATGAGAAAATGTTCGCCAACACAAACCTACTTGATGGACTCTCAATCTTTGGAAAAACAACTTAGTAATAAGTAAAATTTCTTTACCTCTCCCTCACAATCCAGAGCTTACACAGTATGTGCTGTACGTTAAAAGCTCATTGTCTCATTGACAGACTGTTAATTTCACACACACACACACACACACACACACACACACACACGCAAAATCGCTGAACAAAACACAGCCCAAGAAACGTCAAGGACAAATAGGCTAGATATGAAATTCCTGAAGCTCTGGTCCAGCATCAGGTGACATGGTCAAAGAGAAGAGACAGCTCTCTTTTTAGAACGTCTGATGCCCCTGAACTGGTATGGCCAAGAATAGTTCTTGGCTTTGGTATAGTCTTGGGGTATTTCTCTAAGAATATACCACAAAATGCACTGAGGTTTCAGAGAAGTTTCTTCATAGTTTAACATTATGCATTATTATATAATTTCCCTAAGAAACCCCCAGAAAAAGTGGAGCCTTTATTTTGTGTGTAAGAATCCCTAATTAGGAGTCTTTAGCAAGATAAGAATCAGAAATCTGATTTGCCCCCTTTCTACATTAAGCATATTGAAATTTTCATCATACCCAGATTTCTGACCCCTGAATGTTTTGTGGTTGCCTTTTCTCTTAGAGCTATTCAATGTAAAATATCTTTTTTTCTCAAAAAAATAAAAATAAAAACAAAACTGATTTTGATACACAACAGCTGAATAACTCACAGTTCCTAGCATATGTAACAAGGTTTCAGGCATTCAGGCTAGGACTGCAGTCTAGAAGATCATATTTTTCCACTAATTTTTTTTTCAACTGTCACTTCCAGTAGAGTAGGGGATTGTATGAGCAAGTTTATGATACACAATTTAAAGTAATTTTCTATAAAAAGATGTATGTTCATTTGAGGCACAAAACAATATCCTGATATTGGAAACTAACTTTTAATCTTAAAACTTTAAAAACTAAAATATAAAATTAATTGATGATAGTGAGCATTATTATGTATGTGACATTTCCTGTCTAACAACCCAGTATGCTGTAACTGTTTTCAAAATTGCTTTATTTTTTTTTTAAAGTGAGTAAAACATTTTGTTGAAGTAAAAGCAGCAAATTGATACTTCAGAGGTCCAGCTGTGTGTTCAGCTTAATGTTTTCCTGTGTCAATTTGCTTCAAATCCCTCAAAATCAGATACTATTAACAAATTACTAAACAAAATTATTTTTATACATTTATATATTAGAAGTTATTTCCCGGGTAACAACTAATCGCAGATACTAAAAAATACTGGACATTTCACTGTAACATTGGGTGTTTCTGATAGAAGCTGGTCTCTTAAATTGACAGTAAGTAAGTAAGCATCATTACCATTTAAGTATATTACAGGGGAGAAGATTATTGACTAAAATATTACAAAATCTACTTTTAAAAGCATATTTAATCATCCACTCAAAATAGCACACTAAAAGTTAAACAGCTACTCTGGTGTTCAGTGTAGCTAAACTCAGTATTTCCTACTTGTAAATATTTATTTATCCAGAAAGAGACCAGAAATATGGTTTGAACATCACCATTCTGTGCCTCTTTATGAGAATTCAGTGTCTTCTGAACCAGAACTACTATTTACTATGCCCAAGTTGACCTTACAACATGTCCCTCAAACTTGCACATCACCTCTGGCTTAGGACAACCTTGACTGTCCTGTCCCTAGTTGTGTCCTCTCTTCATTTGTATCCCCATAATTTGCAAATGAGACTCGACATAGAAAGGCTTTCACTATCTCAGAGCATGACTGGTTCTGAAGGAGCAGTGTAGTGTTGTACTTCAGGGCATGGACTCTGGACATACTGCTTGGGTTCAAATCATAGCTTCACCAGTTGATAGCTGTTTGACATTGAGCAAATTCCTGGACCTCTCTTTTCTTCGGTTTTCTCATTTCTCATTTTTCATAGGGATACTATTAGTATCCCACAGGGTTGTTCTTGTGAAGATTAAAAGTGCTTTATATCCATGTACAATATCTAGCACTTACATAGCAGTTACAAGTGCCTGGTACTCTTCTGAGCAGTTAATGTGTATGCTTAATGTTGTGTTGTTGGTAAATAATACTATACACTGTGTTAGCGATTGCTAATATTGTTGGATGGTAAGATTGTCAATGACTGCCTCAGATGAGTACCTGAGAGCCTCTCATTCAGATTACTTTCATGCTTCTCTCACACTAGGGAAATACTTCTATTGAGAAAACTAAGGCTCTGTAGGGTTGAGAGAACTCTTAACAGAAACATTTTGAGTAGAACCTAGATTACTCTGCCTTATCTTTTTTTTGTCCCCAACTCCTGGATGCCTGTAAACCTTTCTCTCTGCGCTGCCTCATTCAGACATCATTTCTCATGTATTCTAGAGCAAGGCGTTCTAACTAGCTTCTCTAACAGCAGTCCAACCCCCTTTTGTCTCTCCTTTCCACTGCCATCATTGTTCCTTTCCTAACACAAATTTAATAAAGCTAACAACTAAGAAGCTATCTTAGGCACTCATTTTCTAGAGTATAAAATTTGGTAAAAGCTTAGTATAAAGCCTACAGTGTAAAGTTAACATAATCTTAGAGGTTCATGTTAGCCAAGCCTTCTTTTTCAACTTCGGAAAACTTTCTGCTCTTCAAGATCCATTGTTTCATCTTCAGAGGAATGCCCCTCCTTCTAAACTCTGAGATCTCTCTGTCCTGCATTCCTTCTCTCCGCAAAGCCTCTCTCTGAACCATCTGATAAATTCCTGTTCACTCTTAATAGCCACCCTGCCACCATTCTTTTCCCTAGGATACCATGCAGCTTATCTTTTGGTGAAAAGTTCTGTATGAGTAAATTAGTATTGAGATTTACCTTGATATAACGACAACCTGTGGCAACAAATACTCGTCAGTGTGGAAGAAAATATCAGAGACTTCAACTTTTCATTTTCATTAGGGAAAATGTCTGACTTGTTTAATTCTACCACTTGCAGTTAGCTAAGGTAATGTGCTGTGAAATGATTAACAGGTGCAACAGGTAGAAAAGACGCTTTAATTAACTCTCTATAAACAAATTTAGTAGGTGGGCACTTACATGATTTCCTGGCTTTCATATATATGGTAGATAAGCAGTTTGTCTCAATAGTGTACTTGGTCATCAATTTGCAATCATTATCTAAAATATAAAATTTTCTCAAGTAGCATAAAGAGAAGAGACCCTTGATGTTTCAATTTAACAAGTTACTCATTACATTTTCAGTTCTCACCTCATTGTCCCTCAATAACTTACCTTTTAGTGCCTTTCCTGAATAATTCTTAATTTTTCTAGCATATTCTATATATCTATTTGTGAAGCACCTGAAACATATAAAGAACTAGTACTCTGTGTATTATCGCTGCCACTAATTGCAGCAGAGGGGAGTGAATTCAGTGTGGGCTGAAGTTGTCTGAAAGGCATCATGAAAGAGTTGGAACTTTAGTTGATCCTTAAAAGATAAATTTGAATTAAACAGGAGAGCCAATACTGCCAGTTATTGAACTGCTAGAGCAAAGATTTGCATATATTCCGAGGACCATAAGGCAGGCTGTGACCATTGGAAATTAGGTTTCATAGATAGAGTGTGTCAACTGTAGACAGTTCTGAGAGCCAGGCAGGGCACTGACTCAACTGTGTTAAGCACTCATGTATGAAAAAGGAACATGATGGAAGTAGCAGTTCAGAAAGACTTCCTTGAGTGGGTTGGTTAGCATCACACAAATGCACAAAAGTTTGCATACAGCTTTAAGGAACTCCTCTGAAGGCCTGAAACTCCTCTTAAGGCCTGGTGAAGAACCCCTCAAGTAGAGACCAGAGGCCCAGATGGAGAGTTGCTGAAATATTTTTTTTTTTTTTTTTTTTTTTTTTTTGAGACGGAGTCTCGCTCTGTCGCCCAGGTCGGACTGCGGACTGCAGTGGCGCAATCTCGGCTCACTGCAAGCTCCGCTTCCCGGGTTCACGCCATTCTCCTGCCTCAGCCTCCCGAGTAGCTGGGACTACAGGCGCCCGCCACCGCGCCCGGCTAATTTTTTGTATTTTTAGTAGAGACGGGGTTTCACCTTGTTAGCCAGGATGGTCTCGATCTCCTGACCTCATGATCCACCCGCCTCGGCCTCCCAAAGTGCTGGGATTACAGGCGTGAGCCACCGCGCCCGGCCGAGTTGCTGAAATATTTATTCAAATGGTGATGGAAGCCAAAGCTAAGATGGTGGCAGTGGAAGTAGAGACAGGCATTTCTGAAGAAAAATGAATAAGATTTGGTATCTCATTGGATATGGAGATGGAAGGAGGAGAGGGGATAATAGAAGATGACAGTTTGGTAGATTAAAAAATGGTTATGCCAATGGCAGAATTAGCCATGGTCCATAGTGACTAATTCTGTTTATGCTTATTAGTCTTATATGCTTGTATTCATAATTCAAAGTCCTAGAAAAGAAAAAGAAACAAGTGAAGAAAACTCAAAATGCCTAAACATCCAAATAAAAGAAAGTTTCAGAACTTTGAGCTCAAAGAGAGCTACATGTTCAAGTGAGCTCTGTGAGACAAGGCAAAATGCCTTCCTCATAATATCTTAAGCCAGGAATATGTTCTTTGAATTTACGACTTCTTAAAATAGGAGTCAATAAAAAAAATGCAGCAAGTGTTTGCAAGTTAACTGGGGAGAAAAATGTTTTTCTCCTAACACCACATTCAAGTTCTATGTATTGACACTAATATGAGTATATACAAACTTGTAACCAGAAGAGGTAGATTCTCTAATCCTTTATGTAAGTTAACTCATATATGCTTAAATTTGTTATTTTTATGTAAAACAATATTTTTAATCAAATGAAACTATAAAACAAACTGACTCTAAAGTTGGTCTGTACTTCATTTTCTTATAATCTATAATCAGGAAATCCATTCACTCCTGCTTTATAATTTTTGTGCCTTTAAGTGGTCAGAGGAATGTGACATCTGCATACAGTCACGTCTAAATTGATAATTGTCCAGGCAGAGGGTAATTTTAAAACATAGCATGAAAAAAGGTTGAATCCATATATTAGAAGGTTGTTGAGAGGTGGTGTTTCCCACCTCCCGGACCCCTGAATTTAAATGCGACCATTCTCTTTGGTGAATTTATCTTAAGGTGGGACAACAGGCTCAACACAGGCCGCAGCATTCTGAGTGAGGAGGAGGCTGCGGTTTCCCAGCCGGTTTAAATGCAGGCTCTTCTTAGCAGTAAACCACACGCATGTATTCATCATTGATTTTCAAATCATAGGTTTCTATATCACTGGTTTAGGATCCACAGTCTTGCATTCCTGAATCTATATTATGTCCAAAGAATAACAATTTGGTGGCTGGAAACAGAAATGGTTATTATACGGCTCCAAAATGCTAGCTGGCACAATATGCTAAAAACAGCAGAAATTCACTAGCAAAAAGCAGAATTTATTTGTTCTTAAAAATAACTTGATGCTCTAAAAATATGAATTTAAGAAGTGTCATCATGGTTCAAAATATTTTACATTTCAGTATGTAAACACCTTAAAATATGTGACTAATCTTCTAAAATGGCGTAATTTCCAAATAACAGGAAATATTCCAAGAGAAAAATAGAAGGCTTTTAAAATCAATTTTTTTAGTTTTGAGGTATTTACTGAATGAAAAGCTACAATGTATATTTACTTTTTTTTCCCCTACTGCTGCCCTGAATCACTGTTTAAAATGTGGGCAAAAAGACATAGGCTTTGTTGGAATTTCTCAGAGAGTTTACTGTAGAAAATGCTAAAAAAAAAAAAAAAAAAAAAAAAAAAAAAAAACAAACTTTTCTCAAGGCCTCCGTGAAGCATTTCCATTTTCGCACACTGGCCCAGTGCTTGTCATATCACAGGACAACACATTTCACGAAGCGGTTTTACTTCCTTTTAGCAAAATAACTCCTCCATGCAAACCAGTATCGGCATCTACCGAGCTGGGGTTTTAGTTTCTTCTGATCTATTCAAGCTTCATTGCACTGCTTAACAGACTTTTTTCTCCCCCTTCTTTTGAAATTACCCAGCTAATTTTCCATTTGATTGTTTATATAAACCAGATCTCACACAGGCTTAATAGATAAGTGACATATGTCTTCAGTGTGTCCATCTGACCTTCAGCTGACAGCAAAGTATAGAGCAGAATTGACCTTGATGTTCTTATTCTCTTTTTATCCCGTAGAATCTATTAATTCAAACTAAGTTCATAACATATTCACAATAATGATTCAGGATGACATATTAAATATAAAACTCCTCTAAGCACTCCATTTTGTCAAGCTTTTTTTTTTTAAGTGAACATACTCTCTTTTGTTTGTTTTTTTCTTCTAGTGAGAGGAAGTAAATGCATTGTTTTATGTAACAGCTTTTGCCATGGAATACTGTTCGAATTTACTGTAAAGAAAATTTGGGGGTTTGTCATATTTATCTAGCTTTAGAGAATTTGGCTAATATTCCAGAAGTTTTCTTATAGAAGGGAATTGATATTCAGATTCAACCAACATTTCTTAAGTGAGTCCTGTCACTTAACACACGTTTTGGGGGTGTCCAGTTTGCTTTATTTTTGTTTTTTTGCCCCAGGAACTGGGATAATTTTATTCATAATCCAATTGACAGACTTAATCTTGTAGTTATTTGTTATATATTCAGCCTGTTTATTCATGCATAAAATGAGACAGGTAAATGAATGGGATATGAAGAACAAATCTGCTTTATACAGTGTGCCTCAAATATATTTTGCTTCTAAAGATGTTCCCATAAATATCTCCTGAAATATACCTTTGCTCTGCCTTCCCAGTTCCTCATGGCCTCTATCTCAGGCCATCAAAGTAGTCTCCAGACTGGTCCACACTAGCAGGCCTTACTAATTCCTGAGTATACCAATGCCAGTAGATCTTTCTGACCACTTAGAGGTCTGTGTCATACCTCTACTCTGAAACTTTCATTTCCACCATATAAACCCAAGGACTTTTAGCCTGGAATTTGAGATCTCCACAGCCCAACCCCTGCATCCCTCCAGAGCCTCTGACACCCCTCTCTTTTCACGGGTCCCCTTCTAAACAGGTTCCTCTCAGTGCCCCTTACCATGCTCTTTAAACTCCTACCTCAGCCCTTTCCTACTGCCCAGTCACAAGCCTAACATATCTTCCTATGGCCTTTCTTTAAGGCCCTCATCAATTCCTGCCTCTTCTGTGAATCTTTTATTGGATCACCTCTTCTCTCCCGGGAACTCAATAACACTTAATCTGGATTACTCTGCAGGCACCTCACCCTACGCTGCCTTGTATTGGTCTTTATGTTTTCCATGAGTATGTATTGGATTACCACAAAGAGATTTCAGAGCTTTTCAAGCCTGGGGCCTTGTCTTTGCATCCTCACTGGGTAGCACACAATCTCACTCATGCAGGGGTAATAGATACTTGTGTTTTGTAATGATGGCAATAACAATGAGGTTTAACTGTCTCCTTTAGAAAGCTTCAGAAAACAACTGTCTAGTTTCTAGCAAGGATTGTTGAATCAGGTAGCTGAGTTCTCTTATTCTCCCTTCAGAGGCAGTGGAGGAAATCAGCAGATGTCTTTCTGAGTCCACTGTCATGCCAGCTCTGCTGGCATTTGTAATCAACTCCTCCCTAGCTCTCTTGGTCATATTTTGAAATATGAAAAACGCAGACCTTGGGATACCCACTTTTCTGTTAGTAGGATACTGAACATCAGAGACCTAAGAAAACCCTTTCAGTCTTCCAGTTCAATGGCTATTCCTGTGCCTTGGTGAATCAGCACTTTAGCGGAGGCATCATCACTTCATTTCAGCTCCAGGGAAGGAGTCTTGCTTTCTGAAGTTCTGTGTGAGGAGGAAAGCAAGGGTTGTACACTGAACTTAGTAAGGAGGGCAAAGCAGATGGAAGAAAAACCATAGAGAGAATTCACTCAGAGAAAAGCGGAACTGAACAGCAAAATGTGTAAGCGGCTTCCCCTCCTCCTGCCTGTCCTAGAAATTACAGTCTTGCTGGTATGCCCTTTCTTCATTTAAGGACACACAGACACACAAAATAAAACCCAAACCAGTGAACTGAAAGAGTGAGTCACGCCAGCCAGGCCTCCGCCAAGCTAGTCAATTAAAGTGCAAGACCAGTTCTGTGCTTTTCTTAGACCCTGAACTACTGTCTGACTTTCTTCCTGAATATTTTTGATAGGAAAAAAAGTATATGCTGACTTCTGAGCAAGTTGATGTATATTGGCTCTCTTCTCATAAAAAGTTTTTAATCTTCCTTCAGAGGACTATTGAATACTTAATTGGGTTACTTGTCCCATGGAGGTCAAATCAGTCATCCTATGGTTTTGCAATGTACGTCTTACCATTAAGCTTTTGTTTTTATTCTCATGTTGTGTATTCTTCGGAAACGTATTTGACCTAGATTTCTTCCTAAATGCTTTATTGTTTTTTGTTAACAGGGAACGGGTATGGCAATCCCCGAAACTCACCAGGTCTGCTGGTCTCACCTGGTAACTTGAACAAGAATATGCAAGCAAAATCTCCTCCCCCAATGAATTTAGGAATGAATAACCGTAAACCAGATCTCCGAGTTCTTATTCCACCAGGCAGCAAGAATACGATGCCATCAGTGGTAATACAAAACTACATTTTAAATAAATATTGATAATGTTTTGTATATGTTTTGCTGTTTTTATATTTGTCTAACTTGATGAATTACTTAACATTCTCCCAGAAAATTAACATAACAGTGCCATTGACAGAGCCTTGCTTGTATTTAGCTATTATTTCTGGTAACTGGTTTGCATTTCCCTTTTCCGTGTAAAAAAAATATATATATATATCTGGTGAACTTCACTAGGCTGATGTTCTAGGATAAGAAAAACATTTTCTTTTAAGGCTTTCAATTTATAGTTGGAAAAAAATCAGACACTACCATCGGTCAATCTCTACGTCCCATAAGCAGAGTAATAATAGGTAATGAGGTACTTTATAACATAGTATTTTTACAATATTTATGTCCTCAACACGCTGACAATGAGAAAGTACTTTCCACAATTTCTAAATGAACTTTCTCCTGTTAATTAGCAAATCCTTTCTTAGATGTATTGCAATGATTATATCTAATACATCGCATGCCTACACACTGCCTCAATTCATCTTTCCATACATTTACTTCATGAAAATAGCTATCTCTCAAAAGCAAATTAAAATCCTAGGCATTTTAGGAACAAAGGTTATATTTTACATCAAAAAAGAATTGTAGCACCTCTAAGGAAGATAAATAAATAAGAAATTTTAAATAGAGGTTATATCCCCAGACCCTGTCATTTTTCTTTCTTCTGGGTCTGCATGCCTAAGATGAAGATAATGTTATGGGACCAAATTCAACAACAAAGAGACTTACATCAGTGTTCTACAAATTAGCTTTGCTTAAGAGCAAGAACGTTTAAAACCAAGATTCGGTAGACAAATTTAGATCATTCTGCAAACACATTTATTTCTTTTTTCTTTCTCTGCTCTGTGGCAAGCTTCAGGGTAAAACAGTCCTGTGAGCTGATTAGTTTATTATGGCACAGTGCAGATTAATTTTGAATATCAACCAAAAACATCACATAATATGCAACATTCCCTTCAGAAAAAAACTGGGTCTAATAAATATAACCTCCTACAGGGCTACAGCCAAGCAGTGTGGGCCGTGCATGGCAGGCCATCTCTATCAACAGATTTATTCCAGGTCCCTTAAAACTGATGCTGTCCCAGGGAATCTGTGATGGGTCAGTTAGGTCCCTCTCTGGCAGCCAGGTGTGTAGCTCCCCTTCCTCCAGCAAGTGAGGTTTCAAAGCACAGTCTTTTTTTTTCCTTCAAAATGAAGTGATGAAATAATGAACATTGAGACACTGACCTGGGCTGAAAACCGGGTAGATTGTCTTCACATTTGAGACAAACAGCTCATTAAGGGAAACAAAGAATGTCTTTGTAAGGAGTTATCTTTGGAGTCTGGGTTTTAAAACTGTTTAAACTGTTGTGTCTATCGGAAGATGCTTTTCCTTTTGTTGAAAAGATTTTGCCCAATTATAAATATTTACGGACACTAATTAATAAAACTCCTTCCGCATGCTCTCAGTCTGAGGATGTCGACCTGCTTTTGGTAAGTGGTGAGAGCGCTTCCCTCAAATGGCATGTGCAAAGCTACTTTTAGGTAGAGGTGGTAGCTTTGATAAAATTGGAAGATATTGGAAGTTACCACAGTATGTCAACATTGATTATGTTTAAATACCATTAATTTCTGGCATCACTCACAGGTGAAAAGAATGTCAGGTTTTTTTTTTTGTTTCAATATTTTTTCTGTTTTCAATATTTTAGGACAATTTATAGTAAAATTCAAACAAAAATATTCTTTCATTACATAAAACTAAAATATTTCTTCTTCTGGGAATTAAAGTCTCATGATTTTAAGTTTATGTGGTGGATCTTTTATCTCTTTACTGTAATGAGTTAAATATTCGCATTAGCTGCTTTGCCATCTAGTTTGAGGGAAGTTTAGAAGAATCTGAACAAAGTGGTCACAGCACCACCTGCTGGTCAAAATATAACATGAGCCCCTACTCATTTGCTCTCTGCTGTATGTAGAACTGAACATAAAAACTACCATGGTTGATTTTAATTTTTTTTTAATTTGCATTTGAATGAAAACTGAAACAATGGAAGTACAGTATACATATTTCATCAGTTTTCAACATAGTCTGTTTTTACCCATAATAAAGCTATGGTACTTGTTACTAGTTCAGTTGCCTAGGAGATACTGATGTAATGGGTTACTATGGCAACAGCTGGTCTCTTGAAGGATTGTAAATGATAGGGTTGGCAGAGTTCATAGAGACACATGTTAAATGATTAATTTCATGAGATTTGTACCAAGTTATCTCTTTATGTGGAAAACTAATACTGAAATCTAATATTTTTAACTTTTAAAAAAATTCATCAGTAATGTCTTTTTATTTATTTTAAAAGAATCAAAGGATAAATAACTCCCAGTCGGCTCAGTCATTGGCTACCCCAGTGGTTTCCGTAGCAACTCCTACTTTACCAGGACAAGGAATGGGAGGATATCCATCAGCCATTTCAACAACATATGGTACCGGTGAGTAGCTTTGTCATGTGCAATTAGTACACTAAATACTTTTTATTGAAAATCAAGATGAAAAAGTTATCTTTTACTCTATTAGGAAGCTTTATTTAGGGCCTGCGCCGTCCACAGCACTGCAGCATTACCCATTCTTCACTAAGACAAAGTGAATATCCACATTTTTCTTTCTTAACTGACTGAAAGTTTTATTTATGCAACCTGAGTTCAAAATAGAAACACACTTTCAAGAAAATTGAGCTGTTTCTTTGATGTAATAAAAAGCTCACTTTCTCAGGATTGTTTAACATTTCTACATCATCAAATATGTACATACCTTTATACTAGATTGTAGTTCTAATAAACTAGAATTGCGGACTATGCTACTTCAGAGCATTCGTGGAATACTTATTTTTGGTTTATAGTATATTCCTTTTAAATTAGAATTATCGCTGATGCTTTATCTCCCCTCCCCTCAAAATTAAAAATATCTATAATAACGATAATCCTAATAGAATATTTTGGAAATTGAAAATGTTTATTCTATTTACCATTTGATAATTTCTAAATTTAATATTTTCCCTTGTTGTTTTATTCTTTAATCTAGAGTACTCTCTGAGTAGTGCAGACCTGTCATCTCTGTCTGGGTTTAACACCGCCAGCGCTCTTCACCTTGGTTCAGTAACTGGCTGGCAACAGCAACACCTACATAACATGCCACCATCTGCCCTCAGTCAGTTGGGGTAAGCAATATTATTTTTTATAATATAATTTTAGAATGTATTTTGAAAAACAAATGACAGTCTCTAAATATGTGCTTCAATATCCCATTAACGGGTATAAAACTCTACTTTATTGAAATCCAAGTGTAATTTTCAGATCAATACTTTTCAAGTAGCTTAAATCTTATATACCTGTTTTTTAAGAGGACAGCGAGCTCTGTAATAATGAGGTAAATTCTTTCCTTATTGTTTTAGGCTACATTTGTTTCCACTTCTATCAGTGATATAATTTTTATTTAGTTTTCACACAGTTCATTTGGGACATAAGAAGGCATTTATAGTATAAGCTTAGATATTTGAGAATTTTTCTTTTTTCACATAAACCATATGGTTTATGCTAATGTTAACCTAATACACATAGGAACAACTAGTCAATTGATACACAGGCTTCATGTATTTATAATGTACTCATAGTATAGTTGTATACTTATAGATATTTTAAGAAATATATGTATATAATACTAACTAGTACATATAATACTAATTACCTAAATTTGGATATAAAAATAATTTTTGTTTTATGTAGTCAGAGGATGTATCTTTCTGCCCCCTTGTGGTAGTTTTCAGATATGTCTTTATCATAGAAATGACTCTTGTCATTTATCTATGGAAACGTTCAAACCTTTAAAAAGCTCTGAATTCACAATTCACACTATTTCATATAAAACAAATCATTTTTTTAAAAAAGCTTAAAACGTTAACTGAAAGCCTGACTGTAAATTTAATAAGTCCAAAATTGCAATTAATCTTCAAAAGAAAATACCAGGAGGATATAAAATATTTAAAGATAACAAGCTTTTATATTTTAAAAATATTCTGTCTGCCTAGCCCACTTTTACTTTTCTGCTTAGCCATTTGTTATCGTTAATCACTTAGCTGTATTAGTTAACTAGTTATATATCCATATGTCTAAGGAGACAGTGAGAATAAAACACTGATTAGTATAAAAGTCACTGATTTATACCACAACTTTGTGTCTCTTATGTTTGCTGGTGCCCTCTCTCCCCCCACCCACTAGCTTTCACATGATAGTGATTTAGCATATATTAGTGATCTGATTATGAAATATTCACCCGTACACTGTTTGCTTATGTTCATCCTACCCGCTAATCACTGTCATTGAAAATCTAACCTTTCATTTAAATAGTAAGATAAATTCACGTGATACTGTTGGTCAGCTTTCTTGAAAGATAGTTAACTTTGAAGATACATTACATATTGATCAGCGCAGAGTTTTATCTTTTTAGGACACTTAAATTTTCTCTGGAATGTTAACTATTCAAGTAGACATTAACTGTGGGAACTTCTTCAGGTAATTATCACCAAGCACATAATTCCATCCAGGCAACTAAAAAATATGTACATGTATACATATTTTGTACAAAGTATCAACTGCTATGGCTTAGCAGGGAATCCACTGAACATGATTCTTGTCAAAAATAAACATAACTGCTTATTTCCCATTTTTTTCACAAAATTCATCCATTATAGGGCTAGATTTCCCTAAAAGTTATCAATGTCAAAAGCCATATTATTTTCTCTGAATGTGGCTTTTTTTTGTTTTCAATAGTACCTGATAATTTATATTTTTACATATAAACACATATTTATTTACATATTTTAGCTGTACTACAATTTTAAAACTCTTTTCTATTACAAGGAAGAATCTAATTCTCTGCTGCCTCTAATAGAGGTTTCAGAAAATGAGAAAGGAGGGACAGCCTTAGACAGAAAGGAACTGAATTACAACAGCCAAAGGTTAAGCATTTTGTTCAGCTCCCGGTTCCTTTCAACACTTAATTTCGTTGTGCTTAATTTGACTCTTAGTTTTCTCTGTGAGTTTTAATTGCACTTAATCACTTCCCTTACCCCTCAAATCAATGGAATGACCCTTCCAGTCCTTCCACTGTTGGCCCTTCTCTCTCTCTGCTTCACACACACTCTTTTCTCCCTCTCACAATCACACACAGAGTAGCTTTTTGAAAGGAGGTTCCTTCACATGGACTACCTCATATTCACACGATTAAATGTTAAACTGTTTTTTTAAAAAATCCCAAGCTGCAATACTTATGTAAAGTAATTCACATGAGCATCCTTAATTCTTTACAGTGTAAATCAATTTAAAAAGAATTGATACATTTTCCAGGCCAAAGTTGTCGCAGAGATTTGTGTTGCGGGCTCACATTCTTTTGGCTAGAGACAATGTTCATAGCAGAGTGGAATATATTTCAGCTCCACCAAAGTAGATATTCCCAGCAGCCCAAGATGGTTACCACAATTCTTTCTCAAAATTGCAAAACCATAAACAGAGTTCTTCATATTTTGTCCATGGAAAAAAAGTTCATTTTGTCCTTTGGAGCTTTAAGTCTTCAAAGCTATACTTTTAAAACCTAGTATCTGATTTTATCTAACCAAGCTAAGTAAGCAACACAAATTTATTTGCTATAGGGAGAGAGATGGCTGACAGAGGAACTTGCCATCAAGAGTTAATGAAAGTCCTTTGAATACTAATATTTGATTTAGTGTAACACTAAGTTTTAGTGTTTTTCTAAACCACCACCTATAAAAAGGGCAGCCTGTTTTCTGGAAGCATTTCCATACGTCAACTTTGTTGATGTGGGTGTTCAGTACATACTGAGAGAGATAACTCTGAGTAGAGATGACTTATAAAAGGTTAGGTTAAATATAGTTTGATAGTCTAATTTCCAGGCGGAGGCAGTAAAAATTTTGAATAAAACTATCCAGTCATGTTTGATTTCTGAACAATTATGGGAAAGGGTAGGAGTTTTCCCAATTCAAAAGCATCTGTAATAGATGAAAATTTGCATAGAGGACTTGATATGGGTAACTTGCATATCTGGCTTCTATCTCCCCACCCACCTCTTTATCACCCACCCACACATATGCAGTATTTCACAATTATCAGGGTCTATAATTATTCGTGTCTATATTTTGTTCTCAAGTAGACCAACATGCTTATATCTGAACCTAGCATATATGCAGTTAAGTTATTTTAATGCTACTTTTTTCTTTTCAAGAAAATACTTCTTTGTTAACAGAGACTAGCCATTCTATTTTATATCCTATGTCACAGTATAATGAAGCTGAATCTAAGATATCACTTGCATTTTACTACTGTGGATTTAGTCCCCAGAACTACTCAAAATGCTTCATGTATGTTTTCAGTGTCAAATGAAATTCCACCAAAAGATAAATTTAAGCTAGTCTGTTTGTAGGAAGGGATAACCAATAATTGTTACATCTTTCATGGGGAAGATACACAGCTAAACCTATACAGGCCAGTTAACATAGGAAGATGATGCAAAGAGGTGAATAATGCAGCTTCCAAAAACTGTATTAAAGAAACAGAATTTTGGTTATATTATTTTTCCCTTACCTTGTCTAGATTAACTGCTTAGACTGTCCAACTCACCAATTTTTTCTTCTAATTTTCTATGTCACCCTCCCTGTGAAGACATAATCTGTATGTCAAAGAGCAAGCAAAAGTATTTATTGACATATCACTTTTTATTTTCAGACTCCTAATTCATATTCATTATTAAATAGTTGTGTGATTCATAGCAGAAGCATTTAATTAAATTTTAGTGAAATGGTCTTTCTTAGAGCCAGGAAAATTCTTTATTCCAGAAATCAAAAGACGATTTCCTCAAACATCAGAATGAATCACTAAGTAACTTTGAACCAAGATAAAATAGTCTACCATTATGAATCCTTTTGAAATACAGGTGTTCCCTCTCCCCATTTTAACAAGGCTTATTTAATTAAAACTTTTGGAAAATTAGTAAACTGATAGACTATAAATTAATAAGCTACAAATAAATAGCTCCAAATATAAACAGGTGTTTGAAAATTATATACAGTCAGTGTAGTTTCTTGATATAAATGCTAACACTGCTTTGATTATATAAGATCATAAAAGCTAGAGAAAGAGACGCTTATTAAGGAAACAAATAATTCTCCTTTATATTATTCTCTACATTAGCTCATCTATTTATTAATAGGAGAAGGAAAGTAATTCTTTGCCAGTAGGTGGTGCTTTTGTACAAAACATCACTCAAAGATAAACTCGTTTCTGACTAATTTTATATCACTATACATCTTGAGTTTGTATTGCATCTCCCAAAAAGCCAGCCCCAAGTTACTTCACTTTTTTTCTGAAATATATACTTTTTCTCTCAGTGGTCATAATGACATTGTTAGTGCCAACTAATTCTCTCCACTGGAAAGCAGCATAATTACATACATTAGTAAGTAGGCTTGCTTTCCTTTGTTTAAAATGGGTGTGTCTGTATGGATAATTCTTCACTTGGATTCTTCCTCAGTAAAAGAGAGTACCATGCTCTTTTGACAATATAGTCAAGTAATCCTGACTCTAGCTCTGGAAGTCAGTGTAATTAGTGTAAGAAGAGTAAAAGCATCTTAAAATTGATGCGAGCAATGCCACTATGGTTTATCCTGATCAAAGTCATTGTGATTGCTAATCTACACTTAAGGGCTTAATACTTTTTTCCTCTAGAATTCCAAGTTTCTAAATTTTCCCAGATTTTGGAAAAAGGAAAAATTATTCTCTCTGGGAATATATGAGGATTAAGGATTATAAACACAGTAAAATCACACTACATCCTTCTTGGCAACAAGCTTTCCTTAGGCAACACCAGATTCATCAACTAATGCCAATGATAAATAAGAGGAGTGGTAGCCTAAGAACCGCACGCATCAGGGAGTGACTAACATTAATAAAATTGAGGTCATTGTGGAACACAAAGTATTTTCATCTCATGTAACTGCAAAAGGATGAAGAAAGTCAAATTATCAGTTTTAATGGAGTAGAAAGTCTTAAGTGTTTGAAAACCAACGTTTAAACTTTCTGCAGATAATTTTCAATTTCCCTCCCCCTTTCCATTTTTTCCACCTCCAAAGCTTTTTACCAGATACAGTTATTGTGCAGCATTTGAGTTCTAGTCATTTAAAATTTAACTCCCTTCACTTTCTCTGAAGACTATGTGATTCCATCTGTATGTGCTTATTAATTGGAGGCAAATATTTATATTGATAATAAGCTTTTAAAAATAATATTCAAACACAAGCATTAGTAAATCAAGGAAGTCTAATTCCAGAGCTAAACACTGTATCTAAATGCTTAGAAATTTAATTTTTAGAACTAGTCTAGGGATAGAGTCCATGAACACAGAAAATGCTTTTTCCATTGTGTCTTAAACCTTTCTGAAATGGTAACCTATATGTTTAGGGAGCCTCTCGGAGACTAGAGATATAATTCATGAGGCCTGGACCAGTTAAATGCTGTAATTACTACCGGGCAAATCAACAAAGGCATCCTAAATCGCCCTGAGAAGGCGATGCCCTTATGTGCTTCCAAGCACGTTTTCTTCACTCTGGGCATGCTCTGGTGTCTATGCGAGTCTTTAAGCTGATGTTTGATTTAATTGTGAGTTCCTGGGGCCTCCAGGCCTCCTTCATCTGTAACTGGGTTTCCTTTCCTCCTACAGAGCTTGCACTAGCACTCATTTATCTCAGAGTTCAAATCTCTCCCTGCCTTCTACTCAAAGCCTCAACATCAAGTCAGAACCTGTTTCTCCTCCTAGAGACCGTACCACCACCCCTTCGAGATACCCACAACACACGCGCCACGAGGCGGGGAGATCTCCTGTTGACAGCTTGAGCAGCTGTAGCAGTTCGTACGACGGGAGCGACCGAGAGGATCACCGGAACGAATTCCACTCCCCCATTGGACTCACCAGACCTTCGCCGGACGAAAGGGAAAGTCCCTCAGTCAAGCGCATGCGACTTTCTGAAGGATGGGCAACATGATCAGATTATTACTTACTAGTTTTTTTTTTTTTCTTGCAGTGTGTGTGTGTGCTATACCTTAATGGGGAAGGGGGGTCGATATGCATTATATGTGCCGTGTGTGGAAAAAAAAAAAGTCAGGTACTCTGTTTTGTAAAAGTACTTTTAAATTGCCTCAGTGATACAGTATAAAGATAAACAGAAATGCTGAGATAAGCTTAGCACTTGAGTTGTACAACAGAACACTTGTACAAAATAGATTTTAAGGCTAACTTCTTTTCACTGTTGTGCTCCTTTGCAAAATGTATGTTACAATAGATAGTGTCATGTTGCAGGTTCAACGTTATTTACATGTAAATAGACAAAAGGAAACATTTGCCAAAAGCGGCAGATCTTTACTGAAAGAGAGAGCAGCTGTTATGCAACATATAGAAAAATGTATAGATGCTTGGACAGACCCGGTAATGGGTGGCCATTGGTAAATGTTAGGAACACACCAGGTCACCTGACATCCCAAGAATGCTCACAAACCTGCAGGCATATCATTGGCGTATGGCACTCATTAAAAAGGATCAGAGACCATTAAAAGAGGACCATACCTATTAAAAAAAAATGTGGAGTTGGAGGGCTAACATATTTAATTAAATAAATAAATAAATCTGGGTCTGCATCTCTTATTAAATAAAAATATAAAAATATGTACATTACATTTTGCTTATTTTCATATAAAAGGTAAGACAGAGTTTGCAAAGCATTTGTGGCTTTTTGTAGTTTACTTAAGCCAAAATGTGTTTTTTTCCCCTTGATAGCTTCGCTAATATTTTAAACAGTCCTGTAAAAAACCAAAAAGGACTTTTTGTATAGAAAGCACTACCCTAAGCCATGAAGAACTCCATGCTTTGCTAACCAAGATAACTGTTTTCTCTTTGTAGAAGTTTTGTTTTTGAAATGTGTATTTCTAATTATATAAAATATTAAGAATCTTTTAAAAAAATCTGTGAAATTAACATGCTTGTGTATAGCTTTCTAATATATATAATATTATGGTAATAGCAGAAGTTTTGTTATCTTAATAGCGGGAGGGGGGTATATTTGTGCAGTTGCACATTTGAGTAACTATTTTCTTTCTGTTTTCTTTTACTCTGCTTACATTTTATAAGTTTAAGGTCAGCTGTCAAAAGGATAACCTGTGGGGTTAGAACATATCACATTGCAACACCCTAAATTGTTTTTAATACATTAGCAATCTATTGGGTCAACTGACATCCATTGTATATACTAGTTTCTTTCATGCTATTTTTATTTTGTTTTTTGCATTTTTATCAAATGCAGGGCCCCTTTCTGATCTCACCATTTCACCATGCATCTTGGAATTCAGTAAGTGCATATCCTAACTTGCCCATATTCTAAATCATCTGGTTGGTTTTCAGCCTAGAATTTGATACGCTTTTTAGAAATATGCCCAGAATAGAAAAGCTATGTTGGGGCACATGTCCTGCAAATATGGCCCTAGAAACAAGTGATATGGAATTTACTTGGTGAATAAGTTATAAATTCCCACAGAAGAAAAATGTGAAAGACTGGGTGCTAGACAAGAAGGAAGCAGGTAAAGGGATAGTTGCTTTGTCATCCGTTTTTAATTATTTTAACTGACCCTTGACAATCTTGTCAGCAATATAGGACTGTTGAACAATCCCGGTGTGTCAGGACCCCCAAATGTCACTTCTGCATAAAGCATGTATGTCATCTATTTTTTCTTCAATAAAGAGATTTAATAGCCATTTCAAGAAATCCCATAAAGAACCTCTCTATGTCCCTTTTTTTAATTTAAAAAAAATGACTCTTGTCTAATATTCGTCTATAAGGGATTAATTTTCAGACCCTTTAATAAGTGAGTGCCATAAGAAAGTCAATATATATTGTTTAAAAGATATTTCAGTCTAGGAAAGATTTTCCTTCTCTTGGAATGTGAAGATCTGTCGATTCATCTCC
Organism: Homo sapiens; assembly: GCF_000001405.40. Lineage (NCBI taxonomy): Eukaryota > Metazoa > Chordata > Mammalia > Primates > Hominidae > Homo > Homo sapiens. The sequence goes on along the minus strand of NC_000005.10, from coordinate 88,720,632 downwards.
AATCATATGCATTGACATACACAGCAAAGAAGATATAGGCAGTAATATCAACACTGCTATATCATGTGTAGGACATTTCTTATCCATTTTTTCTCTTTTACTTGCATAGTTGCTATGTGTTTCTCATTGTAAAAGGCTGCCGCTGGGTGGCAGAAGCCAAGAGACCTTATTAACTAGGCTATATTTTTCTTAACTTGATCTGAAATCCACAATTAGACCACAATGCACCTTTGGTTGTATCCATAAAGGATGCTAGCCTGCCTTGTACTAATGTTTTATATATTAAAAAAAAAAAATCTATCAACCATTTCATATATATCCCACTACTCAAGGTATCCATGGAACATGAAAGAATAACATTTATGCAGAGGAAAAACAAAAACATCCCTGAAAATATACACACTCATACACACACACGCACAGGGGAATAAAATAAGAAAATCATTTTCCTCACCATAGACTTGATCCCATCCTTACAACCCATCCTTCTAACTTGATGTGTATAAAATATGCAAACATTTCACAAATGTTCTTTGTCATTTCAAAATACTTTAGTATATCAATATCAGTAGATACCAGTGGGTGGGAAAGGGTCATTACATGAAAATATGAAGAAATAGCCATATTAGTTTTTTAACCTGCAATTTGCCTCAGCAACAAAGAAAAAGTGAATTTTTAATGCTGAAGATAAAGTAAGCTAAAGTACCAGCAGAAGCCTTGGCTATTTATAGCAGTTCTGACAATAGTTTTATAAGAACATGAAGAGAACAGAATCACTTGAAAATGGATGCCAGTCATCTCTTGTTCCCACTACTGAATTCTTATAAAGTGGTGGCAAGATAGGGAAGGGATAATCTGAGAATTTTTAAAAGATGATTTAATGAGAAGAAGCACAATTTTGATTTTGATGAGTCACTTTCTGTAAACAATCTTGGTCTATCTTTACCCTTATACCTTATCTGTAATTTACCATTTATTGTATTTGCAAAGCTAGTATGGTTTTTAATCACAGTAAATCCTTTGTATTCCAGACTTTAGGGCAGAGCCCTGAGGGAGTATTATTTTACATAACCCGTCCTAGAGTAACATTTTAGGCAACATTCTTCATTGCAAGTAAAAGATCCATAAGTGGCATTTTACACGGCTGCGAGTATTGTTATATCTAATCCTATTTTAAAAGATTTTTGGTAATATGAAGCTTGAATACTGGTAACAGTGATGCAATATACGCAAGCTGCACAACCTGTATATTGTATGCATTGCTGCGTGGAGGCTGTTTATTTCAACCTTTTTAAAAATTGTGTTTTTTAGTAAAATGGCTTATTTTTTCCCAAAGGTGGAATTTAGCATTTTGTAATGATGAATATAAAAATACCTGTCATCCCCAGATCATTTAAAAGTTAACTAAAGTGAGAATGAAAAAACAAAATTCCAAGACACTTTTTAAAAGAATGTCTGCCCTCACACACTTTTATGGATTTGTTTTTCTTACATACCCATCTTTTAACTTAGAGATAGCATTTTTTGCCCTCTTTATTTTGTTGTTTGTTTCTCCAGAGAGTAAACGCTTTGTAGTTCTTTCTTTAAAAAACATTTTTTTTAAAGAAGAAGAAGCCACTTGAACCCTCAATAAAGGCTGTTGCCTAAGCATGGCATACTTCATCTGTTCTCATTTGTGCCATCTGCCGTGATGTCGTCACTTTTATGGCGTTAATTTCCTGCCACTACAGATCTTTTGAAGATTGCTGGAATACTGGTGTCTGTTAGAATGCTTCAGACTACAGATGTAATTAAAGGCTTTTCTTAATATGTTTTAACCAAAGATGTGGAGCAATCCAAGCCACATATCTTCTACATCAAATTTTTCCATTTTGGTTATTTTCATAATCTGGTATTGCATTTTGCCTTCCCTGTTCATACCTCAAATTGATTCATACCTCAGTTTAATTCAGAGAGGTCAGTTAAGTGACGGATTCTGTTGTGGTTTGAATGCAGTACCAGTGTTCTCTTCGAGCAAAGTAGACCTGGGTCACTGTAGGCATAGGACTTGGATTGCTTCAGATGGTTTGCTGTATCATTTTTCTTCTTTTTCTTTTCCTGGGGACTTGTTTCCATTAAATGAGAGTAATTAAAATCGCTTGTAAATGAGGGCATACAAGCATTTGCAACAAATATTCAAATAGAGGCTCACAGCGGCATAAGCTGGACTTTGTCGCCACTAGATGACAAGATGTTATAACTAAGTTAAACCACATCTGTGTATCTCAAGGGACTTAATTCAGCTGTCTGTAGTGAATAAAAGTGGGAAATTTTCAAAAGTTTCTCCTGCTGGAAATAAGGTATAATTTGTATTTTGCAGACAATTCAGTAAAGTTACTGGCTTTCTTAGTGATGCAGTGTCCGTGGTGCATTTTTTTAAATTAATGTTTTGCTGTTTAAATTTATTCAATTTTATTGTGTTTTTTAAAAAGCAGCTTATGCCACAAGCACAAATGAGCTTTCTCAGTTTTCAACTCAAAATATTATATGAAAAGATGGATATGTGTGTCTGTGTGGGAGGGGTGTGAATTGGATGACGGTTCTTAGGGTATTACAGAATTCAGCCAGTGGTGGAAGTCTAAGGTTCTTATTGAATGGTTCAACTTCTTTATCAAAGAAGTTCCATGAAGATCTTTGATAACCTGTTTAAATGTACAGAATTTTTCAAAAGCCACTGTGAAAAGCAGTACCATAAGTTATTTTTTAACTAAAATCTGTAGAAAGTGTTTCCAAAAGAGTTCCTTTTTTCTTCTTCGAAGTAATTTCTAAAAGTTGAAAACATAGGCTTATAAATCTGAATAAATTAGTGAATTCATACATTTTAGAGACTATCAAATATATCCATTATTAACATTCAATAATAATCTCTAAAGGGGAATGTCCTTAAAAAGATTGATAGAAAGATTAATTTAAAAACTGAAAAGGAAAACAAGACACCACCAGTTAGCCAGCTGGAGAACTTGGACTTTTGCATTAGTAGTGATATCTGCTCCAAAAAGAATGCAGTTCGAGGAAATGTTGCATGTGGCTTCAAAATAGCAGTGCTTTCTGCTTTGTTCTCTTGTATTCATTTTCAGCAAACATGTATTAAGCAATTATTATATGTAACTCATGTGGTGATTCCAGGATGAATGAAGTTGTAGCCCTTTCTCTTAGGAAACTTATAAACTAATAGGAGATAAAAGGCATTCTCAGGGAAGTCTACAAAGTGCTATGAGGGAGCCACTTTGGCCATCCTGGGGCAGAGCAGACCAGAGGCTCAGAGCATGGACACTTCCTCATCCACCCAGCAGAAGCCTTTCACTTGATTTTGAAGGTGGGCAGGATTGAGAAAGGCCCAGAAGGGGATGAGTTCAAAGCTGTTTGTGGGCATGTGACCCCTGCAGTCACATATGGCCCTAGCTTGTGTTTCGTTTAGTGTTCTGCTATCATTATCCTGATAATATCCTGATAATAAAATTATCCTTAATAATTTTATATTTGAGTTTGAATGTTGTAAGCAAAGTCCTGTAGGACAATAGAGCATGTGCCTGAACAGAAGAGATACACAGGAAAAAGTGAACTGTTTTATATTTTAGTACCTTTAACAGAGAGAACCTTTTATTTCACTTTTTCAACAAGGACTTCCACATTTTCATTCTGCACTGGGCCCTGGAATCATGACACCATCCCTGGATGTGGGCATTTCACAGGGAAGAAATAGTAGATACAAAGGTACAGAGATGGGAAAGCAAGAGACAAACTTACAGGAATTGTGGGCCTTTCTATTTACGTAAAGTGTAGCCGTGTGTAGGGGAGCAGTGAGACAAGACTGGAAGAGTTAGTTTGCCTCTGATTATATAATCGCAAATTTAAAAGAGTTAGGTTTAAGCAAGTAATTGAAAGATTTAGGAGAGAGAAAATTGTCAGAATTCAGTAAATGGTTAGATTAATGGTAGGAGTGGTGATAGATAAGGAATTGTTAAAGTTTACAGTTTTAGGCTTAAATGATTAGGATCCTAGTAATGTCCAAACTGGAAATTGAGAGGTCACTGCTTTGTGAGGAAGGTAGTCACTTCAGTTTTCAGTATGTTGAGTTAGAATATGAGAAAGTTGTAAATAAGGACTTAAACTCAGGATTCAGTTAATGCTGGCCTGATTTGGATGTGTGGGTGTTTTTTTTTTCTTTCAATTATGTTTGAAAGTCTGGATTAAATAGAGATACTGAATTTGGCAAGGGAACCCTATTCAGAACAGAGCATCTGAATTTTCATCTTGTGATTTGAGAAAACCCTTTTTCCATTTTGTTTGCATATTTCTATGGCATCTTTCCTATGTGTTATCCTTGCAGACTGACTTCTAAACAAGATCCAGTGATGAAGGAGTAAAGCCAAGTTCACTTCCCTACTGTGCATATCCCTTGGATTCCAACTGTCCGAATTGCCTGAAAGCAAATATCTCCATCACCAGAAATGAGGCTGCTCTTTAACCTCTCCTGTCCTAAGCATGGCCTCCTTCCTGGGAACTTTTGTTAAGAGTTAGAATTAGGAAAACATGGGAAAATGGTCATTGTTTCTGGCCTTAAAGTAGTTTCTGATCTTATCAATAACCTTGGCTGCCAAATCATCAGCTTCATCTCTTACTCAGTCTGGATTGCTTCAGACTGGAGGAAGAACTTCCAGCCCTCATATACCCATGTTTAGTAGCCAACTTCTAGAAAGGATGCTCACCCTTTGAATCTGGCAACTCAGTACAAGGACCAGACTGAAATGGGAGGAAACATGAATTACTAGTGGGACAATTCTGCATGGAATAGAAAGTAGTTAGGAGAGCACTTTGCTCAAACACTCCAGGGCCAGAAATGTACGGGCCTTGGTAGTTTCCTTGACACGCTCCACCAAGGGAGAGCCAATGCCTGGGAGGTTGCAATGGTAGGGGTAACCTGAGGAAACAGACGTTGAAGTTGGCCTGTGAGTGGGGGCAAGACACTAACAGTTCCTTCACTACAATGGACTTGACCTACATGATCTTATTTAACCTACTTGATGACACTGTGACAAGGGTGCAGTTTTTTTGAGAGGTCTTGGTTAATAATTAAACCAACAATGCCCCTTACAAGCTAAGTAACATTTGTCAACTTACTTATTCCCTCTAAGCACTGATTTTCTCCAAGTCACAGAGTTTATCACTAACTCAGAGGGTTGCTGAGGCTCCATTAAAACTTGATAGGTGCTAATCACTGAAAAGATTGGGAGCCCTACTCTCCCACAAGTTACTCAAAGTAAACACAAGCCTACTCTGTAAAATAATGGTAAAAGAAGTCAACAAAGTTCTGATTTTTCCTATGATGACCACAGTATGCTATTTTATTTCTTTAGGAATATCACGTTCCCAAAAGATAATTTGGTAGGATCCTACTTTACTAATGCTCAAAGCACCTACTCCACTTACAGAGAAAGCCGAGCTGTGCAGGTATTCATCCCAAAGCTTCACACTACTAGTGCTAAATATATCAAAACACAGGCTTTTCTAGAAGTGATAGTTACAGAAACAATTACTTTCTTCAAACATTTATTCCAGAAATATTCTATATGATATACTCGTTTATTTTTACAAATGAGAGAGCCGTGTTTGGAAATGCAAACCTATGTGTATGCAAAAGCTTATATGTGTAATATTCATGATTAAAGTCTTAGGGAAGGTCCCTATCCCTGCAGGAGTGCTTAAGTAAATTGTGGTACATCCTCCCAATTGAATCCTATGTAACCATTTTTTGAAAAACACAAAACAAACTAAAGCCTCTATGTACTGATATAGAAAACTCCATAACATATCATTAGGTAAAAAGCAATAACAGAGCAGTGTATAGAGTAAGCTACCTTTCAGGTAAGAAAAGGAGGAGACCAAAACAATAAGTTTTCTTAAATTTGCATAAAGAAACCCTAGAAGAACACACAAAGAAATGAAAATACAGCCGGGCATGGTGGCTCACACCTGTAATCCCAGCACTTTGGGAGGCCAAGGCAGGTGGATCACCTGAGCTCGGGAGTTTGAGACCAGCCTGGCCAACATGGGGAAACCCCGTCTCCACTAAAAATAAAAAAAAAACAAAATTGGCTGGTGTGGTGGCATGCCTGTAATCTGAGCTACTCGGGAGGCTGAGGCAGGAGAATTGCTTGAACCCAGGAGGCAGAAGTTGCAGTGAGCCGAGATTATGCCACCGCACTCCAGCCTGGGTGACAGAGCGAGACTCCATCTAAAAAAAATTAAAAATAAAAAACTTAAAAAAAAAAAGAAATGAAGAAAGTAGTTACTAACATGGCAAGGGGTTGGGGAAAGAGGTGAATGAGAGGAAAGATTTAACAACACATATTTTTAAATATTGTTTTTATTTTTGAGCTATATGATATGCCACTTATTTTTTTTAAGATTTTAGTTTGAAAAAAAGGCTTCCCCCCAAAAGCAAATGCCACACACTGAATAGATTTACAGGGAACTCTCCTCTAATGAAGCAGCCTTTGGAAAGAAAATGCCAGTGTGTAGAGCAAACCTCAGGACTGATAGGCTCGCCTCTAGGATTCTCCAGGCACAGATGGCCTCAGCTGTCAGTTCTGGATGACACGACCACAACCTTAAGGTTAGCAGTTTGCTTCTCTATTGACTACACTAACTGGCCAAAGAGCCTTACTTAAGCAAGCAGTTTTCTATAATTAAATCACAAATATTAATTTAGAATTCATCCTATAAGGTTTAATTTACTCTGCCTAGTTAATAATCAGTTTATCCTATCAGCCATCTAATATTAAGACTATAAATCTAGAGATCTTGGCTGAATTTCCGTTGCTTCCTTGCTCATTGCCATTGTAACCTGCTCCCCTATGACCAACCCAGCTATAGTATTAGAACACAGAAAGCATGTCATTCTTACCAACTCCTGTGTCCATAACAATCAGCTGAAATTGCATGGAGACTATGTTACTTTTTGGTACTTTCAAATTCATCAGCTAAATTTCCAAGTAAGATTTGGGAGGCTGAAAATAATATTTTTCACTATTTTCCATCTTTTCATTCTTCCCATTTACTATCCTGGTTTATGTGCTTTGCATGTGAAAAAGATTATTTGAGCAAATCAAAAAACATTTTCTTTACTTTAGAGTTCTACTGGCAATAAAAGAATAATGCTTTCCCTCATGAACATGTACAATTGTTATTTATCAATTGAAATAATTTTTTTTCAAAAATAAAGAATAATACTTTCTGGCCAGAAGTGATAGCTTACACCCTGTAATCCCAATGGTTTGGGAGGCTGAGGTGAGCAGATCACTTGAGCCCAGGAGTTTAAGACCAGCCTGAACAACATAGTGAGATGCCTGTCCTACAAAAAAATTTAAAAATTAGCCTGTCATGGTGGTGCACACCTATAGTCATAGCTATTCTGGAGGCTGAGGCAAAAGGGTCACTGGAGCCCAGGAGTTAAAGGTTATAGTGAGCTATGATTGCACTATTGCACTCCAGCCTGGGGGACACAGCAAGACCCTGTAGCTATAAGAGAGAGAGAGACAGAATAATAGTTTCTTCTATCTCTCTCCTGAATCCCCCAACCAGTAATGATATTTGTCCTTTGAGTTTAATAACTACGAAATAACTCAGAAAAATGATTTTTGTCTTCTAACCAATGTGTCCTCTCCAGAGTCCACTTTAAATATACTGACAATACAAAGACATACACAACAGCCCTTCCTCACCTACCTTGATAAAGCCCAGTTTTCTTCCTGCCTTTTTAATAATGCATTTTGTAGACTCTGAGAATAGAAGAGAGAGTTCCTATGAAATATAAAATCAAGAAACAGGAGACATGATACATTGAACTTCTGTATTTTAAAAATTATGTATGACTAGTTATTAGATAAACCAGAATGTAACTAATTTCAGTGCTAATTGTGATAACAATTATTAAAATTCACTCATTAAAATTTATGTGAGGATTATGCTGCATGAAAGAATCTGGGCACAAAAGAGAACAAACTGTATAATTGCATTTATATACAGTTCAAGAACAGACAAAACTAATCTATGCTGATAGAAATGAGAACAGTAGTTGCCTGTTGGTGGCGGTGGGAACTGACTAGAAGGGGGCACCAAGGGACTTACTTCAGTGACAGAAAAGTTATATATCTTGACTGGGATCATTTGTTAAAATTGACCTAGTGTACATTTAAGATCTGTGTATTTCACTCTGTGTAAATTTTACCAGAATTTTAAAATACTTATATGAAGATAAATCTCAAATTCAGAATATTATGTAAGAAATAGTAGTAGGGAGGCCAAGCACGGTGGCTCACGCATGTAATCCCAGCACTTTGGGAGGTCGAGGTGGGCGGATCACGAGGTCAAGAGATCGAGACCATCCTGGCGAACATGGTGAAACCCCATCTCTACTAAAAATACAAAAATTAGCTGGGCATGGTGGCACGCACCTGTAGTCCCAGCTACTCGGGAGCCTGAGGCAGGAGAATTGCTTGAATCCGGGAGGTGGAGGCTGCAGTGAGCCAAGATCAAGCCACTGCACTCCAGCCTGCCAATAGAGCGAGACTCTGTCTCAAAAAAAAAAAAAAAAAAAAAAAAAAAGAAAAGAAAAGAAAAGAAAAAGAAAAAGAAATAGTAGTAGGAGTTACTACTCTAAGGTATCTCCTGTTGAAGTATATGAGGGCCTGCTTCAATACAGATAATCATTATGCTTCCATTGAGCCCTGATTCAAATCAAGATAAACTACTCAAAGAATATTAGTTCTCTTAAATACTTTGAACATACTCAACTATAACATTTGCTGTGCTGTTATATTACCATAGATAAAGGGAAGTAAATTCCAGCTCAATCCTGATCAAGTTAACACAAATGCTAAAGTAGTAGCAGTAATCTAACATAATTACATCGAGACTGATCATGTAATGTAATAATACACATCACATAAATTGACTACTTCAAGGATGAAGATATTATTTATTGCAGAATATTAAATGGCTTGATTATTTTGCTATCTGGGGTCTTATACCATACTCTTACTCTTGCTCAATGTAATGTTAAACCTCAGAAGATAAAAAAGAATAAGAAAGCTAAAATTCTTATATTTTGTCTCTAGACTGTCCAAAATGAGGCTTCATTAATTTTCGCCCCAGGGAAACTATTTGAAGCTTCAATATTTATAGTACCAAGAGTGACAGTCAATGCAACCGGTAATATTAAAGCACCTTCTTATAAAATTGATCATTCAGCCATTCGTCTTTGAGGGTTAAATAAAGGACAACACAAATAAAAATAAAAGGCCCGGGTACATTTTGAGGTGCACTTAGTGAAATTAAGTGCAAGGCCTATCTGCTTAAGTCCTCTGAAGCTAGCAGTGGAATTTCATGAGTGTATGAATTTCAGAGAAAAGTACATATGATCAATAGAAAAAAATGCTTAAATGGGAGGAGGACAGTAGACATTGCAATATTCTCTTAATTATTAAGAAAAAAAGATGTCAAACATTAAAACAAACATTTTTCATAAAGCATTAGAAACTATTTGTTGTTAATGCATTTGATCAAATATGTGTATATAATTCTAATTGACGTTCAGCATTTACATGCACACACGCATAATACATATATAACACACATACATAACATATATATAGTTCATGAACATGAATTAGATTGATACAATCAACAGTAGAAAAGAAGTCTTGATTTTATCTACGTGGATATTTGTCTTGGAAAATGAACTCTATGATAGCAAAAGATTTCCCATGTTGGCTTTTGCTGTCCTTTGTCTGTCACCACCACAAGGCTGTGCACACCCAACACAAGCAAACATCAGTGTTTGAGGACAAGCAGAAAGAATATAAGAAAAGCGCATAAGAAAGTAGATATTTGGGTCAAATTTATAAGGTCACATTATAAGGATGACTGCTCTGTTTCTTCTGGATAACATCAAAGAGTGACCATTGTATTACTCCCAATATGTCTTCATGCTGAAGAGGAAGATGTAAAGGTGCACTTGTGTAGAAAAGGTGAGGAAGCAAGTGTCCTATAGAGATACCCAAACACCAGCATTTGTTTTATTATAAACCATCATATAGATTAAAATAATCTTTAATTGTGGTCTTGTGCTATTTTAATTATGTAATAAGTAATGTCTTAAGTCCTTAGTAATATATAACTTATTATATATTAAGAAATATTTTAATCTTTATCGTGTCATGGTATGGTCAAAAGTTACAAACTTTGACACCTGTGTTTAATGCCCCCTTGGCCAGCTACAAGTTACGAAAAAAATTTTTAACCACTCTTGGTCAGTTTCTTCATCTGTAAGTGGAAATAATATCTATATTTAGGGATGTTATAAAGGTTTTTAAAACTATGTATACACACACATATATATAACTGTTATACACATTATACATAGATTTTTATATAGTTATGTGTATGTGCATATACATATACATACACACACACACATATGTGTGTATCACTCAGTATTTACCTATTTTAGCACACTATATAGCACTACACATTCACAGCATCTTAGTGAAAAATAAATATACCTCCAATGGAGCTGAAACATTCTAGGGAGTAACTGGGGATAGTAAATGATTACTTTCCTTACCTGGAACCAACCACTAGGAGTAATGAACTAAATATTAAAAAATTTCTAAATGCAATTTTTAAAAATAATTTAAAATATGTTCAAAAAGATTAGAAAATGAAACTATTATGAAGAAGTATTATTGTTGGGAGACAGTCCTCTATGGGTCTCTCCCATTGATACACATCTTGTTGGGTTTGCCAGGAATGCGAATGCAGGACCAGCCTAGTCTTCTCTTTTTGTCGCCCAGGCTGTAGTGCAGTGGTGCGATCTTGGCTCACTGCAACCTCCGCCTTTGGGTTTCAAACAATTATCCTGCATCAGCCTCCTGAGTAGCTAGGACTACAGGCATGAGACAGGGTTCCACCGTGTTGGCCAGGCTGGTCTTGAACTCCTGACCCTAAGTGATCTGCTACCTTAGCCTCCAAAAGTGCTGGGATTACAGGCGTTAGCCACTGCGCCCAGCCTCAAGACCAGACTACTCTTTAACCAGGTCATTTCTCAAGGTTGGATTTGCAGTGAGCAGCCCTGAAAGATAAGGTAAAATCTTCCTCTGAGACAAAGAGTCGGCTTTTTACTGCTTGTTATAAAAGTGGTGAATTCCCCAAACTTAGTGTTCCTCAGCTATACAAACCCACTGTGCACATAGCAACCATCCAAGCTATATCACACCACCATATCACACAGAACTGTGGACAAAGAGAATCAATGCAGATATGTTGATGCTCATGCTGTTTGCTGTGCCATGAGAAATAAATACTTTTGCCTGACTCAGGAGTCTCATGTTTTCTGCCAACCTCTATCAAACAGTAACAGGCTTACTCAATAGTTTCTAACTTTTGGCAGGGGGATGGGTTGGTGGCAGAAACATGTTTCTTTTTTAAAAAGGAAGGACAAGGCTCCCACAGTTTTCATTCGAAGATATGAAAAGACCCCCTGGAATCCAGTAGCTAATGTTCTTGCCGAAGTGGTAGATGGGGTATGGGTGGAAGTGGGTAAGAGTTCCCCACTGTTTTACTTGTTAATGAGGATAAACAATGAGAGCTAAAATTGAAGCAAGCTACAGAAATGGTGTCTTAGCTGTTGCTCACTCTCCTACAAATGGCCAGAGGAAGGGATATTAACATTACAAAAGGAACAGAAAACTCCAGCTAAAAGATAGTGTGGCTGTGGCTATGGAGTCAAACAGTTCCTAAAACTGAAATAAGTGATGTCAGAAATAGGGATTTTGCTCATCAATATAGACCTTTAGGTAAACTGCAAACATTAGAAGTTTGGTTGCACCATGAGCAGGCAGCCTCTCAAAAGCAAAAGTGAACAGGGCTGGCCATGCCTGTCTACCTGGTCTCTGCTATAGTCAAACTTGCCTAGCAAGAAGAAAGAGGCACTGGATGTTGGGTGGCTGAAAGCTCACAAGACAAAATGTAGTGATATAGACAAGGACAAAAAGAGAGGGACCCCTGGACCTAAGCACTCTCCAGATGCCAGAGGTGCACAGAGAAGGAAGCAGCACTGGGGCTAAGATATCCATCTTAGAGTCAAGGGTCAAGGGGAATGAAAAGGCTAAAAATTATGTTTCTTCCTACTATTCCCACCAATGGACTAGCCTCACCAGCAACCCTGCACCTCCCAACCTCACAGCTGGGGAATAGCATGATCTGGGTACTGCTACTGTACCCCTTGATGAGCATGCGTTAGACTCCCTGACCTGTATCCCTGTAGGGAAAAATGCACCTGAATTCAACTGATGGAGTCTAGGCAAAGTTCACAGTAGACAAATAAACTAAAGTGACCTTATGGGTGGGGCATTTATGCTACCACTATGTACTATTGTGACTTCCACATCTGAACATGTAATGAAATTAAGGTGGTATGTGCCTATACTTCCCTGTTCCATCAGTGATAGACAGGACCCATACAGGAATCACTACATGCACCCTCCCTTTAGGGTGGTCAAGAACAATAAAAACCCAGAGGGAGAAAAGAAATCACAGCTTCAGTTAAAGACTTAAAGGCTGCCAGATTCTCAGAGAGGTCATTTTCAGGACCTCTCAAGACACCATCACTGCCTAACATAGGTGAAAAAGGAAGCTATTAACCTGCTACTAAGGTCTTGTTGAAAGCCGTGCAAGCATTGTGAATCTCTGCCTTGCCATTCCCATTTTAGTTCAGGTCAACTCCAACTTGATGATTAACAAGCTAGGAATGCCCAACAGGCATTATGAGTCAAATGGAAATGGTATATCAAGAGTACCGGCAGCCTGGCCATGGCAGCATTTTGGTTTTACATGAAAAAGTGGCAGCTACCCCTGTGGGGACTTCCTTATCCCTGACTCCACCATGTGTAGCAAAACCAATAGTTCAATGGAATTCTATTCACAGAGGTTTTCCTAAATATTCCGGCCTAGCTCACTGATGATTTAACTAAATTAAAAGCTGATAGTATCTACTAGGAGGCAGTAATCATCCAGCTTCAATGGCAGACTGGAAGACTGTGGTAAGGACCTGTCACCACAATGAGTTGAATTGAAAGCCATTATCCTTGCCTTACACAATACTTCTGAGGGCCACACATGTTGTATTTTTACTGATTCTTTGTCTGTAGTCAATAGCTTAGACATCTGGTCTGGCAGAATAAAGACAGCCCTGTTTAAGGGCAACAAACTAAAAACAAATTGTGGTTGCTGATCGAATAATCTGGGTCACTCAGTACATACCTTTGTAAAGATTCATTTTTGAATGAGAATGACTGGAATGAAGCTGCTAAGCCTGAACTTTCCAGACAGCCACCATTGTCACCTGGATCTATTATAGCATCACACATAGCAACACAGCCATCATCGTGGAATGGGCACATATTAAAAAACAATGTTTCTGGTGCAGATGCCACCACTGCATGCCAGACTTATGACTTTTGCCAAAAATTGGTCTTTCGATGAAGAACTCACTATACTTCAATAGACATTGTCCCTGCCTTTACCTGAACAATTTATTATGTTGGACCTTTGATTCACTCTTGGACTGCCATTGATGCCTTACCACTGTTGACAATTTTTCAGGTTATGGTGTTGCAGTTCTAGACTAATCATCTGACTTTAGTCATACCTTTATGGTCTTTGAATCAAACTCTTTCATGTTTTCAGCTTTCTAGATAATCTATAGTCAGAATGTATGCCTGCTGTCTCAAAGGCCACCCAATAATGAGCCAAAGGTCAAGGTATTTGATGGGTATTCTATGCACCTAGCCATTTACAGGCATTTGATATTGTAGAGCCTTGGAACAGCATTTTCAAAATCAACACAAAAGGATTTCTGACTCCTTCTCCTTCACATTCTCCTGGGCCACACACCTAAGTAAGGCAGTCTAGTCCTTGAATGTAGCCACCCACAGAAACGTTTCATCTCCTTTGCCTGACTCTTGGGTAATGATCAGAAAAGGATGGGAGGTTATCAATACCGATTTGGAAACTTTAGGATCCCACCCTGACCATTTCTGGGCATGATACTTATTTCTTTCCTTTAGCAGCAAACCAGAGGCTGGCATAACTGGTACACGCTCCAGGTGGCAAACTAGCCAAAATGGGGCTTCATCTGTTTTGTTCACTGTGGCACCCTAAGCTGCTAGAATGGTACCTGGCACAGAAGCAACTTCCAAAAATATTTCATGAATTAGTGAATGAATTATATGAATAAAGTATTCCATGACTGTTGGGACCTTTAAACTGGTTTAAAAAATAGCTTAATATGTTAATACATTTAGATCTATTTTATCTATGGTAATCCCTAATACCATTTAATATAAGAATGAACCATCATTTTTCATTTCCTCTACTGATGGACAGTTAATTTGCATGTATCAACATGGGAAAACCTTAAAAACATAAGTTTTGGAGAAAAAGCAAATGTCTAGATACATAAATATGTAGTACAAGATTTCCAAAATGCACAGGAGAAATATATATTAACTTTTAGAGAGTGGCTACCTGTGGAAAGAAAGAAAAGGAGAGTAGACAGGATTAGAAGGTGGAGGGATAATTTTTACTTATTTATTTTCTTTAAAAAGGCTACATGAAAATTAAGATCTTTCAAATGTGAATGGTGGTTAATAAATTTTTGATATTCTGTAATTTTGTTAGCATTTTTCTGCACATTTGAATTATTTTACACTCAAAAATAATTTTTTTTTTTGAGATAGTGTCTCGCTCTACCACCCAGACTAGAGTGCAGTGGTGCAATCTCTACTCACTACAACTTCCACCTCCCAGGCTCAAGCGATTCTCCCACCTCAGCCTCTCCAGTAGCTGAGATTATAGGCACGCATGCCATCTTACCCGGCTAATTTTTGAGTTTTAGCAGAAACGGGGTTTCGCCATGTTGCCCAGGCTGGTCTTGAACTCCTGACCTCAAGCGATCCACATGCTTCGGCCTCCCAAAGTGCTGGGATTACGGGTGTGAGCCACTGCACCTGGCCAAAAAGTAATTTTTAAACTACAATAATATTTTCTGGTTTTGAATAAACTCCTTGATTACTATGGAAAACATAAGAACTTAAGTTCAATCTAAGATTAGCAACTAACATAATATTTTCATTAATTCTCAAAACCAATAATTTCTATCATAATTTGTATTTTATTTCATTTTATATTTTATTTTATTTTATATTTTATTTTGAGACAGGGTCTCAGTCTGTTGTCCAGGCTGGAGTGCAGTGGCATGATCATAGCTCACTATAACTCCGAACTCCTGGGCTCAGGTGATCTTCCCACTTCAGCCCCCGAGTAGCTGGGACTACAGACATGTGCCACCATACCTGGTCAATTTTTTGTTGTTGTTTGTTTTTGGTAGAGACTGGGGTCTCCTCATGTTGCCCAGACTGGTCTCAAACTCCTGGGCTCAAGCAATCCTTCCACCTCAACCTCTCAAAGTGCTGGGATTACAGTCGTAAGCCACCATGCCGGCCCATAGTTTTTATTTTTATATGCATAAAAATAAAATTAAGCTGAATTTTATTTATTTATTTTCAGTTTTAATTAATTTTTTTATCATAGTCTTATCCCTTGCCCCTCTCCCACCCTTTCCCCTGAGTCCCCAAAGTCCATTGTGTCATTCTTATGCCTTTGTGTCCTCATAGCTTAGCTCCCATTTATGAGTGAGAACACATGATGTTTGGTTTTTGTTCCTGAGTTACTTCACTTAGAATAGTGGTCTCCAATTCCATCCAAAGTTGAATTTTGAAAGAAGAAATACAATAGCATTTTATCATTTTATTTGCAGTCTTGTAAGCATATGGATAGGTTAATATTATTTCTCATATCAATTCTATGAGCAGCTAATAATGTCCAATTCCTAGATAATCTATGCAGTATTTCCACATAAACTTACACATACGTACTTAAAGGTTACATAGTTTTGTAAGAGAGGTTCCCTCCACCCATAGTAAGTGAGTAATTCTGCAGAAACCTGCTCCTCACTTTACACTTTACACATACCCAAATTATTTGCTATCAGGTGTTGTATTCTACTTACAGATCCAGTCTCCTGTATGTTTCCTGTTGTTTTACCCAGCCCCTTTGAGGACTAGTTTGAGAGCATTTCAGCTAATTTAATATATAAGTTTGTTATACCAGCAAGAACATCTCTCTATAAGCTGAAAGAAGCCAGAGTGCTTTAAGTTGGCTTAAAAAAAAAATATTAAAGCAAGTTAGAATCTTCAACTATCTTAAGTTAATGAATCAGGTACTAACTAGATAACTTGTAATTTCGTACACCATTACTACACATAAATGTGAGGTTAAATAAGAATGGAGGAAGAAGGAATTACATGTTCTTATGTGTTCATTTGCATTTTCCCCTACAGATTAGTGTCCTTTAATGCTGAATATTAAGGATTTTGAAATAGTTGACTGATGAGTTTCTTATTCTTCTATTATAAAATACATGTATCTGAGAAATAGGAACAACATAGCAAAAAAGTTTGAAGTAACTTTTACTAAGTTCTCAGGTAACTGGGTGTGTAAATTCTGTTAGACTTGACCATGAAAAGAAGATAATGGCTGAGAAACAGAAGATGATCTTGTCAGCCATTTGTAACCAAAGGACATGACCGAGAGATGACCCAGAGATGACTGTGATGTTCTCTTTGCTTTTTTTCTTCCCTAAGCAAATAGTTGTTAAATCCTAGGTGCAGAACAGCATGATTTTTGGTATTTCGGAAAATAAAATAATTTTTTAAAGTATAGACCCTATTGGCTGGGCGCTGTGGCTCACACCTGTAATCCCAGCACTTTGGGAGGCCTAGGCGGGTGGATCACTTAAGGTCAGGAGTTAGAGACAAGCCTGGCCAACATGGCAAAACCCCATCTCTCCTAAAAATACGAAAATTAGCTGGGCATGGTGGCAGGCGCCTGTAGTCCCAGCTATTCAGGAGGCTGAGGCAGGAGAATCGCTTGAACCCGGGAGGCGGAGCTTGCAGTGAGCCGAGATCGCGTCACTGGAGTCCAGCCTGGACGACAGTGAGACTCCGTCTCAAACAAACAAACAAACAAAAAAAGGAATAGCCTCTGTTGTTGAGAAGAGTTAGAAATATAATCTGTTGCTCTGGCAGAGAGCCAAGCCAACTAGTCCTTACTGGACAGGAGTCCAACCATACACTTTGGCTAATTTACTTCCCCTCTTCTGCCAACTGAACCAAGTAGCTTATATGATAGCAATAGCAGTAACATGTGGATTGTCATAAGTAATATCAAAGTGAACTCTAGGTTAAAATAAAACATATACTTAAAAGTTACTCAAACATATACTCAAAACATATACTTAAAAGTTACTCAAAAATCAAGGCTTTTAGTGTGCAAAATACTACAGGTTATTTTCTTTATTTACTTCAATTAAATGTGTAACATTTTTCTAAAAACAAAGACATCGGATCAAGGAAAACTTACCTATTGTGTATTAATGACTGCGTTGTTGTTGTTTCTTTTCTTTCCTTTTTTTTTTTTTTTTTTTTTAGCGACAGAGTGTCACTCTGTCACCCAGGCTGAAGTGCAGTGGTGCAGTCATAGCTCACTGTAATCTCAAACTCCTGACTCAAGCAATCTTCCTGCCTCAGCCTCCTGTGTTGTTTCTTACATTTAGATTTTATATTTATATACCTCTTCTAACTGGTTCTTCCCAGTTTTTTCAATTCAGCACGCCAGAATTGATTTTTAAATTGTGATGGCAATGACTTAGGGGTCTGTGAAACACTATGTTCCTGAAATGACATGTTTTTCTGTTGTGTTTATTTTATGTGGACAAAAAAATAATCTTCCAAGAAAAGATAGAGAAGTTATTTTCATCCAGCTTACAATGCAAACCCCTTTGGGCACAGCTAGTGTACGTTCCTCTCCTGCAGTGCCTGAACAGCAGGAGCTCCTTTGCTTCTTTAGAAATGTCAAAAGGAGGAGGAGCAGGTTGGATATGGTAACAGTACTCTCTGTTGACGTACTCCTGAGCTTCATACTTCTGGAAGCTTCACAATGATGTGGAATGTTATCCTGTGTTTTTCTCTGCCTGCGTCTCTGAAGTCTGTGTGTGTGTGTACACACACACGTATGCTGACACAGATAACTGTTTGAATAGGTCTTGAAGTTAAAACCCTTACTTTACAGTGTTGGTGTCACTGATCTTGAAGCTGCTTTTCTTCCTTGTTTAAGAAAATTGTATTTTATGTAAAGACACCATTAGGACAATGTCAGTAGCACTGCAGTTACATTTTCTGGCCAAAATGACAAGACTCAACAATGAGCCAGAATACAGACTTAATGCATTAAAAATATGACAGGTAAGAGCTTGGTGTAACCAGCCTTCAGGTAAAATTTAAAACTGAGGCAGTATTTTTAATGTAGGAAACCAACTGGAGATGTTCGTGCATAATTTGTAACCATGAAATTGGTTCCAGAAAGGGGTCATGAAAAGCATAGCTCTGCTAAGGCTGCAAAGCTTCTTTAGGGAAAAGTCACTCAACCCCTTCACTAAACCACCTTCTCTTCAGAGTCTTTAACAATGAATGCTTGTTGCAGGAGCTTAGTCACAACGTTTGCCCTGAACACTTGTGAAGGATCAGGCACAATACATTCCTCAGCCATGTGAGGATGTTGGGGCTACCTAGGACTTTCTCTTAGAGATACTTACCTAGGCCTGCTCTCCACAGGAAATATCTGTTGTGTTAGGCTGTTCTTGCATTGCTATAAAGAAATACCTGAGACTGGTAATTTATAAAGAAAAGAAGTTTAATTGGCTCAAGGTTCTGCAGGGTGTACAAGAAGCATGGTGCTGGCATCTGCTTGGCTTCTAGGAAGGCCTCAGGAAACTTACAATCATGGGAAAAGGCAAAGGAGGAGCAGTCAAGTCACATGGCAACAGCAGGAGCAAGCAAGAGAGAGTGGGGCTGGTGCAGGAGTGGGAGTGTCACACACTTTTAAGTGACCATATCTTGCTAGAACTCCCTATCATGAAGACAGCACCAAGCCATGAGGGATCCACTCCCATGATCCAAACACCTTCTACCAGGCCCCACCTCCAGCTTTGGGGATTACACTTCAGCATGAAATTTGGCTGGGGACGAATATCCAAACAATATCACCTGTTCTTCAGACCATTCTTACCCAATTTTGGAGATAAAAAAAATTATATATTTGTGTCCATTTTGCTAAGGCTTCATCCTTTTTTGTTCCAGGAAAACTATTCATGTACCACCATCCTCACCATCATCATCACAGTCTTTGCTGACACTAGATGTACTTACTAGATGCCAGGCACTAATTTCAGGTTTTCAGGCATTAACTCATTGAATCCTCATAACAACATTGTGAGATAGGCACAATCAGTAAAGCTTTTTTATGGGTGAGAAAAATTGAGGCATAGGATGAATTAACTTGCCATAGGGTCACCCCATTGGTAAATCAGAGAGCCAGGACTTGAATGAGATGGTTTCATTTACGGGTCTCATTCACAGGTTAAGCGACTCTTCAATGATTTATTAAGTGTCACTTAACCTGTAAATGCTGGAAATTAATGCATTGACTCTTTCTAGGGTGTCCATCCCTCTCCTCACCAGTATAATGAGGTTTATTCTAAAGGTAAAAATTTTAGATATTATATTAGATCAAAGTGGAACTCTTTCAATTTAGTAGAATTATCAGCAATTCTTCAATCAAACTGGATCATTCCCTCAGGAGCCAGACAGGGACACAAGCCACAGGCTGCCATGAACTAGCTAATCTCAAGAACACTTTCTGGGGTTTATTTAAAAATTTACTGTTGGTATGAAATAACTGTTACAAAGAATGATAGTTCCCTTCACGTAGCTGAGTCCTGGAGCCCAAATAACTGTAAGAAAAGATTAGCAGAAAAGTATCCAAGGTGTTCTAAAGGATTTGAAGGGGATATCCATATGACAAATGTACTTATTCAAGGCAACTGTTTAGGCAAAACCTGTGTCAGTTTCAGTCTTTGTGACAAGGCATGGACAACTAGTAAAAGTAGTTAAAGTGTCAAATGTGGTGCACAATGAAAAATCAAAAGGGGGAAAATGTGAGAGTCAATGTTTGGACAATTGACATAAAAAAATATGGGCACAATATGGCAGAAGGTGGGACAAGGTGGCCTCCTGTATAAATGCAATATGCTCAATGAAAGAATGTTTTATATGGGCATGTCAACAGTCAGCCTAATCTGAAAACCCAGCCATCAAGTGCCAGATGAGGAATGCCAAAATGCCAAGAAATATATCAAGAGGTAAAGAGAGCCAATAAAAAAACTTCCATCTTGTGGCAGTTTTATGGAAAGGATTTACATAGAAATCAAGAGCTAATAATGAGAGCATACAAATTACTGTGGAAAATGATGATTAGTGATAATAATTGTTCAAGAAAATGTGTGTCACCTGCCTCTAAATGTTAATTTACTTTAGACTAATGAATAATTCAAGCATCTAAGCTTAGGAAATACCCCACTTCTATCACTATTTCCCTAGTCAGGCCAAAAGGAGAGGACAACAACTGAATAGACCCCAACACCAACCTATTCCTTCCAAGTAATTTCTTCATTGCCTCTGACTGCCTGGTCATGCTGGCTAAGTCCTGAAAATCCCTTTCTTCTTTTTTTTTTTCTTACAACATTTCCTCATATCTTCAGGATTTCCAGGAGAGAAAGTAAGAGCAAAAATGAAGCAGAAGGAAGAAAAAAAGGAGGAAGAGCAAGAGGGGGAGAAGGATCAGGAAGAGGATGAGGAGAAAGGAGAAGGAGGAAAGAAAAAGAAGGGAGGAAGAAAAGAAGGAAAGGGAAAAAAAAAGAGAAAGGAACACACCAAAAGTATCCTCCCTCCAAATGTTAAATGCATTGAAGGAACTTACTTAGTTTTAGAAGTGTCCATGGAGTCTCACCAATTATATCTTACAGAAGACTCCTTTTGTTGCTCAATGTGAAGTTCTCAAAGTTAATGAATAAACAAATTAATCAGTTTCCTAGGCGGTGTGATTTCAGGAACAGCGGCTTTAAAAATAATTTTACCTTCTCCTGTCTGGTTTGGAAAGTCCATAATTAGAGAGTTTCTCATTTGCTTTCTAATTTGATATAAAGTAAATATCTCTAGGACATAGCCAATATAAATCTCTTACACTTTAGTATGAAATTTTATCAGATACTTTTCTACAGTTGATTGAAGAAACAAGGAGAGCCAGATACAAAGGGTGCCTAAAGAAGGAAGGAAATGAAAGCAAATGGAAAAATGACTAGATGCACTGCAGTTTATTTTTCCTGCTTGCAGTTTTACCTAAAAGGATGGTGACTGTCACTGTACCTCTAACTTGTGAGAGAATCATGTTAATTATTTTTGTGTGCACAGCACCAACCATAGAGTGCCATACTATGGATGTTTGCTGAATTAATGAATAAATGAATGCAAGTATTCAGTGATTACTGTAGTCTTGATATTTTGTAAAATCTATGCATAACACAATCCCTTGCTACTAGCAAGTTGTCTTCTAAAAGAAATGGTGTACGTAGCAAGTATTCTTTCCAACTAGCTATTTCTCTGCATTAATTTCTAAACCAGGTTCTGCCTTATCCCAAACCACTTTAGCTTCTGGTTAAGAAATGTATTGTTACTAGAAAACAAAACAGAACTGGTGCTTTTTTTGTATGCATAATATATACAAATGAAGAATGGCTAATGATCGAGATATCCAAAAGATGACCTATATCACAAATAGACATATTTAATCATTTATTCAATATTTACTGAGTATCTGCTGTGTAATGAGTAAGGCAGGCAAAGTCCCTGACCTCTTGGTGGTTCCTGTAATAGAAGTATATTTAAAAGTGTAAACGAATATAGAAACAAAGCTCTTTCAGATTATTACAGATTCTATTTTTAAAATACAAATGTGGTAGAGAGTGATGGGGTAATGGGTTGAGCTAGTTTGGCCTAGGAATGCTTCCTGAGAATGCAATGAGCATGCAATCATGTTAATTTCTGTGGGAAGTGTTCCAGGCATAGAGAACACCAATTATAAAGGGAAGAAGCAAGTGTTCTGGGGACAGAAAGGTGAATGTGGTTTCAACATAGGAGAAGAGTAGTCTTCTTTCTAGCACAAGCCCAATAATTTAAATTGTCATTGAATGATCTTTTAAAATTAATGTCTAAGAATTATAAATGGGTCTTCTACTGTCTAAATTTTAAAGCTGTCTTAGCTATTTTTTTTAAATTCAGCTATCTTATGTTCCAGATATGCTAGGTTTCAATTCTTTCCCTAATGGGCTTTCTTCATAATTGCACTGATGAGTATTTAAGCATTTATGACAGGCCAGCCTTAAAAGAGTGAGTTTATGTAGTACCATTATGTTCCCCTTACTAAAGTTAGACAACAAAGAGTATTCCCTCCAAACGTGTTCATTAAGATTCATATCTGATTTGAAAAGCTTGAAGGAATTGTGGCCAAAGATTTGCACATTAACACATTTATAACCATCAATACATTAGCCTAGGCTCATTTTATCAAATGACCCAGTCATTACCTTGGGAAGCAAAGAGCAGGGCCCTCAAAGATTAGAAGAAAGGTAAGCTAAGTTTGTTGATGAAGGAGAAAAACAAAAAAAGCTCAATACACAATACGTGATGAAGACAAAACTATTTTTTGCTCAAAATTTTAGCCATTCTAAACCGTGGTTCTCATGTGTTTTTGCATGAAAGTATAAATATTTCCTTGCTGCAATCGAATCTGAGAGATTACAAAGCAGATGAATGTTATTTTTCTAGGGCTAGCTATGATACATTACATTTCTCTTATGTGGTGTTGTGATTGTATCTCACTGCTGATTGTGTCTTACCAGACTGTGCTTTCCTTGGTTTTAAAAGTAATGGCAATGGTAAACACATCATAACAATAGCTTTAAAATGTTAGTATTTAGTATTATGGTATCAGCTATTTTAATTCGAGGATAATCTAATAGTAAATCGAATGTGACTGTAAAACAACATTTTAAAAAATAGCTGCCATTGAAGACCTTCTTTGGGATGGCACACATAGTTCTGAATGTCTGCAACAGTCAGAGGATATGCTATTCAAATTGGCATATCATCCTCAGTTGAAGGTGACATCTTCTGCTTTTTTTTTTCAAAAATACCATTTTAAGGAAAAAATAAACTAATGAGGTTCATTTTCTCATGTGTCTCAGAAATAGATTCCAATGACAAAATGAATGGGAGGAAGAGAAAGGGAAAATGGATGAGGAGGAGAAAAATGAGGATGAGAGAGGAGGAAAAAAGGAGGAAGTGGAGAAATAGAAGAATCCAAATATATTGTAAAAAGACACTTTATTCAAATAAGTACATAATCTCACAGCTGAATACTTTCCATGAATATTCTGACACATTTATTTAAATTTTTGAAATCTTACTTTATGCATGTTATAATGGAAAATAGAGGATGAATCTCTTTATAATTTTATCTCATTTATGTTAAATACAAAGATATTCTAGATCAGAACTAACAAGATGAAAGTAATTTATTAAAAGTATGAAATTTCATTAAAGTAGTATTTAATTTTTTTATGTTGGCATGATTGGTCTATTACCAACAACCTTCAAGGAGCTAACTCTTTTATAATCTTTATTCCTGGTGCTTGATTTTCCTCTTTATATCAATCCACTATGTGTTCCACAATTCTAATCTCAGATTTAAAAAATAAATGGTCAAAGGGAGTGGCAAAATATTTGAATTGCTTTCAGAGGTTTGATGGTAGGACCCAGAAGACATAGAGATTGCCAGAATTAACATAACAGAGGATTCAATGTGCTCCTGTGAGAAGCATTGATTGGGGTGGGAATACAAGTCTGTTTCAAGCTTTCTGTACTGGTAGTAACTACTCACAGCTTCTACTCTTGCTTCTTAACCATAGCTTTCCTTTTTTTTTCTTTCCAGGGCTATAAGATTTTTATTTGATTTCAATAATCTTCCACCTGTATCTCCTTTTTACTTATAATGAAAAATTTCAGTTCTGTAAGACACCAATATAATGACTTACTTGCTTTATCTCATAATATATAAACAGTTGCAAAATATGAATAACAGCACTACAACTAGCAATATGATGATTGCTTAACAGCTAAAGATTATTTTTAGGGTTTTTTTTTGCCGTGATTATTTCTTAAGGTATAAAAAGTCAAATTACTACACAGCTTTCCTTTATAATGGGCAACCAAGTACCATAGGTTGAAGGGCTACTCTTCAGCAGTTATAGCCTCACTTGAAAACTCGGCTGACCTCTGCTAAGAGCTTCCACTTAGCGGTTGGTAGTTGTGTTCAGACTCTGCCTCTGCTACTTACTAGCTCTATACCTTTGTGAAAGCCATTTAATGTCTCTGCCTCAGTTTTCAAATTGGAAAGAAGAGAGGGAGGAAGAAAAACAGAAGGAAAAACCCTATTTTACATGGTTGTTCTCAGACTAAGAAAAAATATATAAAGCATTTACCTCAATGCCTAGAGCTTAAAAATTATTAAGCAAATGGTAACTATATTATTTAGCTCATGAGCCAAATTCTTTCCAGATAAAATTTTTAGAAATCAATAGAAATAAAACTTGCCACGTAAAAACAATTTTCCACCTTCAACAGAAATATATGGGCAGGTAAATTCTGTCTTATGCAAACTTTTGTGGTTCTTTAAAATTAACCGTAGGAGGAAAAAGATTTACAATGTATTTTGGGGGGGAGGGGCGGGAATGGCAGTGAGGGAGACAAGAAATATGTAGGGAAAATCATCTTAGAAAAAATAAAGCTTCTTAAAATTGATATAAGCAGAGGGTGGAAACTGAGGCCGGGAGATTATTACTCGTCCACGCTTACAGGGTGGGGTGGGGCAGCGTTCTCCAGGGTTTCGCCTTTGCCGAAGACCCGCTCCACCTTCTCTCGACCCAGATGCCCTTGTCGGGAAGAGTATGCTGTCCTCAGTGCCTGGGACAAGCTCACAAGCCCTCGTCTGTTCCAGGAATTCCAGTCCAAGCTCAGTCCTCTCTCCATCCCGGGGCATCCTAAGCGTGTCTTTGAACCGCACTGTGGAGTTTCACTCCGAAAGTCCTTCTTACAGAGCAACTCCAAGGATGGGCTGAAAAGCACATAGAGAAAATGGAACAGTGCGAAGTTGGAAGGTCCGTGCGGGTGGCAGCGCCAGTGTGGGGATGAGATGCTCACAGGACGGTTTTTAGGCGGCTCACAAGGGTTTTTTCTTTCTTTTCTTTCTTTCTTTTTTTTTTTTCTTTTTTCTTTTTCTTTCTTTTTTTTTTTTTTTTTTGAGACGGAGTCTCGCTCTGTAGCTCAGGCTGGAGTGCAGTGGCGCGATCTCCGCTCACTGCAACCTTTGCTTCCCGGGTCCCGGTTCAAGCGATTCTCCTGCCTCAGCCTCCCGAGTAGCTGAGATTACAGGCGCGCGCCACCATGCCCAGCTAATTTGTGTATTTTTAGTAGAGACGGGGTTTCACCATGTTGGCAAGGCTTGAACTCCTGACCTCGTGATCCGCCCGCCTTGGCCTTCCAAAGTGCTGGGATTACATGCGTGAGCCACCGCGCCCGGCCTCACAAAAGTGTTTTTGAAGGCTCCATTCCCGAAGACTGAGTGAGGTATTCGATATCCTCCTCCCTCATTGAAAAGTTGTGTAACAGGAATCTAAGTTCATGCCGTTTGATTCCCAAGACTTCTCCAAGCCGCACTGTAGAGCAGGAAAATCGACTAATATTACTGCTCAGATTATCATCATAGTGGCCATTTAAGATGGAATGCGACATCAAGGGTAAACTAGGCATTGAAAAATTCACTTTCAGACCTCCCTTCCGTGCCTCACTCTCCGGCCAGTCCTTTTCCCCATTCGCCATTCAGGCACTAAAATTTTGCAGTTTGAGAAAAAGAAAAGTGAGGAAAACACAAGAGAAAAAACGCGAGGCTTTTCGGGTTCTTTTTTATATATAGAATAGCTTATATAGTCCAATTTTATTTTCTAAATCGCCCCACACATAAAACGTATAACTCTAGCCAAGATGAAGGAAAAAAGAAATGTAATAGTTGGGAGCAGAGAGAAATAGCCAGCACCACCCCCCAGCGCAGAGCCGGGGCGCGGGGCCTCGGGTCGCCCCCTCCGGCTCCTCTGACCCGAGACTCGCCAGGTCTTGGACATCCTCAGCCTGCGACACCGTTCCCAGGACGGCTCATCACCTATTATCTCGGACTCCAGATTTTGTGTGTACGTGTGAAAATTTTCCACAAGAAAGTGGGAAAGATTGTCGGTCCTGTTCCCAGCGGGTGGGGGCTGGTGGGGGGTTCTTGTCTGTCTTTGAGTCTTTCCATCCGCACCATCAGCTGAGGGACAACAGGGTAGGGGTGGGAGGGGGAGTGTAGGGGAGACGACTCGGGGGCCATGTTCTAAGAGACTCTGGGAGGTAAAGTGTTTTAGTCCAGTCTTTTCTAAATCTTACTGGGGGAAAACCCTGAACAGGAACCATTAGAGAAGAAGGCGACCCCTCTAATAACCCCTATAATAACAGGGCCCGGCTGCTGGGCATTGTCAACAGGGAAATAACTCGGTCGCTGCTTTTCTGGCGAAGACGTGCCATAGCCTGGGATAGTAGCCTGGGGTCACAGGGCCACACCGAAAGCCCTCATCTCTCTCTACCTTCTCTCTGCAGAAAAAGCGTGAGGCTGCTCCTCATTGACACCCACTTAGAAGTTGGTTGATGAAGACTGCAGTGAGCACTCTCAGCAAGGGTAAAACTGGCACATTTGGGCCTGAAATGGGGTCCTCGGGGCCTGGTAGGCTCAAGTATGCCCTTGGTAATTTCCAGCTTACAGAGAAAAGAAGAGCGTTCACTTTGTTTCTGCTGGCAGGGTGAAAAGGGGCAGCTACGTGGCCAAAGGTGAGTGCTCAAGTTTGCAAGGGCCCAAGATAATAGGGACTCTGATTTGGAGACTGCTGGAACTTGAGCAGTTTGTTCTCCACTTCTGGTCCTCTTGCCTCAGGTGTGCGGTTGCCTGGCCAACAGGAGGTGGGTCCTTTCTGTGCGCCCCAAGTGGTGCCAAGAGTGATTCGCGCCACTTCCCGGGGGCATGGAGGTTAAGCAAGGCCGGTAGGAATGTTAGTGAATCCTTGCTTGGGGGTCCGCACGGTTTTATTTGTTTTGTTTTTCTGACTAGATTCCAAAGTTGGTGAATTTTTCTGCTCTGGGGTTACGGGGAACTCCCGGGGCGCAGTGTAGGGAAGGTCAAGGAAAACTACTGCTCTCCCATAGGCGGTTGCTGTGTGTGAGTCACGTCTGGGCGTTTTAAAATTGAACATTGTTTTGCTCACTGTTTAGTTTTCTGAAAAGACCGTTTCTTAAACTATTACAATTCAGTTATCTCCATTAAGATTGTATTTCTGTTGCAATATATATTTAATGTTTGGGCTTTATAAATGCTGTTTCCCTTAAGCAGCTCTCAGTCCTTTCTTTGGACCACAATAAAATACAGCTCTTAGAAATCTTTGGTTTCCCTGGGTTCATTTTCATTGCGTGTTCCTCATCCTGCCAGGTTACACGTTTTCCCTCACTGCGAACTGTCAGCCTTATTCCGAGTATAGCCACCACTGACTTCTGACCCTGGACGGTGTCATTCACCGGGAACTCTTAACGTCTCCGGCCGAGAAAGGAGGGGACGGTAGCTAACTCTTTCGGCGGAGCTGAACCCCTACCCCCTCCCTCCTGTGACCCGAGCCTACTGCGAGACCTGGACACCGCCAAGTGGGGCAACGTTTCGCTCTTACAGCAGCTTCCCGACCTCTGCTAACTCCCAGGCCATTTCAGAAGGCGCAAAGGGGAGAAGGAAAAGTTCAGAGAGCAAACGTTGCTCTCTAGCCTCCCCCAACCTCCAGTTCCTCTCTTCCTTCCCCTGCTGTCCAAACTTCATACTGTCCACCAGGGGAGACTGCCCCCCGACTCGGCTGTCCCTCACTAACGCGGTGGTCCCCGACCTAGGGTCGCAGATGCACTTCCCGAGGCACATGCGGGCGCAACAAGGTAACTGCGCTCCAGGCGTGGAACCCCAGTCCTGAGCGATGTGAAACCAACCCCAAGCGGGCTGTGCTCACAGTTTGGGAAAAGGTAATGTCTCTGATCCCCCCATATCCACCCCTCCCCCAACCCTTGAGGACAGATTCGGGTACCGCAAAACCGCCAGGCACAGAAGGGAGGAGAGCTGGGACGGACAGGCTACTCCCGGGGAGGGGATCACCTCCACGTTCCCGCTCCAAGCGGCTGGTAGCTGCTAGTAATTCAGACTTCTGGCCTCGGAGGAAGAGTGCCAGGGAAGAAAGAGACTAAGAAATCCTCAAACGCCCGTAGAACAAGACCCGGGAGAAGTGCCCAAGTGGGCGCGGCCGTCGGCGAGGTCAGTTTAGCCTGTACTGGACCGTGGAACCCTGAGCGCTGAGGCTGTGGGGTCGCGGGATTCTACTGGGCCTCGCCAGCTTCCACAGTCTGCTGCGGTCTGTGGAATGGGGAAGGATAAAATACAGACTTTGGTTTATTTTAAAAAATGGTATTCTGCCTGAACTATCAGGTCCATGGTTTGCTTTTGGCGCTTGCAGAAGCACCAGGACGATCTTTCCAAAAATTTCTGCAGTAGTTTAACTAACCAATGAAATAAATGAAGGTTAAAAAACCAAAACAGATCATTTTCTCCTCTTGGCCTTTATTTTATTTTTGTTAAGCGAAGGGGTTCTTTTGTTCTTATTTTTGTCTTCTTATTTGCCTGAGGGGTGTGAACTCAGGAGCATCTGGACCTTTCCACACATCATTTGTTCGATTACTTTCTTGTTGTTGACCCAACTAAGCTTTTTACGTTTTTTTTTTCTCAATTCTTTACAGAAAAAAAAAAAAATCTTGGGAGTACTGATGAACTTTGTTTACAGAATCACACTCCGACTCCTTCCCCTGAATCGCTGGTGCCTCCGGAGCTTTGAAAGCCCTGCTTTTCTCTAGGTTCAGAAACCAAAGTTATTCACGCTCACTTCTCAAACCCTTTCCATATGTTCTTCTCTCGCTGGAAAAACTGATAAGTAACAATGTGTGTGTGCACGCGCGCTTAAATTGCGTTTAGATTTCAGATACATCAGAAGAGCTAAGGTCTTTGGTCGACACCACTTGCTGACGGCTCTTTCTCCCTTAAATTGGGGACTTGTGTCCCTCCCTTGCATTGGATTCAGAGGAGACACGCGAGCAGCTGCTCAGGAAAGAGTTTTCTCTGCTACACGCTCACTCGCGCTGCATATCTCCTCATGTCCACTAGAGGTCACTGGCCCCTCGCGGCTCGCGGTGCTACCGGCCGCCTCCCGCTCCTGAAGCTCAAATTAGCGCGTTAATTAACACCCGAGTCCATCAAGGCGCGTTCCTCAGTACAGTACTCCAGCAGGGCTTATATAGACAAACCAAACCCAGCCAAATCAAACCTCCCCAAATCCAACATTTCCTGCATGTCCAAAATGGGAGACAGGCGCCTGAGTAACCCGGGGCAAGGTATAGTGCAATCACGCTTTAACTTTTGTTCTGTGGGGCTTGCTAAGTTGCTGTGAAGATAACATTCTCTGCGAGCGCAGGTTCGGCGGGGCCCGGCTCCGTTCTCCAGCTCTTCAAGGCTGGGCAGCGTGAGTTTTGGCCCCCGCAGCACACTGGTCCTCCGAGCGAGTTTCTCCAACACGGTCGCTACGGGGAAGAGGGGCGCAGGTCCACACCGTCCTAGGCGCACACGAATGTAAAAGGAGAATATTTGTTTAGGATATGATGCACAAGAAAATGCCCAGATGTGGAGAAAAGAAATATAAAATATGACGTTTCTCCTGCCTTTTGATGAGAAATGGGGAAGGGGCGGGGGTTGACTGTGGAGACCGACGCCGGGAATTGACTCTGGTGATTTTAACGCGGGAGCTAGGGGGGTGGCTGCGATGTCCAGAGAAGGTCACTGACTCTTGCTTATTGTGCGTGTGTGTGTGTGTGTGTGTGTGTGTGTTTAAGGTCCACACGAAGCTTTGGGTCTAGCTTTTATTTTATTTTATTTTATCTCAACCAAAGCCCAATAAGCATTTCCCACTATGGACTGGGAGGAATTAGTCACGTCTCCAGGGCCTCAACGAAATCCTTAAGGACTGCATGAAACCAAGCCCAAGTTACATTCCAATAGCGCTGTCCACGATCGTGATATTTGTAAATCGCCATGACGAGTCCCTTTGACATGGTGCCCTAGTGAGTGGAAGAGGCGCCTCTAGAGCTCTTAATTCTTTTGAGAAAAAATCTTGGAAACATTAATTCGCGTTCTGACAAAAGGGTTTACAAGGCTCGGGGTCTTTTGCCTTAGCGGGGAGCAGGAAGTTTGGAGAGGAACAGTGTGGATTCCTAGGAGTTTGGGGACTGACCTTTGTTTTTCATGGGATCATTGGTGCGGACCCCAAAGATCGGGACGGTCGGGCCTTCACTAGAGAGGGATCCAGCGTGTTAACCACCGTTTGCCCCAACTGTTCAGCCGTAGGCAAAATTAGCCTGCCGCGCCCTCATTGCGGGATGGGGCTTCTCCTGGGTTAGTTTAATGATGGCCGATTAATAAAGCCATTGTCCGCCTTCAGGCGAAAGCAGCAGCCGGGGCGGGTTATGGGCCGCGTCCACGTGTTAGGCCACGCCGCAGGCACCTCCAAGGTCCGCATCAATAGCACCCAGGGGGCTGGCGGGAGTGAGAGCTTCCGGCAGCCCCGCGGCAGATGAGTCCTCCGCTGGTGACGGGGTCGGAGGGGGCATCCCTGGAAGCCCGCCCCAGTCTGGAGGAGAAAGGGGCGTCCAATGCTTCCTGATAAAGCTCTGGGACTTCGAAACTGCGGCTATTTTTTTTTTATCGCAGTCCCAAATTATTAGGGAGCAACCCTTGGAGCATTCCCTGCAGAATCCAATCCCTACCTGAACCCCCAATGAGGGGCCGCCCCCCATCCCACACTTCGTTCCTCTTCCCCTTCGCCTTCGGCTTGGGCGCTACTGAGCCGGCGTTCCAGGTTGGAGCAGTCGCCAGAACCTGATCTAGCTCCAGGGCAGGCACAGGTGTCAGCTTGAACTGGCATTATGTAATGGATTTGGCAGCTCTGGCTCTTTCCAAACGGAATTAAGAAAGGTGGGGCTTTCCTTTTCTTTTCTTGACCTTTTATTTTGACTACATCTGGTCAGGTGTACTCAATCCGTGGCAGCAGGTGTTATTGCAGGAAAAGACGAAGCGGAATGGCGGCAGAGGTTAAAGCACTCCCAGGGAGCGGCCCAAGAGAGGCCCGGGGGCCCTGGGAAGAGCCTCAGCGACCCTTCCCTGAGCCACTCACCTGAGGCCGTAGCTGCAGGCGACCTGAATTTCAGGCGCAGGGGACGAGGAGTGAGCAGCCCCTGCTCTCTTTGTTTTCTGGCCAAAACCCCTCTGGTAGAAACTGTGGGGCTCCCTTCTGATTACTATTTGCCTTTTATTAGCCTACCTATCACCCCACGAGTGTGGGAGAGTGTGAGTTTGGACCCAAAATCAGGACATTCTAGGTAAAATACCCTTGCAGGCGACAGGGAGCCCCGCCTTCATCTCAGAAGCGTTACCTGCGAGCAGCCTCCGCCAAGCAGTTCTCTAAAAATTAGCCAAACGGAGCCCCCCGAACCCCTTCTAAGCTGCAAGACCACGGGGCTCTCGTCCAGGAGAATTTTAAAAAACAATTTTGGTAAGCTCTGGAAGGGAATTTCATACAGTCAGTCTCCATTTTATTAGATACAAAAGAAAACTGAGAAATGATAACATCTCCCTCTCCAAACTGTCAGTTTACTTGTGAGTACCAAATTACTGCCATGATGGAATTTGATGCTAAGGGCTGGTTTGAAGAGACCTAAGAGACTTTTGTAGAGACCTAAGGAAGTGTTTGAGCCTTAAAAGTGAAACGCTCAATTTTGGGAGTAGGCTTACTTTTAAATGATAAAAGAGAATAGTTTTTAAAGTACCAATTCAAAGACTAAATTTGAGTCTCTGAGTTGAGTTCTAAAAGGAGCACTCATTAAAGGTGATAAGAAGATTTAAAACAAACATTTGGAGAGTTGTGGCAAAAGAGGCTGGTGTCTACATGGTTATTTACAGGTGATGTGTCATGTATCCAGACTTCTTAATTTGGACTCGTGAATTCAGCCCAAAACTCACACCTATAACGACTTGAGTAACAACTATACAAATAAAAATGTCTCTTTCTGGAGTAGCTTCCATTTGCAGAGGCTGCTGCCAGGAAAGCTGGTGAATCCTTTACACTGGATATTTACATGGGCCTGAAGTGCCCCAGTACCTGTGTGTTAACTGTAGCACAATGCCATGCAATGGCTACCTATAAATGACATTTAAAAAAATATATTGTAAGAGATAAGCAGGGAGAATACTAACATCTGCCAGGAAATTTTTAAAAACAAAGTTCAAACTAGCCCCATTAAATATGTCATGGTCAAAACTGTTTGGTGGTGAATTATTTTTGCCTTCCCTGCTGTTGCCAAAGCCATTGATGATCACAGGAGACCTCAGCGAAAGGAATCAGGAAGCAGCACTCTCCCCCACCTTTTTTTCCAAACGCACATGAGTTTCTTCGTGAATTCCATTTGCTGGATCTCGTCTGCCAGCTGAAGATCCTGTACTGATCTGGGTAGGGACCAGCCCCCACACGCAGCCGTCTGTTCCTGAGCAGAACTTGGAGGTGTAACTACATTTTCATGCCAACAGGACAAAATGATTTCGCTCAGAATCAGGTTGTGTTTTCAAGTTACCTTTCCTGTCTAATCACGTGGTGCTTATAAGACTGATAACCTTAAAGCACACTCCTCAGTGCCGGCACCATAGAACCTAGTTGAGCTTTGGGGGCTTTTCTTGAGTACTTATAAAAGATTCCACACCTTCCAGAGGGGCAGGTTGTACGTTGTTGGGACATCAGCGGCTACTTGGTGTCTAATTCAAGCCTTCAGGTGTTTTACTAGTTAACAAGTGTAAATTTCCCAGGTTGTAAATGGTTTAAGAGGGGAAAAAAGAAAGGCAAATTATCAAATTGTCTGTTTAAAACATAGTTTTGCAACTGCTAAGTTCTACTTAAACATAAACCCAAATTTCTTTTGTCCTCTTCAATAATAAATTACTTTCTTTTATATAATTGTTCTGTATATCAAAGCTGTACCTTATTGAACCCCTCACTTTCCTCCGTGCAACCCAATCCTGAGGCCTCATTAAAACACTGGCGAATAATTTTAAAGAAAAAAAGGGAAACTCTCAAAAATGATATTCAATATGCAGGGCAGTTTAATTATTTAGTAACTGTTAAACAATGAAAAGTGTTTTCTCTCCACCATGCCATCGTACTATAGCCTGAATGTTGACCTTACACAAATATCCATTTTTCAACGTGTAGCGATCCACCGAGAACGAACTCTTGGCCTCAGAAACTGAGTCTCAAACAGGGCGAATTCATGGGGGTGGGGGTCCCGATGTGTTTAGAGTGTGTGCTCCAGACACTGGGAACACGGGTGCGGGCTGGGCGGGGGTCTGCGTGCTCTTTGCTTCCTCTCTTATCACTGTTGCCTGAAAGAATTTTTAAAACACCACCTGGGTTGGTAAAATATGATCCTCATTTAATACAGTGCGTAACCGGCTCGTTCCGCTGAGAGGATTTTTTTTTCCTACAACTAACATAATTTTCAAGGAGCAACTTCTTTTTGTTCCATTTTCCTTCAAAACTATGCTGGGCACAAACTAACAACATTTTATCATTCTTATTCTGAAATAAGATTTGGCAGGTAAGTGAGTCCTACAACATGCCAAATGTCCCGCAATCTACCGTTCAGAGATTCCTTATGCCACCTTTGTAACTGTGTAGCAACAGTAATCCCTTAATTAAGTATACAAATGTACAGTTCACCAACCCATCTAGTGGTTTCACTGGAGTGGGAGAAGGGAGATGGTTACCGTGACATCATTGTTATTATTTAAACTGCTAAGGGAGAATATAATTGTTAATAAAAGGCTTCTTCTCCACGCCCCTCAAGGTTCCCTCCCCCCTGGCATTTTATGACGTGCCATCCACAATGAATGTAAGTAGAATTATGTCGATCCTGGGAGCCTACTCTCTAAATATAATGTCGCACAGGTCAGCAAGGAAATGGAGAAGAAAATTACTGTATTTAGGGGTAGTTGTTTGAGAAAATATGTATTTACAAGTGTGGGGTATCGGTATTAAAACTTTGTCTCTTTATGAATGTGTGTGTGTGTGTGTGTGTGTGTACAGAGGGAGTTCTATAAACGGGTTGTGTGCATCCGTTTTAGAATCCTCGTGTTTGTACATTAAAAGGCTGCCATGTAATCATTCCATGGGGCTGGTTTAGTGCATTTAACGGAGAACTAATGGGTAGTCTATGTTGAAAAGCATGGTCCTATTTTTTAATCCCATCACGTACTGAAACGGTTTTGTGAGAGTCTGCGGCTTTCACCTTTATCCATCGTGGATGCTCTTGTTCGAGAAATCCATTCCAAACACTTTTAGTTCCTGATCACTGCTAAAATGCTGTCCCTTCTTTCTATGCAACTGTTCTTTATTTTTGGCCTATTTTTGTCAGTCTTAGCAATAATGATAAACAATCCTTGCTGCATTGAAACTCAGTTGAAATGATCCGGTGAACCCCTGCCTTGGTCCTTGCTGCAAACTGTAATCTCAAATACTGAATATGGTCGGACTTGGTAGTGGGATCCAAGCTGCAGGAGACCGAAGCTACTTTTTCGTTACCTTCTTTCTAGCCTAGAGCGCGCGCGCTATGTACACACACACACACACACACACACACACACACACACACACACACACCTCGGTAAAAGCAAGCTGAGATGAGGTGAGGGGGTGTTCCAATGTGAACAGAGACGCAGGGTTCGGGCTGAGGGAGCCTGGGCAGTGGGGAAACCGACGGCGTGAGCAGTGCCGGGACCAGGGGCTATGACTAAGGTGGGCGCCCCGCGTCCAGGAAGAGGACGCGAGGAAGCTGCACGAGCCTCCGGCGCTTGTCTGAGATGCAGAAGTGGATGACCGGGCTCCCGGGCATAAAATCAAAGTTCCGTGGAGCTTGGAGCTCTTAGACAGCGACGCTTGTCCGAGCTGAGAGCCCTCCGTGGTTCGAGCTCGCGCGTGGAGCGGCCTCCAGCGCTCGGTCTGCTAGGGTAGAAGCCCATGAAGGGGGTCCCGCGGCGCTAGCTTTTGTACGGCCCCGCCTTGGCCAGCCGTGAGCTGACGCACCGGCTCCCCTGGGACGCTGGGGGCGTCGCACCGCAGCTGGGTGGGGAGCAATTTATTCCTCGCCGTCCCATCCCAGCCCATCTTTGGTTACTCCACCCTACCCCTCCCATCCCTCCTCCTCCTCCTCCTCTTCCTCCTCCTTCTCTAACAACGCCCGCACTACCTTCTGATTCTCCACCTCCTCTTCATCCTCCATCCCCCTTTTACTTCTCTCTCCCCCGTCTCTCCTCCCTCCCGCCTCCTTTCTCCCTCTCCCCCTCCCTCTCTCCTCTGAATAAGCAAGCTTTTGCCTCTAAAAGTCACAAGTAATCCTCGTGTGTGACAGAGAGAGAGAGAGAGAGAGAGAGAGAGAGAGAGAGAGAAACGAGCTGGCGGAGAGGAGCAGAAGGCAGGAGGGGAAATCTGGCACAACGGCTGGGAGAGGAAACTTGATGCTTCTGGGCCACCATTTGCCAGGGCCTCGCTCGAGGTAAGCACACTGGGGTCCCGCGGAGTCCGTACCTGTCAGGGTCCAGCCCCCGCCCATAGCCGAGAGATGGGCACCCTTACCTGGGCTATTCAAATAATGATCAAAATGGAACGGGGATGGGATGCGGGTGAGGGAGTGCTCCAGCCGGAGGGCCCGGGGCCCAGAGGATGATGTGCGCCTGGAAGCTTGGACCCCGGGCTCTTGCCCCTGGGCACCTTGTGCCTCCAGCCAAGGTTCCGAGCGACTGCGTGGGGCTCCAGCTATCCGATTTCCCTTCCTAAGTCGCGCGTTCGACAGCTCCCTCCTTTACACACCCGCGTGCAAATGAGCCGCTGCTCTGTCATGAAGTGAGAATGTGAGCCTCTTTCAAACCCTAGAAAAGGAAAGTTTGGTAAGGCGGGGGCTGCGCAGATCTGCTGTTCTCTGGAACCTAAACTGGGAACCCTAGACTTGCGCAGAAAATTAATAGTTTTCCATTTTTCTTTAAAAAAATTAACTTCAACGAAAAATTGTGTGTATTCAAAAAAATTATTGGATTACCATGTCTGATCAGCTGCTGATGACCTACCAATAAGCGTTTTAAACACACATGCACATTCACGCGTGCGCGCGCGCGCGTACACACACACACGCGCGCATACACACACACACACACACACACACACACACACACCCCAGGGGCTATGTGCAGTGAGGAAGGCCGTCATAAGTAACTAAGAATTCAGAGGGAGTCGCAAGGGCTTTTAAGTGTGTAAAGGCTGTGTACGTGTCCTCCTTGTTACAGAGAGCAGAGGGAGGGGGCAGAGGGAATGAGCGTCGGCTCGGCGTTTTCGCTGTGCCTGTGTGTTTCGCGTGTTGTCAGCTGGCTCTGGTTTCTAAGGGCTGAGCGCTGCCAGGGGCGGGGGCCAGCATCCACCATCCACCTCGGCACCCTAGTGGTGAAACAGGACTCATTTGTTTGGTGCAGAGCGGTGACGACCTAGAAGAGACTGGAGTGTGGTTAGGTCGGCCCCCTGCCATCCATTACACCTGCGGCAGATGGCTCAAGTGGTAGAATGGTTTTGTTTGCCGAGATCAAGAAAGGAGGAGGGGAAAGCTAGAGCCTCGCCCCACTCAAAAGAAGTACCATAAAGAGCCAAAGAAATGAAAGAAGCCATATTCGTACCATCAAAAGCAAGAATGTTGCTGCCTTCCAGGAGTTAACCTGGACACGTTAGTGACTTTGGTACCTGGCCCGAATTGATAACGACTGAATTTTAGAACCAACATTTTTCAAATGTATTTTTGATGAAATGCCTACTTCTCCCTACACACACACACACACACACACACACAACACACACACACCTATCTCCAGGCAGATGCACACAGGTGTCCTTGGAGCTCTACTCCCTGAAGCCAAATGTCAGTAAGATCCTGCGGATTTCCAGATGAAGGAAGCCTCTTGTCTCCCCCCACTTTTTTCAGTCGGCCTGCTAGCTTCCACACACAAGCCCCTCTCGCAAGACAACCACCTGGCTGAAATTTAGCCAGGTGTCAAATGTATCCATCTCATTTTCACGTGCAATAATGTGCCTTTCTGATCAATCTTCACATCCTTGCATCCATTCCTTCCTCCCTGCTACTCAAGAAGCAAGAAAGGAGCACACACATCCTCCCAGGCAGTCCAGAGGAAAGGCAGGCGTGACAAAGAACACAGACACAGTCTAATGACAATTTAGCCTGTCTTCTATTCCTTGACTTTCTTGTTAAATAAGAGGAATGAAAAGAAAAATATATTGAGGGAGACCTAAACAGAAAGCCTTGTAAGCCTTGTCTCCTCCCTTACTTCACACAGTCATCACGATAACACCCATATACAAATTACCTTTATGAATATGCTTATTCACATTTAATGTGAAATAAAAAATTATTTTGCTGGCCTAATTTTCTGTACTGAACAGTAAACATTCCTTCTACTAGAGTTTAATACACTAATGCTTTGGGGATGACTAGCATGAAGAGAAATTCCACAATTTTTGAAACAGAAATTCTATTTTTCTATCTTCTTTAATGTCAAATCAACATTTTTTAGTTAGTAAAACCAAAGAATATCAAACAATGAGAGTCCTTTCTAGCTAAGATTTTGGAGTCACAAATAAAGCTACATCCTAAAAAGCCAAAAGGAAAGGAAAAAAAAATCAACCCCTGCATTTATCAAGGTGCTTTAAATACCCAAAGACACCTCTGAACTGGGTTTTGTTGATGGGTGCTTGTTGTGTGCCCAGTGTAATTTTTTAATAAATATTTTCCTGTGCTATGAATGTTTCCATTTTTATAAGGAGAAAGCTGACTTTGAAATGCAGTGGGAAACAGGATTTGCCAAGAAAAAATGCCAGTAGGATAAAGCCCAATTTTATTATTAATAATATAGGTTTATTTGTATATCATACAAACTGCTAAGAGTCTCTTCTTCGATGTGAATTCCTGTATTATCAGGACACAGTCAAATCCACTTGTAAGAAAATTTAAAAAGAAAAAAAATACTTGCAGAACAGAGTTGAAATACAGGTTTCCTGGGCCTTTTAGTGATTTCTTTTTAAGAGGGAGAGAGAGGGGGACCTGACCTAAAACTCCTGGCTTTAGAGACACTAAAAGCTTCCAATTGTATTTAAATAAAACAGAATTAGCAAACTTTTGTGACTGTAGAGAACGAAGACAAAAATTTAGTCCTAATAAGCTCTCCCACCTTCCAGGCAAAATCTTTTAGACCCTAGTTCTAACCGGTATGTAAAGCTAAGAAAAATAATTTCCAAAATGAACTCTTGAAATTTGAATGGAAAAAAACTGCCTTTAGTTCTGAGGTTTGTTAATAAGCAATATTTTACATAGAAATCTTAAGGAATGAAATTAGCTCCGATACCCCAGTGTTTCGAGGAAAGGGAATATGTTTTACTTTTGAGCAGGTTAGTATAAGAATCACACTCAGCCAGGTTTCTTAGGCCCAAGTGAGCCTCAGAACCTGAAAAGGGGAAAAAGAAGGCATCTTGGGGCATAATGGAAGCTGAGGTTCCCCCCTCCTCTACCCGCTGCTGGGACCAACATCACATCTCCTTCCCATATGAAATGGCTATATGCTATTACAGAAAAGACTAGATAAGAGAAAGTGAATCTGGAATACATGAATTGCTTTTTTGCCATCCCCAACCTTGCTGAGCTTTCATCAGACCTGCCATGCCTTCACAACCTCTTACCTTCCCCAACATAAGCCAACAACCGAAGCCATGTCGCAGAAGATATATATGTAAATGTATGCACACATGTGTATGTGTGTGAGTATATATGTACACACACATATGCATATACTTTATGTATATATTTGCTTTGGTATATATGCTTTAAATATATATATTTATATATGCATATATACCTGTAGTTCTCAAAAATATCACCAGTAGCCCAAATTTGCCTTTATTTCAGGAGTAATTAAGAAGATTGTAATTCTTAAAGAAGAGCTACCAAATTTCACTCCCTGGCGGCAGTCTCAGGGCGCACTAAAGGTGCCCGAAGCTGGCTAGCAGGAGGGCTCGGCCGGTTCGTGTGCCCGGCGCCAACCGCTGCCTGTGAGTCTGTGTCTTTGACTCACTCATTTCCCCGCTTCAGGGAGGATAATGAACTCTTTTCTTTTCCTAATTTGTAAAGATATCTTCTTTAGTCAGTGCTGAACTGGGAAAGGCGGTGAAGAGGCCTGGGTCATGAACCTGAGGAGGTCAAGGCTCCGACCTCTGCTTGGGTCTCTCTCATAAAACCAAGGGACGGTGGGCAACTGCATCTGAGGGTTTATCCGGTTCCCCAGAAAAAATGGGCATGCGTGTGTGCCTGTGTGTTCAGTTCCATCCTACAGTCCTCCCAGGGGTCTCCAGAAAGCGTGGCTTTGTCTTCTCCAGGGCGGACGAGTCCTAGAGCAGTCCGCAGAGCCTTCGGTGAAGTTTCCCGCGGCCTCCCAAGTCCACGGAGCCCGGCACCCCGTCCCAGGGCAGCCCTGACGGCCCGGGCGCGGTACCCATGCGGCCAGTAGGTGTCGCTGTTCCCCTGCCGGCGGGAGCCAGGAGCCCCGCGCGGGCCCCCAGCGCCACTCAGCCTTCCGCTCCCGGCAGGTTCGCAGACCCACCGGAGCTCCCGAGAGAGGGCCGCTCTACCCGCCCCCGCCCCGGGACTGTGCCCGTGCTCACCTGGCTACCACCGTAGCGACACTGCCGGCCTAAGGAAGTACCTTCGGGGAGAGAAAGGAGAGACGGGTCTGTTGGGGCGAAACATGGGCCCCGACGGAAGCGGCTCCGAGCCGGCTTCTCTCGTGGCTCCCAACTCTCCCTCCTTTCTCTTCACGTGCCATGGGCGGCGGTGGGGCACTGAGGGCCTCCTGGTAAAATCCGAAGAGGGGAGATTCAACCGGGGTTCCATATGGGCTTTACGAATAAACAAGAGGTTGAAAATCCCAGCTTCGTGGGAGCTAGCTACAGAAAGAGTGGATTGGTTTCAATATTCTTGCCTCAAAAAAAAAAAAAAAAAAAAAAAAGAAAAAGAAAAAAGAAAAAGAAGAAGAAAAAGAAAAGAAAGAAACCTAGGCCTGGCTACATGCGTGGGCTACATACCACCTTGTACACACATGAACACAGAAGTGCCGGGTAACCGCGATCGCAGTCCCCTCCCCAGGCCCAGGAAGGAGCCAGTATTTGGAATGTGGTTGTCTTTCCCAAAAGCGTTGCTTGCCAAATATTATTTCCTCTTGGAAAACCTAGCAGTTAGCGAATCTTTGGAATCTGCATTGAAATGCTAGGTATTGAGAATTCTGCGCCCTTCTCTGGCGTCCTGCGGCTCCCTGCCTTCGGCCTCAGTGTGCCGCGAAAGAGATTATTAATCAGAGGCGTTCTTTTTGTATGTGTTTCAAAAGAAGGGCGTTTGGCTTATGAATACCTAAAGGGACATTTACAATGGGTACATCCTCTAGGTGACTGGAGATTTTAGTATGATTCTGATTGTTTTGTACAGGGAAATCACTGCTCTGATTTGAGGATAGGGAGAGGGAGAGTGAGTTGAATTGGCTAAATTCAGAATCAGGTGCTATTCAGAGTTAGTTTGCAAAATGGAACTGGCTATGTGTTTAAATTAACGTCTAAAATCATATCTTCAGTCAAAATGTGACATTTTGCAGTAAAATTTTTTAAAAGATTCACATATTATCTGTAAAATTTAGGTAAAAGGAATAAATTCGTGAAGAAGAAAAACGTAACAATAAAATTTGAGACAGGAAGAAAAAAAATTTTCACTTAAAGTCCAAAATATTTCGGAACACCTCTTGTTGCTGGCCCTGGGCCGCCATCTCACCATTTCAGAGGACATGGTTGGACAACTGCCGAGTCGTTAAGGCAAGCCTTAATTTTTACCGTGAGGTAGCCAACATCATCTTTAAATGTCATATATTTTTCGCTATGTTTCATAAAATGAGCTTCTTTCTGCTAAGTCCTATATCTGTTATACAATTCTAAATAATTATTTCTGATTGAGACGGCAAATTAATCATTCGGTGACGTGGTGGTGAGGGGAGAAACACGTGTCTCATTGGAGGTTGTGAAGTTCAGTGAGGTGGTATTTTTAGCTTGAGAAGTCCAAATTCAGATATTTGGGTATTTCTCCCCCTCCCACCGTTTCCCCACCCGGTCCCCATTTTACTCTCTCTTTAACTCAACCCTTTGGGTTCTCTTTCTCCTTTTTCTCTCCCATTCTCGCTTCTGTTTTCTCTCTCCCCTTTACAGCGCCTCTCCCTTTTTCTGTCTCTTCTTTCCTCTTCTCTTCTCTCTCCTCTCATTTATTGTCTGATTCTATGTCAAGTTAATATAAAAGTAGCAAGTGGGAGACCCAGTACCCTCAGCAGACCCTCTCTCCACCGCGCGCAGGGCACTTTGGGGAGTTGTCTGTCGCTGCCAGGTTACCGGCCAGAGTGGTGGCTCTTGGTGCAGGGCATGCTGCTCTCGGAGGAGTTGGGGTCTGCGCGGGGTTGCGGGGCTTATTCAAATACCTCCCGCTGCTGCTGTGATTCGCAGGGACTCGGCCTCCATATGGTAATGCGGGGCGGGGGGTTGGGGGAGGCGCAGAAGGGAGGGGAGGGGAGGATGGGGGTGAGGGCGGGGTGGGAGGGGGCTCCGACACTGCGCGCTCGGCTGCCGGGCTGGGACAGAGCACCCGGACCCGCGGCGGCAGCGGCAGCGACGCTACCCACCCTCTTCCCCAACACCCACCTAGCCAGCGAGTCACCGAGCCACCGGCCCTCGGGGTAAGCCACAGCGCGCACACGGCAGCGACGGTGACGGTTCACACGCTTTGGGTTACTACCATGCGCCAATAAGGGAGATTAGAAACAGAAAAGGAGATTACAGAGAGATCAGAGATAAGAGGTGTACCTCTCTGTGTTCCTTGTCACATAGCGCGCGCGCGCACATACACACGCATCTGTACACACATGCATGCTCAGCCGTACACGCACGCGTTCCTTGCTACTGCCATCTAAATATATGCACCGACACTCTATGCCCTGCAACGTGGCCGGTGTGTTTGTCCTGATCCTACATAAAGGTAGGCAGGTATGTGGGAGAGTCCAGGCAGGAACAAACAGCCACGCGCAATTTAACTGCAGCCAAACTCAAAGAGACCTTGAGCCTGCCGAATTGTTTCACTCAGCCAGGTGCCCCCCAGAAACCGGCTATTCTGCAATCAGTTGTGGAATCCTGCAATTATTCATAAAATGTGCTGAAAATGTATTTTAGGAAACGTAATCTTGCTATATATGGCAAGGTAAAGGCGAACCTGAAGGATGAATGTGTTTCTGCTTTTTAATGTCATACGTGTAGCCATCTGACCACTTTTTATTGGGTGACATATCATATGAGCACTTTGGTGTAGGCTTGGAAAAACTACAGCCAGAGGTAAGGCTGGAAATTCCATAAGAGTTAAGGGTGCTGAAAATGGATGCTGGATAGTCCAGCATGAAAGATGGCATACCGCTTTAGGTTTGAAATAGGGGGAAATACATGTGAATATTTATACATGAAGGCCATTGGGGAGGGCTGA
The DNA here is from genome assembly GCF_000001405.40 of Homo sapiens. Lineage (NCBI taxonomy): Eukaryota > Metazoa > Chordata > Mammalia > Primates > Hominidae > Homo > Homo sapiens. Next base: position 88,677,553 of record NC_000005.10, on the reverse strand, counting down.
GTCTTGGCCTGAGTATCTGTGCAGGTAAGTCATTCATAAGAAAACTAATTACCTGTGCATGTACTTGGACTTGTTTAATTGAATAAGCTGCATGTGTGCATACTTGCTGTTCTTTCAGGGTTTGCAATTATAGATTGAGTCTTTTTTAAATGATAGCTTGGGGGAATTAAAAGGTGGAAAAAAGCCATCGTGCTGCATAGCTATATTGCCAAGAAAGAGAATCCGATCCTATAAACAAGATTACCATTGCTTGAAATCTAACTCAAGGCCTGTATATTTTAAGCCACATCAACTGGTTTAATATAGCCAATTGTTTTATTTGTGTATTTGCTTTCATTTCAAAGTCAGGAATCAAGGATGCTTTTCAGTCAAGATAATGTGCCTTGTTTCCAGCCATATTAAGATAAAAATGAAACTCAGTAAATTTTGAATGCAGCCAATAAGGTACAACATACAACATGGTTGAAAATGTCTTCCTTGCAGAAGGCTGTCCATTGCTGTGTCTACCCATTTTAAAATATATATATTTTTTTCAATAAGAAATGCTAGAAAGCAATAGGGCGGGGAATGCCGCACCTCTCAGGCAATCAGCACAAAAATTATTTAGAAATCTTTGGAATCACTTCACTTATACATACATTATCTCGAAAGCACTGGCCCCGAACTGTGTTTCTGCTAATATGAAGTTAATTAGACAATCAAACTTTGAGCCTTGAGCGATGGGCACTACAGCCCATCAAGGTATGTCAAGAAAGAAAAAAAAATGTGTATTTTCCTTTATGACCAAACCAGGAGGTTATACAGCTGGCATTGCATACATGACAGATGTGCATATTTGTAACCTTAAATAAACAGAAGCAGGGAGGTAACTGTGTATATTATCTAGCAAGAGACAGCAGCAGACACTCGCCAAAAAAGACAGAAAGGGACAAGAGAGACACATAGACATAATAAAATAACAACAATAAAAATCCTCCAAAAAAAAAAAGAGGGAAAGGGAACCAATAAAATGACAAAATCTGAAATTCTCGCAAATTAAAAAATGCAAATATACCTTTACATATGCATCAGTATTAAAAATAATACACGCTGGAACCAACAGGAGCGAGAGCAAGAAGAGGAGGAGGAGGTGGAGGAGAAGGAGGAGGAGGAGGAGAGGTGGAAGAGGAGGAGGAGGAGGAGGAGGAGGAGGAGGAGGAGGAGGAGGAGGAGGAGGAGGAGGAGGAGGAGGAAAGAATGGAGGCGCCGCGGAGCCCTGATTATGCATGGGCTGGAGCTGCCTCCTCTAACCTGTTCTTCTCCGAGCCGGGCAGCCGGCGGTCCTCAGCCGCCCACAGAACAGGAGCCGAAACAACCGTTCTCGAAGGCTACAGCGTTTATTTTTCTCTTTTGGGGGGTTTTGGCGGTTGTTTCAGGGGCTCGCCAACTGGCCCCTTTAATTAAAAGCTTCAATAAAAGGCGATCGCGCCAGGAATGCACCCGCTCCTCTTCGCGCAGGATTTGCATATTTTTTTAATGCCCTAATTTCCTTGATGTATGTAAATGTAGCCGGACGTAGAGGGAGACAGGGAGCTGACGTCAATGGACGTGACCTCGCAGCTAAACCTTGAACGTGAAGCCGGGATGGGGGAAAACACGGAGCGGCAGCCGGCGGAGCCCGAGAGCGCGGGCGGCGGCGGCAGTAGCCGAGCCCAGGCCGGGGTGCCAAGGGACCAGTGCCGGCCCCGGGGGAGGACAAGCCGCCGCCTTCTTTCTGCACCGCGCGGCTCTCAGACTCGCCAGCCTTCCGGCCGCACACGCAGACTCTTGCCCTGAGCTTCCAGCCCCACCACACACACGTTCTTTTGCTTCCCTCAGAAAAGCAACACTCCCCAAAACAACAAACCAAAATCAACAGATAAAACAGATGTTTTAGACCAATGCTCGGGTAGCTTATCAGAAAGAAGACTCTGACCACGGAACATATATATTTTTTGGCTTCTCTCCACAAGAAGAGGAGCGAGAGACCACAGACAACAGCAAATCACTCCTAAAACACGATAACTACAAGTGCTCCCTGTAGGGAGAGGTAAATCGCCCAGCCGACTGGTGAAGTCTTCTGGTTTCGGTACCTATTTACCTGTGCACTCATTATGCGCCTCGGCTTCATTAACGGCAGGATCATGAGCGCGCGTTTTAATGTGATGGGAGTGCTGTGTTGTGTGTGTGTGTGTATGTATGTATGTGTGTTGGGAGGTGCTTGCGCTAGTGAGCACCGAGGCAGGCGCTCTGAGCAGAGAGAGATCAGTCTTTCCATGGCCACGTCTGGGACTCATCTGCGGAGCCATCTAGGCCAGGGCTCCTAGATTGGGGTTCGACTTCACCCCATGTAAAAAGAGAGGCCAGCAAAGGCTTCCCCTGAACAGCCAGGTCCTTCCCATCGGATTGTTTGAGGAAGGAGGCTTGAAGTGTGAGCCATTCTGTAGCCGCCGCCTTGCCGGATTTGGCCTGGTGTTTTGCACTTGAAACTCAGCGGCCTCAGCGCGGAGGTAGTGCCTCTCCGAGACGCGGCCGAGGCCTTGTCATTCCCCTCCTTCCGCCCGCGGCAGCCCTGCGCGCCGGCGTGTGCGTGCCCGCGCACCGGACCGCTGGCACCTCCCTGTGCACATCCGCCCCCTCCTCTGCTCGCCCCCTCCTCTGGGGCAGCTAAGAAATGGTCCTCGGCCTCTTCTGGGCCGGAGGGCAGATCTACGAGCAGGCAAGAAAGGGGCGCCGGTGGCTGTGGTGGCGACTTCTCCGCTCTGCCCTCGGCCGCCAAGTGTGCCGTTTCATCGTTCCACCTCGCAGCCCCAGCTTTGTTTTCCTGACATGTTCGTGGCCATTGGGCCCCACGCCTGCGAGGGGAGTGTGTGCGTGTGCGCGGGGGTCGGGCGCGCGCGGCGGGTGGGGGCTCTCCCGCCAAGGACACGCATGGCTGTCTGTCCTCCGGCTGCACTTGGCGGGAAAGCTAGGGGCCGCCGGCGGGGCTGAGCGCCAGCGGCTGTCATTACCGCCTCCCTGCTCCCCGCGGGCTGCATTTACATACGGGCCACTCGTCTGAATTTTTACGGCACTCTTCCCCCTCCCGTACCCGGTCGCACGCGCGCAGGCTCGGAACTACCACCCCGGCACGCAGACACCCGCGCCCAGAATGCGGCCAGCCCCAGGCGCGCAAACAGGCCCACAGGGGCCGACGGCACTCGGCGGGACGGATTCCTGCACCGCCTCCCCGCACCCCCGTGCCCACACCCCTGACAGCCTCTCCGCTTGTGTTGCAGGAAGCCCACCTTCCCCTCGAAGCCCCCACCCTTCTCTGTCTGCATACTTCCACCCCCACCCTCCCACATCTCTCCGTCTCTCTTTCCGTGGAAGGCAGACGCGCGCGCGCGCGCGCACACACACACACACACACACACACACACACACCCGCTTTTTCTTCCTCCTCAAATAGATGACCCCTATGGCGCGTCCCTGGTACATTTAGAATACCTCTAGAGTTTAGAGAATAAAATTCTTTAGAATGCATTGCTTGTCTTTAGCTAAACACATTTAACAACCACGACACAAACGGGGAGGAGTGAAGAAGGGGGACTTGAACCAAAAGACCTTTAAAAAAAAAAAAGTCTGCGAGTCAAAAGGTCATTCTCCAAGTTTGTAAATAAAATTGCAAAGGGAGTCCTTAAGAAAGGAGAGGAAAGAAGGGGAAGAAGGTTAGGAAGACTCACAAGTTACATAAAACAGTGCATTGGAAAAACGACAGGGAGATTCTGTAATAAAAAAAAAAGAAGAATCTTAAGAAACCAAGAGAGAGAAAAAAAAACTGGAGGAAAAAAGAAAAAGAGAAGAAAAGGATTTTAAAAAAAAGAAAAAAGCAAAAGAAGTTTCCAAAGAAATGTGTGCTTTGCATCCTACAATAGGAAAATGTAGCCATTGCCTTCCTTCAGACGAGACATTTCTAATTTGTTCCGTCTGTCAGGAGGGGACTATGAGAGGTTTGGGTGCAAATTCATTATCTCTGGCAACGCAGAACGTAGTGTGGGGACTGAAAAAGACCGTGGCAATGGATGAACAATAGGGCTTCAGTTCATCAGTAACAAAAGCAGTGGGGAAATTGGTTGAGTTTCAGAGCACGTCCTCCTCGGCAGAGGGGGCTGGACTAGACCTTGGACAGCCCCCCCAAAAACTTGCCAAGCCTCGCACACACCACTTCACTCTCCACTCCGAGGCTCAGGGAGCAAGTGCCTGGCATGGGGGGTAAAAGTTGGCTTTTTTTTTACTCCTTGGTCTTTTGCGCCCTTCTCCCTCTCCCCAGAAGGGAAGACCCATTTAAACTATTTTAGACGCAATCAACCAAGAATCACCATGTGGAATTGAGCGGCAGTTTTAAATGTGTTGAGCAGGGGAGAGGAATGATGAGAAAAACATTTTTTTTTTTTTTTTTGGAGACGCCGAAAGAAGCCTGTTTGTGTGCTGCGGCCGTGCTGTGACTTTGGATCTTGTCTTTCAGCCGGCGCCTCGGTTCCTGCCCAGCTGGATTTGGGGGGCAGCATTGCCTGGCGCAGGGAGATCAAGTGAGTATCGTGGCGGCCCTCAGGCTGCAGCTCGCCCGCGGCGCGAGGCCAGCAGTGCCCGCCGCGGCCCCGCGCCCGCACTCCTCACCTCGCCCGCTAGCCGGTGCCCGCAGAGTCCCGCTGCGGGCCGCTCCGAGGGCCAGTCCGGGGCTTTGCTTCAGCTAATTGATTGTGTGCCTCGGATGTTAAACCTGTTGATCTCGTGAGTTTTCTTAGCCAGTACTGTTAATTATCCAGCGGCTTGACCCCCAATCGCAGAGAGATGCCAGGAAATCTTCGCGTTGGAAAAGGGAATTTTTGTATGTAATTTTGTGGTGGTGGTGGTGGTGGTGTGTTTGGGGGGGCTTTTCCCTTTTAAACCTAGAGCAAAATGCACTTGTATTTTGCACTTCTGTATTCGAATTCGCATTTTGAAGAATTCGCCTCCCTTTAACCGCCCCAAAGTTGCAATTACCTGGCAAGGAAGCGAGGGTCTGATTAGATTTTGGTGGAAAACTTAGTACAGTAGCTAAGTAGATCTGGTGGCTTTCCACTTCCCTTTTCTCTTTGCCTTTTGAATTTTGGGAGGTGAGAGGCCGCTTTACAGGGTTATCCCAAGTTCAGATTCATCAAGATGCAACCATCATGGTTAGTTATTGGTACTTGGAGCGGTTCAGCTTAAGACGCTTCTGGTATCCAAACGGAGCTAGGTCTTTGCGGTTTGCTTAGAGTCTAGACCCGGCTGAGGAAGGCAAGAACTCCTTTCTGTGGCCTGGAATTATCTGCAGGAACCCAGGGTGATGGGAACTCGGGCAATGTATTTGCATTAGTGTCTGCGGCGTTTTATCTTGCAAATGTACCCGCGGTGCTTGAATGGGGGACTGTCTTGAGGGGTCAGGAGAGCAGTGGAATTGATCAGAAGTTAGACCGGAGGCTCTGTCAAGTCACGGCCACGGCCGGGGGCCCCTTTGGAGCTGTGGCTGCCTTGGGCCCAGCACCGCAGAGTCGGGTTCCGTTTCCTCCCTTTCTTGGTGTCCACCTCTGTCTACCACCCTCCTTTCTCCACCTTGGCACCGGTAATTAGGGCGCTGTCTCAGGAAGCGAGCTCCCACAGTCAGCATAATTAAACCAGGGCAATACTTTCATTTTGCAAAACCAATAGCCCCACCCCTCCAGTCCAAAATAACAATAAGCATTAAAAAATCATAAAAGAAAAACAACCTATTTTGGGGAGTATTGAATTCCTGAATGTTGGATCGAGAGGGAATGGGGGAAGGGAAATTTTCAAAAATCCACCACTTTACAGCAATCAGGTTTTACATTATTCATTGATTTACTGGAGGAAAGAGCCAATCAGGAGCCATAGATATGAATGCACATCTCACGGTGCTGTGGCCTTACAGTAAACTATTTGCATCTTTCTAATGGAGTAGATATTTATCCAGGGATTGCCATTGTTCGAAAGGCCTGGAAATTCAGTTCCTTAAACATTTAGAAAATAAGACTTTGTTCCAGACTTAAAATCCTTACATGGAAGGACTCTCCTCTTTTGTATGGCAGGTTACAAGGTTCAAGTCCCTAATGTTTTTTTAAGAGTCCCTCTTCCTTCCAAGCTAAAAATAAAAGAAAAGAAGAAAGAAAAATTAATTTCTCAAACCCCTCCAGATTCTGCATATTTTGCATTCACATTATCATGCATGTCTCCATTTGAATGCAAATTAGCATATTTAACCCCGTGGGTGCTGAGACCTAGGATACATTGTACTGGGGTTTTATGGAATCTCTGGCATTTTAAGGAATCATGTTAATAGCAATATTTTAAATGAAGCAATATCTATATGACTTCATATGTATACATATATATAAACTGTGATCATTTGTTTTCTTGACTATTTTTCAGATGAGACTGCAAAGAAGCATAAAATGAATAGACAATCCAACCAACCAAAGGTAATTTTAAAATTTACATTTGATAAAATCCAAGTGATGTACAAAATAGAGTATTATTTACTAGGCGGTAGGCATGCAGTGGGTTGCATATCTCCTAATTCATGCTCTAAGTTTCTATATGTGCAGCCTTCTCCTCTACAGGGAGCCTTTGTATATTATATATCAAGCATAATACAAATATAACCTGTAACTGCCTATAAAAAAGAAATTCAAGATACAGAGTAAATAATAGAATACTTTTGTTAGAAAGTAAGCCAGTCAGGTACCTTGCCTGAACTATACAAATCACTGTAAATTAAATGGCTTTTATGTAGAAAATGGTAGTCTTGACTGTACTAGTGCACTGTGGTTTACATGCATTTGAATCATACAAACCAAATATTAAAAGGGGATTTCAGTGATAGGCCAGTTCTTCATGTGCTTTGCAGTAATCTGAATAGGATTCAGAGGTGTTCTAAATATGGTGACAAACCTAATGTATTTGAATTTATGAAATAGCATAATTCTGATCCAAATAATGTGGAAAACGTAACTTTTCACTTTTAACTGAAATAGAGATTGTCTACTCCCAGGTAAACCAGAATGTTTCAATTCATGTTTCAGCCATCTGGAGATCTATAAAAAGATTAGAAAACAAGCATGACAATCACGTCCTAATCTACTGGCCATTAATGGGAATTTATTAGTGAATGAGCAGGCAAACCATTTAAATTCAGTATATCCTTCAGAATGCAGATTTCAAAACTGGTATTCTGCTCAGCTTAATAGCTATTTGAAAGCAAAAATATCTGATATAACATGTAGGTGTTAATAGTTGCTCTTAATATGTGACAGACATTGCTAGGAATCTTTAGGGCTACACAATTGTTTCAACTTGTCTCACATCCTATATAATAATACAGTCTTTGAAATATGTATAAACCATCATATAAACCTTGGCAATATTCAAAATAATCAGATGCTCTGTGTTAAGCCTTACTGTGTAGTTTTTATTTCTGCATATCCTGAGAGATGGTGGAGAGTAAAATATTTAGTTGGCTATCTGGCTAATGAACAGACTGCTCATAATCCTAATGTTGGTTCCTTTCACTTATTGGGACTCCCATGATGAGTCTATGTTATATATGCCAGACATGGGGACCAGGCCCGGAGTCCAGTTGATATGACTATGTGGCATTGCCCTAGAAGATGCTGTTTTAAGACAGTATCTTCTATAGCTTTTAATTGTAAAAGCATCTCAAATGTTCAGTGTCTTGGCTTTCATGATGGATACTTTGGTTCTAAAAATGCATTTAGTTGCTAAGTGTGGAAATATAGCCATGTTACTTTGCAAATTCACACAGATATGGGGGTGATAAACATGCACAGACAAATGCATGACATCTCTTTGCTTCCACCAGCCCCCACCCAAGTATATATAAAGCAAAAAGATATTCTAAAAATACCTGTCATCTGACCACATGCTTGCTTTATGTAATACATGCCAAATCACTAATGATTCTGCATCTGTGTCTTGGAAAGCAAGGCCACAATACTCTCACTCTTCCAAGGCGGCAGAGCTCATTAGTGTTTTATGTAATGTCTAAGGTGGAATGTGCCTCAGTGATGTGTTACATTTTTATTTAGTAGTGTATGTTGTGACCAGCTAGTTCGAGAAGGAACAGTAACTTCATGGAGGTGTGTTTCTCTGAGTTAGTTTTTGGTTTGCTTGTGCATTTTATGTATAACCCAATGCAGCCATTTCTGATTGTACCTCTTGTACCATAATTTGGTAAGAAAAATAGATGAACAATTTCAACAGCTTAGTCTTTTCTAAATAATCAGTACTGGAATGTTCACCAAAAAAAGTAAATAAATAAAAAATCTAGGGAAAAGTTGGCATCTATGTTACTAAATCATATCTTTAATTGGTGTAATATTGTAGTTTAAACTCTTGATTATAAGCTTTTCCTAACTATTCTGATTTTCTTGCTAGTCTTTTTTATAGGGTTTACATATATGTGCTCTGTATATAATTCAGTAAGCATGTTCACATTCATGTCATAAATGAATAAGTCACTGAATTAATGAAAGAGTGTATGTTAATTCCAAAAGTGTTTTAGTTGTTGGGGAAAATAATCTATAGAATTGAGAGTATTGTGATAAAGTAGTCATGTGTGCAATGAATATTAAGATTACTCTAATAGCATATATTTTAAAGAATAGCAATATGACCAAACATAACTTGAAATTTTGAAAAGCAGTTCATAAGGTTCACCCTTGGTAAATATGAATTTAATGTAGACTATCTTAGATGTTCTGTTGAGGGACATTTGAATATTACAACTGCATGTATTATAGATGAGTTAGACATAGATTACTCATTACTAAGGAGAGAGAAGAAGAAAAGGACTCTTTGAAGTGATCATATTCACACTTTGAAAAGTTCTAAGAAAAGGAATGAGGCTAATTAATTAATAAAACAACATTCCCCTCTAGATAGAAGAAAGGTGGGGGTTGGAGAAGGGGAAGGTAGGGCAGAGTTATGCTCTTAACATCCAGGTGTTTTATATGTGTTCTTCACGAGGTAACAACGTTTTTTTTCATAGTTTCAGAAGCAAGACTATTACATTATCCTTTTGTATGAAAATTGATGTTTAAAACAATAGACAAAGGCTCAGGATTTTCATTACAGCAGAGTTGTGTACAGCATTAGAAACTATTGCTGCAAGGTTTACCTGTGCTGCATTCTAACGCACACACCCTACATATGTAGTCATTTTTTAAAAACCACGATGAAGTCCGCTTGCTTAGAGCATTCAGTTCGAACTTACAGAACAAAATATGCTGCCCTATCGCCATGGTACATAGATACAAAACATGACTGAGCTGTGAAGCCATTAAAAACACACCACCAGAGCAAATTGTCAATGTAATCACACATCGACTCACTGCGTAATACAGATCTGATTCCCAGCCCCAGAAAACGAGGCCCTGCTTTAAGCAATAGCAAAGTGCCTTCCATCTGTCTGCCTATGCAATCTGCCAGAAGAAAAATGCAGGCAAAGACGTTCCCCAGATCTGAAATGCTTTTATCTGTCCTTAGAGAGAGATTTCTTCCAGTCTTTGGATACTAGAACGATCTACACTAGCACGGAGGAGGTAAAAGGCCGCGGGTTGCTTTTCCAGGAGCAGTCGGTAGTGCTAGCGGAAGAGATGTTGATTGAGAAAATAGGGATTGTTGCAATGCTGCCGCTACTGCTGCTGTCGCTGCCGCTGCTCGGGCAGCAGGCGTGGGGCAGTTGGCTGATCACTGATGCATATCAATAACCATGTACTTGAGATTTCTCATGACATCATCATTACCTTGGTCTCCCGCGGTCTCGAACCTTTGACCTTGCCGGGCTGGTCCACAATTTGGCAGTGAAAGCCCCTCCAATGATGGCCCTTTTCTCCTTCTTTCAGACCGGGGGCAGCAGCAGGCCAGCAAGACGGCATCTTCTCCTTCCCAGCCTAGAAGCCCTGTGAAATCGAGGATCTTCCCCCTAAAACACATACACACAAGATATGTGCAATCAAGCTGCCACCGCTTGGTAAAAAGCCATGGTGCCTAACCAAAAAGGATCAGGAACAGATCCTTGAATCAGCTGTCACTTCTATAGAATGGGATTTTTTTTTCCTTCCTCCTTAACCTGCGCTGGAAATTGCCGTTGGCTTTATACATCTCTATAGAGAGAGGCTAAAGAGTCTTGCGTGAGAAAGAAGCAATTTACAATGCAAATAGAGGCCTGTGAAGGGACGGATGCTGCTGCTCACTCGTAACAGCTTGCTGCACCTTAATAGCTGGTTTTATTTTCTGATATTAATAGATGAATTGTTGGCTAACGCTGCCGGAGATTACTTGCTGAAAGGAAAAAGAAAAGTTCGGAATAAACTCTGAAGGCAACAGATCTCGTTTGGATGTTTTAGCCGCGCACACACACAAACAGAAACCAGGTCATATTTACATAAAAGGAGGAATCTTAAGCGCGGCAAGTATCCTGGACGACCACTCTTCGGTACTGCCAGAAAGGATCAGGACCTGGAGTCTGGCAAGAGGAAGACAGAGGCCTGTGTGGGAAGCGAGTTGTTATCTTTGGTTATCTAGCTGTATGAGTGTATTGGTCTTCATAAAGCTAGATAACCGAAAGTAAAAACTCCTTCAAGATCGCCGGGGAGCGTGTGAGAATGAAAGACTACAGCCGAGAGACAGTAAAAACCAGAAAGGTCAGGAATACTTATTGAATCTAACTTTGTTTTTGTTTTGTTTTTTTCCTTATGATTAAAGGTGGGATGAGAGAAAATTAAATGACACACACATGCTAAAATATCAAGGTTCCAGATATGTCTTGAGAGGGGTTGTTGCAGCTGCAAAGGAGAAGTGTATAGTGATAATGAGTAAAGATGCATGTGCAGTTTGTTCTATTTTAAGGCAAAAGTTATATCAGGGATTTTTTTCTTAGAAAGGTGTTGCAGAGATGTCTGGTACCTAGTTTAAAAATGATTCCATAATATGTAGACTTGGGCAGTTCCTTTGGGAGGCACCTCCCTCTCAAAATTTGAAGATTGTGCTTGGAAATTACTTTACATGTATTTGGGCTGTATGTCAATTTGTACGAAATTAGACTTTCAGAAAAGTTTATACTGGAAGGTTAATAATTTGTATCTACTGAGGACTTAGAGCTAGCAGGCAAAATGAAAAAAAAAAAAAAAAAAGCAAGGGCTGATTTTTATTCTTCTATTCAAAATACAAGGACAGATGCTTCTCTGTTCCAAGAGGGTTTCCTTGAGGAAGCTACTGAAGCAGAAAGACATGATGGAGACGAGATCGCCTCCCCTCTTGTCAAAGTGTTAAAAAAATGTTCTGTCTTACTCTGCGCCTAGCATTGGAAATGAAAGTGACATTTACGCCACAACCCACGTGTGCGCCTCCTCTCTTTTTGTTTAAGGATGATCAGGTCTATCCAGGAAACAGCTCTGGCATCCCAAACTGAAATAATTAGGACGTATATAGACCTGACAAAAATGGAAAGGGGGTGGGGAATCTGAGGGTCTGTCTTGCCTAATTGATTCCGCTAAACGGAATGCAGGAGATGTGAACGGCAGGACGCTCCGATTCCCACGCTCGGGGGCAAGTGATAAAGCGGGGCCGGGCAGCCTATGACAGACAGCCCTGTTGGGGGGTGGGGGTATGAAAAAAACATCAAGTGCACACACCATACTCATCTCCATCGCTTAAGAAAGTAAAGGCATTTCCCACCCACAGCCATCTGCAGCTTCCCAAATGGCAGCACCAACTGGTCTGTAGCTGCTACATAGTCTGCTTCTGTTAATTTTTTAACCACTGTTTAATCTGGCCATAATTAAGTTTGGCTTTCTTCGTTGTTTGAGATTTTCAGAATTCAAGGCAAGCTAGTAGAAAGCAATTCCAAGAAAGTCCCATGACTGCCTGCCCCTAATGTCAAAATCTCAGTCCATGAGATTATGGCCTTGTGACCACATTTTTGCTTTTGTTTTGGGTGGGCAAATGTGTATAGAGATAAAATACATATCTCTATATAACAGTCGTTATTATAATTTCATGAGGCTTTTTACCTCTTAACATGATACATCTAGGAACTTGGTCTAATTGTGCTAGTAGATATACACTAGAAGTAAAACTATAAAGTCATTAGCCTGTAGAAAGTTGATTATGATAACAATATGATAAAAAGTTTGTTTTGGAATAGTCTCAGCTAGATGGGTCTAAATAGCCATTTTAATGTAATCTAAAAATAACACTATGCCTAGCAGAAACTTTGGCGCTTTGGAGGTCCCCATTGTCGCCTTTTCATAAAAGTCCTTAAGTTTTCCATATGTCACCAAGCAAACATTTGTATAGGCATTTACACAGAAATATAACCATTGCAATTAGAAAATATCCAAAATAGCCTGTTATCTTCCACGTGGCCTAGATTATTGACAATCCCAAATATACAATTTTTCTTTAAAAGTAGTACAATTTCCTTTGTAGCTTCAATTCCTTATATGACTTCAGACTGGAGAAGCCTGTTAAACCACTGTTAGTTTCAGTTAGAAAGTCTGAGAGACTTTATACATAAATTCTCAATTTGGCTGCTGTACACGTGCCAGAGTTTTACTACTGTAGTGACCGTTGAGAAGACCCTTGTTTATTTACATTTGAAGCACTGTTTGTGCAAACAACCTTTCATTGTTAAGTGCCTGTATTCCTTTCATTTACTTCATGTCCAGGGGTGCTATTTACCTAGAACCATTGTCTACTACAATTAACATTTACATTACAAAGTGTGTGGTTTTCTTTTTCAAGGAGGTTCAATTAAGGCAATAAGATGTTTGCTGGAGAAACCTATTGTTTACTGAAAGCACTCAATGAAGTCAAATTACTGAAGCTTTTGCCTACATCTTGGTCTTTTATGTAAATATGTTAAATATAACATCTAAGGAAAATAAACAATATTATAATTATGTGTTTGCCATTGTCATATCAAACTTGCTTTGTATCATACTAATGTTACATAACTTATCGATCAATAAAAATACATTTCAATGTTATTATTTTCATTTTATTTTTTGCTGTTCCACTGCCCTTGGTGCAACATGTCCCAATTTTTCTTTTTTCTATTACACATCAAACTTCTGACATTTTGTTTTATTTGTGTGTGTTGAAGAGAGGTACTGTATCTGAGCATAGGTTTGAAGGGTGTTGGAAATAATCTGTACATTGACCTTATAATAAGGTGATATTTCTTTGAAACCCGTAATATTCCAAAGGCATGTACATTTAAGTCAAAAGAAGTGTAAATATCAGTTAAGTAGTTCTTTGAAACCTAGTTTTAACATTGGCAGAAACCGGATCAAGTTTATTTAGCATACCACTGCATTGTAAAACAGTTGGAGTGAAGTTGCAGGTTGCGTGAGTATGCATGTTAACTAGTGGGAACCAAGTGCAGTCTTTGTGAAAGGGGAGCAGCAGATTGCTGTGCAAGGCCAATGTTAAAAAGGCAGCTGAATTTAACACCATCTGGAAGAAAAGATCCCTTCACGACTTTCTCACACCGTCAGACAAAACTAGTGTCTCTTGTTCCGAGCCCTTGTCTATGCAACCATACAATACTGAGTCATTATACTTTTGCTGAGAGAAAATTTGAGAACACAATATGGGTAACCAGTGAATGACCAAGTTTCATTGTGCCCGCTTAAGTCGATTGAAATCTACGTCTAGAGCTATGAATGGTAGTATTGTTTTCCTCACCAGGGCTGTACTAAATGTCAGCACAGTGTAAAGAAAAACTGTAAAGAAAAGTCTGCAAATAACTTACCAAATCTCAATTATAATATTTTCCCACACTAGAACTAATATCATTGCGAGGGGCTACATTGCAGAAAATACAAAAAGAAACGAAAAGAAATAGTTCATTTAGAAGTTATTTTATCCAGACAAACATTTTAATTTTCTGATGGGAACTTCAATTCAGGCTTCAGGCTGGGATGAGAGGTGGAATTCAGTACTGGCGAGTTCAAATTACAAAAATTCTGCTTCTGCAATTAAAATACCATAAAACAAACACCTAGCCCCACCTGAAGTTCTCTATTCTTAAATATAAATGGACTCTATGTGGGTTTTACTACTTTAGTCCTGCATAGAATTGTTAGTGTGAATCTAGCTTAAATTTTGCTTTAAATTATGGCACACTGCTCTTTCAAAGTTTGCCACTGTGATTGACATTGCAAAAGAACATCATTTCCCAAAATATTTAAGAATATTCTGGCACCTCCCTAGGCGGATTCTGGCGTGCCCAGGAATACACTTCCTTTTTATGTTATGCCCCTCCCCCTACTTTCTAACTTTTTCCCCCTCATGATGTGTGTAAATCAGTTATCCTTCGGTTTAACATTCACGAAATCTATTTGACTGTAAACAGTCAGAAAAAGGAAACAAAACAGTTCAAAAAAAGTAAATGGAGTTGGTTGTGTATGTTTTACTAGGATGTCTATTTTAAATGTAATTGACTTTGCAATTTTGTTATTGTGTCACCAAGTGTCTCATAGTTCTTAACATGTAAGTGCAAAACAATGAGTAATTGCTGTTTTGCTGAATAATACATCTGAGTTGCCAACGTCAAAGGTATTATTTTGCGTATTTCTAAACAGGAACGTTAACTGCAGGTTTTGACATCTAGAATCTTTTCATGAAATACTTAGAAATAGGGTGATAAAATGATACCTGTAAAAGTAAATATAAAGATAGAACCCATTTATTTTCTTTACCCTACTTTGTTATACCAGAAAATTAACATTGAAAAGTCACTCACTAATCAAATAATAAAGGATATAGGATAAACATAGTCATACAAAAAATACAAAACAACAACAAAAATGAAAATTGGATAAAGGTTAAAAAAAAGATTCAGGAAGACTTCTTCAGTGTCCTTGCTGAATGTGAATGGGTATTTTCACTAGTATCAATCCCTTAATGAAGTTGCTATTATGCATAATAATGAGACATGCATTATTTACATTCAAAATGGAATATTTTCCAAAGTGACTGTTCTTTAGGTCACCTTGAACAGTAAATTTTCCACCACAAGAGTTCTTTGTGTTTATTTTTAAAATTAAAATAATTTTCTTATTTGGAAAAATATAAAATTCTAATTTGATTTTTGTGTAGCCTGATGAAAATTAAGAAACCATTTAAATTATAAGGAAGCCATATAGATGGATACATATAAATATTTTAAGATATTTTAGCATTTTAGGAATTTTGACTTTTCAAAAATGGAGAGATGAAACCAAAGGCTTTATTTTCCAATGTGGCTAGAAAATGAATGACAGTATGTAACTGTCTATGTATCTATTTTTTTCCTATGAATCTATACATCTGGAAATGTCACTGTGGTTTCAGAAAATTGATACCCTTTCCTCCCTAATGTGCTACAGTTAAGTAAAACACACCATAATATGTTGCATTTAGTGGGAACTGGGGGTGGCAGTGGTGAGATGGGCAACACAGGACAAGGTGTTCTTTAAGACTAAGAACTAATTAGAATCAGTTATTGAGTAAAAAAGATATCTATAATGCTGGGTCGATTGTTTTAACATGACTACTTCGAGATAGTTAAACAGGTCCTACAGCAATTGGGACATGTAAGGCAGTTCTTCAGTGTCTCTGGATTTTAATGGATGGCTTTGTTAACCCTGTTTCTTTGCTCATCGGTTCTTAACACAACTTAAACAACCTAGTACAGAAATCAGCAGAACCCTCTATTCCTGTTTGCTCAGAGAACCCATTTCACCCCTTCTGGGAACTGTTCGACTTATTTGTGGAATTAATTCTAAGATGGTGAATGGAAATGGAAAGTATATAGTTGTGATTGATATTAAGGAATATTTATCTGCCCTCAATCAGGGC
Organism: Homo sapiens; assembly: GCF_000001405.40. NCBI lineage: Eukaryota > Metazoa > Chordata > Mammalia > Primates > Hominidae > Homo > Homo sapiens. Next base: position 88,661,587 of record NC_000005.10, on the reverse strand, counting down.
TGCGAGAGTTAGTGCACTTCCTTAGAAAGGTGATGACCATGTTTGAGGTGGGAGCGTGTGGCTTTCCGCTTTTCAGCCAACTGCCAGACCACAGGGGGTAGGGCTTTTAAAAAGTGCAGATAATCGACTTTATTCAGGGAAATACGGAGTTTTGAGCCATATTTGTTCAAAAAGCAGCACATCACTGTGCTTGATGGTTTGACTTGGTTTTAGTTGAGCGCGGGCATAGCGCATTCTGGAGATCTAAAATTAGCCAGGCTTAGCAGCCGCCTTGCAAGGTACTTGGCGTGGGCGGTGCAAAGAGGAGACAGCCGACTCTGTGACTGGCTGCAGATGCGGTTAGGCTAGGCAGTGGCAGCAGCGAAGGCGGCTGGCCCGCCGCGGGGCAGGACGACGCCTCCCGGTGACCGCCAACTGCCCGAGTCCTCCTGCAGCTGCTGCGGCTCGCGGCCCTCGCCTGAAAGCGGGCGTCTGATTGGTGTTTCCCGGGAGACGGGCTCCTCTAGCTGATGGAGCTGGTGCGCCGGCGCGCGCGCTCCCGGGTTGGCGCGCGACTGGGAGGCCGGGGGCGCGCTGCGGCCCGGGTAGCAGGCTGGGAGGCCGCCCAAGTTTGCGCTAGCTCAAGTTCCCGTGCCCGCGCTCGGCGCCTTGGAGGCTGCTGGACACCGGCGCCGCGCTGCGGGGCTCGGCAGGGGCGGGTCGTCAGACTGTCCTTTGCCTGGCACGCTGAGCTGCGTCCGCGAAGGCTATTCCGGTTTTTTTTTTTTTTAAAATTATTATTTGCCAGCCTCTCGGCCCCTAATCAGCGACCTCGGTCACTGCCTCTGCGCCACCTCCGGTCTGCGGTTGCTTGGGAATCCCTGAGTTGAGCTTGTGAATGGGGGTGGCGTCGAGGTTTAGTCACGCCTGGACGTCGGTTAGAGGCAGGCATCTCCCAGCGGCCACCCCCTGCCACAGGGCACCTTCCTCAGGCGGCACGCAACTTGTGGTTAAGAAGCTTTCTTTTGCTGACACTCGGTGTCTCTAGTTTTGCCCAGGCTTCTTCCCTGGACGTGATCAATATCATTGATATAGATATTGTGTAACCCCCAAATCCCCCCTCCCCGCCACCACCACACACACACCGTTATTAACTTAGTGAAAAGCTGCTAACGGAAAGGGTCTCCCTGCGGGGAAGCTGGGTGGGGGGCGGGGGCGGGGAAGTTTTGCTCGGTGGCCGGCGTTGGTGAGCGCTTGCCACTCTGGGCCCTTCCCTGGGGCAACTCCCACTTCTACCCCCATTGCCCATAGGAGCTCAGGGCACATCTTACCCCATCATCAGATTTGCTGGAAATATTAATCTCCTTGTTGGGTGGATACAGTAGAACTTGTTCAGAGATTACTTTAAAAAGAGATCTGGGTCTTAAGCACTTACTAAAGCCAGTTAATAACATCATGCATGGACATTTAAACTTGTTGTAAGTTGCAGAGAGGATTAGCGGGAAGTCACGCTGTGCGCAGCTAATGATACCATCTTAACTCTAACTGGGCTAAATCCAACTCGCCCGGCACAGGTCCGGCTCTGCGGCCCTCGGGTGAGGCTAGGAAAGAGCGCCTTGGAAAGAGGTCTTGGAAAGAGGGCCGAAACTGGCGGAGCCGCCCCGATCCTTACTGCGGGTGACGGTCACTGGTCCTGGGAGGCCGCGGGCGGTCCTGCTGTTGCGTAGGCACGAGCCCAGGGACTGAGGCCCAGGCCTCCCGGTGCACACTGACACACCGCCGTCCGCGGGCTGAGCTTCAGTGACACCGAAGGGCACTGGCCAACATGTCAAAACAGTTTTGATTCCATGAACCAAAGGGCGCACAAGGTCTATTGCAAGCTCAGGTGAAGTCGTGGGACTCCAAAGGTAGTGGCTTTCTTGCTGCTGGTCGATTTGCATTACAGAGGCCGTTTACTTTCAATTCCACTTTTACAAAAGTAGTCAAGCTCTGTATTTCACAGGTAAATTTCGAAGGATATTATTAACAACTTCCTGTCATAGGCTTCCTCAACTACTTTCGGTCTGATTACTGTTTTAAAGCAGTTTGCTACCACTTTATGACAGGGCCAATGAGAAATAATCTTCAGAAAATGCTTCGAAAATGCTGCGTTATTAAAACACTTACCTAACAATATTCATTTAATTCTGTCACTAAGTAGCTGTCTGACAGATTTCGTGTTTTCTCTGAGTTTCTTTTAATAGTCACTGGCCCTCGGAAAACAAGTTATCAGGAGAATTTTAACTGCAACCTGGCTCTTGGCTTTTTTAAGTTTTAAATTCAAACTTGACAAGGTTAAGATTTTTTTTATTATATCATTAATAGCTAGTGGGAGATTGGAAAAAACTACAGACGCTAATCACTTTAATAGTTGGTGAAAACCTGTGAAAGGAACCACTTGAGAAAAGAGATGTGCGTAAAGAAAAAAAAAAGATAGACAATAAATACTTTCTCTGAATCAGGCCACAAAAAATGATCTACAGAATATTACCCAGAATGTCTCTTAAATCTTTGTCTTTTAGGGAAAAATGTCTTCCTACACACACAAATGTATACATATGAATGAAATTTACTGGGATGGAAAAATTTCTAACAAGTATGATTTAGAAATATTTTCACCGAATAAGTATCTCAAATATAATTACGTATTTATCAACACTGGCCTAATTAAAAATACTTCATATAATATATTTGGACATAATACCTTCATGAAGACAATAATAGATGTAATATCATTGAAATTCAGAATCTATGGACTTACTTCCTGTCAGGGTTAAATCTCTTGTATAGTAATAATAAAAGTGTACTTAGTCCTTATTTTTAATTCAATGAGCATTATAAGTTCTTGAAACTTGCATAAATATAATAGTCTTTGCGAGGAGCTCAAATAATAGATTTTAGGCCTTATTATTAGAAAGTACATAGTTTGTACACAGTCACTACCCAATATATATTACTTTAATGGATTGAGTTACCCTTGAAATATATGATGTACATACAAAGTTAAATTAGCATTGACTGATATTGGGAAGATGAAGTTGAGGGTATTGAGTGGTTTGTGGTATAGCTTGAAAACTGTTTAGACAAATTCATGGCAATGAATGTATGACAAATTCATGGCAAGTGGAGTTTGAAATGGATGGAAGAAAAATAATCTGATAGGAATTCATCTTTGGGGTTTGTAATATATACCTCTTGAGTGGTTCCAGTAGCGAAAATACCTAGACAGCAAGGATATAGGAATTAATTGACAAATTTGCATTTGCATTGTTTTATAAAGTAACTCTTATGACAATTTCTAGGTACGTAGATTAATATAAAAATAAAAAGTTTAGCTCTCCCCAAATAAAGTTAAAAATTGCTGAGTAGCTTAGATTTCCACACTGAAGACTCGTGCTCAATTATAGTCTAAAATCTCAGTTTGCAGGTATGACATGGGATTCCAGTGATTCAAACAGCACAGTACAAATACTGCATATACTTCTGCCAAATTTGTCTCAGATGGACTAGCTGCTAAGGAAGAATCTATAGCATGACTGAGCTAACAGAGAGTGTGTTACCTTTCCAATAGGTAATCCCTCCATTTGCATGCCGTGTTCAATGATAGGAAAGAGGAGTTGAATTTCTGTCATTTTTCTGGACTTCAGCTTAAAGGTCTATATTGTCAGTTCAAAAATATATGAAGTGAACACTATTTCTTGTTAGCCAATAGTTATTGTTATAATAAAATTATTTTCATGGTCATTGAAAATTTTTTGGCTTTATTTATTAAAAGTTAACTAGCTTTATTTCATTAGAGATTGTCTAATTCAATTTTGATTTTTCAAATTGCATTTTATACTATAAAGAGCCCTTCTGCATAAAATACAGTTTGAAAAGAGAAAAATATTTATGCCTTTATCATTTTAAGTGATCAAATACTGTAGTGCTAGATATTAGAATATCATGTGCATCACTACATTATTAACTTAATCTAATACTCGGAGTCATTACCACATTCATGGGTGTCTTTCTGATATCTCTCCAGTCCACTGGATTTTGAAGTGTGATTATGTAAATTTTCTACTGATAAATAAATGACTATAATTGTACTTGAAATACCACTCAAATTCTTAAGACCATGGCATCTAAATAATGTATTATGGATTCCTTAATTATTTATCAAGACTAATTCAAAATAACTGTAGGGCAAAGCATTTATTTTTAAATAGCCATCCCCTTCCCCAATTTTTTCTTTACTGGGTTAAAAAATATTCCAGATGGTGGAACTGTAGGAGACGAGAAAAGGGTTGATGAGTGGAGTGAGTAAGCAGCAAGTTTATCCTTCAAGTAAACATCTCTGGTTTGCCCAATAATACTGTTACCCTAATGCAATTTTTTATAAAGCATATGATCCTAATGTCAGTTCAGTAAGAGTATTTGATGATAGAAAAAACATTTTTAAATGTTAAACATTAGTCCAGAAAATTCTTCACCATTATTTGACAAGGAAAATGGGAACAGTTAGCAAACAAAATATTTCACACATGGTTATTTTTAAAAGTTCTTTTATAAACATAGTAGGGAAATTGTAAAATTTCAGTAAGGGTTATGCCAATCAAATGATACTAAATTTAAAGTATGGCTTTCCTTCATTTAATTATAGATGTAAAAAAATCACAATAATTGAATGGTGCCTTTTCATTGTTTAACAATTGCAAGGCTGTATTCAGAACTTTTGTTGCACTGTGCCTTTAAAGGAAGCACATGTGTGTTTTACCTACATAAATTCTAATTGCAGAATCCACTCTAATCACCACGTAGAAATCATCTGAAGCCTCATAAGTTCATGAGCTACACACTTTTCTTTTTTTATTCTGCAGACCACACCTTATCTGGTTGCTAATGAAATACAGGAGATTGATTGCAGAAAATCTTCAAGGGAATATTTGCTGTACCACATATAGTAAGCTCCATTTGGTGCATTAGCATTTAGCCATTTTATGCAAATTTAGAGAAAATGACTCATGTATATGATTTAATATGCATCAGCGATAACTCATATCACCCTTATAAGAAAACAGAAATTAAAAATTCATTAGAAAACTAGGCTAGTGTCACTACATGGTTAAAACATTATTAAAGCATATTTCAATGTTTTGCTTACACTAGTGTTCTCATCATGGTGCCACCATTTCATGACAAAGACCGTAGAGGAGAAAACATTCAACTTAAAATGTCTGCTGGCACACATCGCTGGATTTGTGTGTCACTAAACAATGAGCGAGCATAGCCTTGAATACCAACTATTTAATTAGCACTTTTGGAAGCCATGCATAGAAAATAGCTCATTTACATGCATCTGCTTAGCGATTAGTCCCATAAAAAGCTACCATTTCTTTTTTTGTTGTTTAATATAGTGAGCATTTTGCCATTCGGCCATGAAAAAAAAATCAAAACATATGTTATTATTTTCAAATACTGAAATTCAGAGATTTAATTAAAATGGGCAAAAGTCTTCATATTTCTCTTCAAGGTATATTTAAATGATTTAATTTAACCTTAAGTGTACCATAAAATGCTGGATACAAGTAATAATTAAGAACTTCAAAGGGCAACAGAAACCCTCTAACAGTCCTTCGTTTAATTAAAGGCTATTATTAGAAAGCTCTTGAATATACAGTTACATTTAATGACGAGTGATGACTAGTAAAAGCAGTATTTGAAAGTTATGAGTATCTTATTTTAAATACTATTGATAGACTCTAGAAAGTATAGCTATCATTTCGTTTTGAAAATAAATGACATGTATTTCTTGAAAAATCAAATTCATAACATTAAAAGACTGTTTAAGATGTTTTGCTTTTCATTAATTCTCTAGTCTACACACACCTTTCATGATCATAAATTAATTGTTTGCTTTGTAAAAAGTGTTTCTGCCTATTTAAATACCTTTAGGAGGGTATATTTTTCTAATACAGTGGAATGCTTATGAAGGCATGTATACAATGTATATGGATGCATTAACAATAAAATGGGGGTTTACTTGTGCATTTTGAAATATAACATTTTTTGGAATGTGAATTGATATGTAATATAACAGTAATAATTTTTTTAGAAGTTTCTATTATTTAGCACATTTGTGTGAGTAGACAATTGGCCAAAAGCCCCAGGTGATTCTAAATAAATTTTGGAAGGTGTATAAACCATCTATAAAATAGGAACAGAGTATTTATGTAAAATTTGCTCTTCTGTTATAAGTATTTATTGGACTATTTTGCTTTATCTACATTTATTTATACAAGGAATTTGGTTGGAATTTCCATAGTTAAAATTCAGGGCAGGTGAATGATTGGTGTATAGATACATTCTCAAGTGAAATTAATGAACAAATACTTTAAACATTCATTTAGAACATATTACTAATTCTGTTTCTTAATTATCTTTATTAATTGGCTTATGTACACATCTATAATAAAAAAGCTACCTACTTATTAAGCATATACAATTTTATCTTGGTGAGTAATCTGTCATTTTGAAAATGTGACACTAATTCCTTTGTTCACTGTGGGACAGGGAATGCCATGGGATGTGTGATCTTGGAAAGATTTCTTGGATTAAATATTTGGATACAAATCTATATCTATCTAGTTTATCCAGTTAGCTAGCTAAATAATGTATTATATGTATATAGTTCACTGTCTAGGAAAAGTGTGCACCTGGTGGGCTTTTTGTATAGCATGTTCTTTAATTTGAAATTATTTTGACATCAATTTCTTATTCTATCCACCTTGCAACGAGTATGATTCTTCATTTGCTTATCATTTTCCCCGGCGCCCCTTCCTGATTCTTAGGCACTCATAAGGTTTGTAGAGTAGGGGACTTACCTGTCTTGTTCACTGCTGAATATCCTATACTTAGAACAGTGTCAGACACATAGTAGATGCTCAATAAGTTTTTGTGGATGAAAGAATGAATACATTTAAATAAGAGATTTATCTTTCTGAGACAGCCGTTGCCCTCTGGATCTAAGGGCTTGATTTTGATAGATAGACTGATTCTCTCAATATGGGAGTCCTGTTGATGCTGCCCTGCTTTGTTGAAGAGATTACCCTTCCCAGGTAGACTAAGATCATTGATTTATTTGCGAGTAAGTATGTAACTGCAAGCAACCTCTAAGCTAGCTTTCAAGGCCATTTGTAGGATATTTATTTGAGATCCTATTCTGGATGTGGGGAATAGTCAATAGTTATGAAATAGGGCCAAGTTAACTGGACACATGGGAACTAAGTGCTAGACCACAGAATTATTAATGTATTCCAAACAAAAATATTTTGTAAGTAATTTTAATATTTTTATTTCACCTTGATTAAAATATCTAACTCATAGAAGCATGCTGCTTATAAATGGCCTAAAATACTTATAATTTTAACTAATGATACAAGAAATAAGAGTCTTCCTGGCTTAACCTTCTCCTTGAAGTTAGGACCATTTCTGAAAGCTCTATTAGTTCCAATTTTTAAAGCTCCTTAGTTCATAAATCCCTTGGGAATTATGAATAAAGATATGGCTCATGTTACTAAAGGGTACTCCTGTGACTTAAAAGTTAATCTCTCTAAATATCTAACCTGAAATCTAAGAGTTACATGGAGAATTTATATCATTTGTTACATTTTGGAGCAGAAATTAGAAATATGGTATAAACAGTGAAAATTTGTCTTTTTCTCCTTTTCACACAACATGAGTTCAAAATAACAAATGTAAGAAGGGCAACTCAAACCAGTGAAATTTTTTTGGGGTTATTTTATTATGTTCCCACCAATGAGATCCTAAGGTCCTTAAAAATAACGAAACAGTGAAGTGTTGAGTTAATAAACAACAAACAAATATATTCATAAGACCAGGTGGTAGAAAAGTGAGTCATCAAAACGTGCAGACCTTTTCTATTTCTGTACCATTGAGAGGGAATGTTCTTGATTTGGAAGTTGAAAGTTGGGCTAAGCATTTGATTGACCTCATTAACTCTTTCAAGATTATTAAGGTACTATTTTAGTCTATGAATGCATTTTTTGAAGCTACAGTGAATTCTCTTTTGATGCAAAAAGGTACTAAATGATACCCTGGGAGATATAATGGGCTTGGCAAGTCACCTGTCATGAACATTGTAACTGACCCTGGACTCTCGTAAAATTTGGATCCACACTGCTATTGTCAACAGACTTTATTATAAAATAAAGCAGAAAATTCAGACTAAATATCTGGGTCACTTTTAGGCTTTTGTCTTTTAATTACAAAAGAAACCTCTAATGTACAAGTGGCCATACCGCTTTTTACTACATTAAAGGTAAAGATAAATATGAGGAAATCAATTACAAATTTCTGAACCAATATTAAACCTACTAACCAGCAAATTTTTATTGATTACCTTCTACTAATATACTGTGCTAGGGGCTATTTACATGTTTGAGGGTGTAGGCTTGAGAGATAGAAAGCCTTGGAAGAGGACTTAGAAAAAGTATAAGAAACGATGCTCACACCCGGCGCGGCAGCTCACGCCTGTAATCCCAGCAGTTTGGGAGGCTGAGGCGGGCGGTTCAGTTGAGCCCAGGAGTTCGAGACCAGCCTGGCCAACATGGTGAAATCCCATCTCTACTAAAAATATAAAAATTAGCAGGGCATGGTGGCAGGCGCCTGTTGTCCCAGCTACTCGGGAGGCTGAGGCAGAAGAATCGCCTGAACCTGGAAGGCGGAGGTTGCAGTGAGCTGAGATCGCACCACTGCACTCCAGCCTGGGTGACAGAGTGAGACCCTGTCTCAAACAAACAAACAAACAACAACAACAAAAAAAGCTCACTCTAAGAAACCTAAGATCAGGTTCAAGTGACTAACAAATTGTGGGATACCTATTAATGAGTATATTAATAGAAATCCACAGTAAAGACAAATTAGTATGAATGACAAATGAAGGATTATTTGGAGAAAGTAATATTTGCATTTTTGAGTCGGGGCTTTGAAAGACTTGTAGAATTAAGATAGTTAGAAGAAACAGCATTATTGGTTAGAAAAACAAAATGATCACTGATGACCTGAATGCATGAAGGAGCACAGCACGTTTTTGAGAATGAGAAGACAGTAGAGTTTTATATTCAGTAGTGATGATTATATTTGTGGATAGATGGAATAAGGCCAGATTATTTATATTCTTGAAACTTGGCCAGCAGGGAGACTTGATGATAGAAATTACAGATAGTTACTTCAGATTTCTTCTTTGATATATTCAACAAATATTTATTGAACAGCTACTGTGTGCAAAGTGCTGCACCAAGCATGGGAGAACAGTGGTAAACCAAATCCAATTCATGCCCTATCTCATGAAATATTCTAGTCGGGAAGCTAGACTTTAAACAGCAATTACACAATTACACAATTAACTAATTAGTTATGGAATGATACATTTTGTAATGAAGAAGTACATAAAATTATGAGAATATGTAACTAGTCTGAGACAAGGACTGGAGTTAGGAAATTTTCCCTTAAGATGTAACGTTTGACAGGGTTAACTAGAGGAGGAGTAGATGACTGAGCAAAGGGAAGGGGTCAGGCAGACCTTTATAGATAAGGAGACAACACATGTCAAGGCCCCCAGGTAGGAAGAAGGCTTTCATTTTGAGGAACTTTAAGCTCAGTGTGATTAGAGTACAGAAATATATGGAAATCAGGTAGGATGGACTAAGATGAGGTTAGAGAGGGAGACAGACTTTGTGGGGTTTTGATCTTTGACCTAAGTGTGGTGGAAAGCCACTGAATGATTATAAACAAGGGAGTGGCATGTTTGGATTTATTTACACTTTAAACAGATCATTCTGTCTGAAGTATGAAGAGCAAGCTTGTCCAACCCATGGCCCATGGGCTGCATGTGGCCCAGGATGGCTTTGAATGCAACCCAACACATGAGATTCTTTTGGTGATTTTTTTAAAAGCTGATCAGCTATCATTAGTCTTAGTGTATTTTATGTGTGGCCCGAGACGATTATTCTTCCAATGTGGTCCAGGGAAGCCAAAAGATTGGACACCCCTGATGTAGAGTAAGAAAAGTGTGGTTGAGGGAAAAGTAGTTATGTAGCAGAGGTAATTGTTAAAAGATGATTGTGGGTTGGACTAGGGTGTTTGTAGTGAATCTTAAAGGTGTTATGATACAAAATATGACCACATAAACAAAATGAGGTAAGTAGCATTTAAAGAAGTTTCACCGTAATCAGTATTCAGGTGAGCCACAATGGGCCTAGTAGGGAATTAGGGAAATAGTTGGAGACTGTTGAAATAATCTGAGAAGGTGATGAAACCTGAAGTTGGGAACAAAGAAGAGAAGACATGTGATAGAGACATTTTAAAAAGAACAACATGTAGATTTTTTGACCTAACGTTTTGTCTTAGTACCATAGTGGCTTTGGTGGCTAGAAGAAGGAGGGTGGAAGGAAAAACAATCAACTCCTTTCAGAAGTGGGGAGTTTGCAGTATCATCCAGTTAATCAGAAAGTCCAGATATAGGAGTATGATTCTATTTGGAAGGCATCAATAGACATTTGTGATTAGGTTAAAATGATAAAATATGTGAAGTTTGCCAAGGAAAGTATAGAGAGCAGAGAATAGCAAGCCCAAGTATGGACACTGACACTGGGGGAAGGAATAAGCAGATGTCACTCATGGAGTAGTTTACATCTGGAAACAGTCACTCTTTGTAATTTCCTTTTGAAAACAACTTATTTTAGCTGTTTGCAATTTGCTTTTGAAGACAACTTATTTTAGCTGTTTAATGTGTGTTCAGTTATTGAAACAAGTCCTCACAAAATGTCTGCAGTTTGCCACATTTAAGAATATGTTATGTTGAAAGAAAGGGAGGAGAGACTAGTTGGAGACTGTTCATATAATTCTAGAAATAATTGGAATGTAAGTAATGCTTCATAAACACATAAATTAAACATGATTATCAAGTTATCCATTATATGCTCAAGTTCATAGGAATTCCTTTTAAAAAATATAAGCTTATTTCTTCATTTAATAAGTATTTATTGAGAACCTGTTACTACTTTTGGTCCTACTGATTTCTGATTATGGAATCTACATTTTAAAGAGGAAAGATAGTAAACAAGTAAATAAAAGAAAATATCAGATAGTTATCAGTGTTATGATAAATAAAACATAAAAGGGGACTTACTTTAGAATGGGTGGCCAGGCAAGACTTACTTGAGGAAGTAATGCTTAAAGTGACACCTTAATACATGAAAGCATAATGATTACATTTAAAAAACCTATAATGAGATACATATACTTGTCCATCAATTTACATGAGATTAATGAACCTATTTGGGTTTAATAGAAGCTAAAAATCTTGACTTGATTTCTCTTGGTTCTCTATTCAAGACTATAAAAGACAGAAGGGTAGAGGGCAAAACACTGTGATATGAATGTGATTCTTTGCATGCTTCACTTCCATAATTATGCATCCAAGTTCAAAGAAAAAGCTACAGGAAATAATTTCTTTTCTTTTTTTAAAAAAAATTCGATAGATTTTGGCCAGGTGCAGTGGCTCACGCCTGTAATCCCAGCACTTTGGGAGGCTGAGGCGGGCAGATCATTTAAGGTCAGGAGTTTGAGACCAGCCTGGACAACATGGTGAAACCCCATCTCTACTAAAACCATAAAAATGTGCTCCAGCCTGGGCAGGGTGAGACTCTGTTTCAAAAAAAAATTAGCCATGCGTGGTGGCAGGTGCCTGTAATCCCAGCTACTTGGGAGGCTGAGGCATGAGAATCTCTTGAATCCGGGAGGCAGAGATTGCAGTGAGCTGAGATGGCACCATTGCACCCTAACCCGGGCGACAGAGCGAGTCTCCATCTCAAAGAAAGAAAAATCAGTAGGTTTTTGGGGGAACAGATGGTGTTTGGTTACATGAATAAGTTCTTTAGTCATGATTTCTGAGATTCTGGTGTGCCCATCACCTGAAGAGTATACACTGTACCCTCTGTGTAGTTTTTTTTTATCCCTTGCCCCCCCACCCTTTCCCCGAGTCCCCCAAGTCTATTGTATCACTCTTATGCCTCTGCATTCTCATAGCTTAGCTCCCACTTATGAGTGAGAACATAAAATGTTTAGTTTTCCACTCCTGAATTACTTCACTTAGAATAATATCTCCAATTCCATTCAGGTTGCTGCGAATGCCATTATGCAGGAAATAATTTCTTAGTTGCTTATTTGGCCTACGTTTTATTAGTTTTTGTAGAGACGGAGGTCTGGTTCTGTTGTCCAGGCTGGCCTCCAATAGTGCTGGGATTACAGGTGCAAAGTTTTAAAAAAAATTTCCTGAATAGGCACTGACTGTCACGTACCTGTAATCCCACCTACATGGGAGGCTGAGGTGGGGGGATCACTTGAGCCCAGGAGCTAGAGTCCAGTCTGGGTAATATAGTGAGACCTTGTCTCTAAAATATAAAATTTCAAAGGAAATTTTATATTCGCCAATAATATATTGATTTTTAAAAGCCCCTTTAAAATGTTAATTTTACTACCAATATAGTGAGACCCTCTCTCTAAAATATAAAATTTCAAAGGAAATTTTATATTCACCAAAATATATTGATTTTTGAAAGCCCCTTAAAAATGTCAATTTGAAAGCCCCTTAAAAATGTCAATTTTACTACCAATAACATTAAGCATGTATGTAAAAATTTATATTTTTGAATTGCTATCACAAGTATTGATTGATAACTAGAGTTATTCAACAGTACTGATTGGAACTGGGGCTGTGAAATTTTAGGTTTACTATTAAGAAGGTAATAAACAAGAAAGGGAGGGCTTGAGCTATCAATTAATTGTCCTAATTTCTTATTATGTACTGGCTATAACTTTACAGAGATTGACAGGATAGTTCCTTTTCACATATTATGATGTTTTAATTTCATTGTACTATCAAATTTTTAACTTATCAAGTAAAATTTACTTTTTCTTAATTGCCTATATCATATGGTTTTGAGAAATACTGGTATTTGAAAGTCACATATCCTTAACGTAGTTTTGGGAATTCACATTAAGTCTTGAAATTATTGTTTAACAACAACAATAAAAGTTTTTTTTCAAATAGAGTCTCACTGTGTTGCCCAGGTTGGTCTCCAACTCCTGGGCTCAAGGGATCCTCCTCAGTTGCTGGGAGTAGCTGGGATTAAGGTGTGTGCCATTTGTTTTTTTTTTTTTTTGAAATTTTGTATTTTAGAGACAGGGTCTCACTGTTGCCCAGACTGGACTGTAACTCCTGGGCTCAAGTGATCTTCCCACCTCAGCCTCCCATGTAGCTGGAATTAAAGGCGTGTGACAGTCAGTGCCTGTTTAGGACATGTTTTTTAAAAAGCTTGCACCTGTAATCCCAGCACTCTGGGAGGTCAGCCTGGACAACAAAGCCAGATCCTGTCTCTACAAATACTACAAAAACATTACCTGGATGCTTTGGCAAGCACCTGTAGTCCATTACTCGGAAGACTGAACTGGGAGGATTGCTTGAGCCTGGAGTTCCAAGCCACAGTGAGCTGTAGTCACCATTAGCACTCCAATCTGGTTGACAGAATGAGAGGCTGTCTCAAAGAAAGCAAAAAAACAAAAAACAACAACAAAGTTTCACAGAGACAGAATGATAAAAAGTAAAGCTCTGGCTTTCCCGAGTTACTCTCTCTCGAGATAACCAGCAGTTTCTTGATGTTTGGAAACTGTTTTCAAATTAAAATTGAAATTATTTTGCTTGTGTGAAAGTTTTCCAAATTATAGTTATATTGGACTTGGGAACATTTTCTGCTATTTTACAACATTCTGAAAAGACAATGTCAAACGTATGCAAGGATTAGATTAAACATAAATCATTAAATATCTTAGAACCTTTGAGGTTATCTTTGGTGAAAACTAAGCTCAGTAAATTAATATTGTTTATTCTTTGTGAAATTTGTACTTGGGAGACTTAAAGGAATGTAATGGACAATTTTCCTCCAAAAGGTATTTATTTTTGCCTCAAAGGATTTAATGAACTTTATTGTGAACACAAAGAGTCCACAATTACGGTTTAGTTTACAAACTCTCTCACAACCTCATGTACTTGACCAACTTTCAAATGTGTGGTTTCCCACTCAATAAGTTAGCCAGTCTCTAAACTGTAGCTTGAGCCATCATCAATAACCTTCTTATCAATTTCCAAACACTTGTGAATCAGTTAAAAACTTCAGGCCAGGATGTTCTCATGGAATTAGAAGATGCTGCCTAATCCCTAACCACTGTCCAATGAACTCCTGAGACTACAAGAACAGCAACAGTAGCCTAATGATCAGTCAGTTATTCTGTTAACAGAAAGATTAGTAATTGCTGCCTATTCTGCTGAAATCCCTGTCATTCTTGCTGTTTCCTCCATCAGAATTTATGTTAAATCACACATTCTGTGAAGCTGTCAAGTTCTCTCTAGTTCTAAAGCTAGCCCTTCAGTTTAATCATCCACCTTGGAGCAACTGTGGCTGCTAAAGGGAAATTTTACAGCAGCTCAACCATGAATTATCTCCTGGCAACATGGAGATGGAACATTACGCAGTTAGGTAAGTGGGTAAAAGTCTTGGGTTTTCTCCATATCCTATAATGAAGAAAACTCTTAACATCAAATATTTTGTTAACCAGTACCCAAACTGGGAAATGAATCAGGGGTGTGATGGAGCAAATATTTTTTTCATCCATTAAAATTTCTCTGACTGTTCTAGAACTGAGAAGAAAACAAGAAGTAAGAAGAAAATAAATTAGTTATTGAAACTAAATAAAACCACTGTACTGGAAGCTTTGCAGACATTATCTCATTTAATCCTCATGAAACTCTGTTGTTTGGCCTCATTTTTCAGAGGCAGAAGCTAGGCTTGGAGAAATTACTTAAAACAAGTAAAGGAAAGAAGGGACAAAAGGAGAAATGCTTAGATATCACAGAATCAGGGTCAGGATAAGCTTATATTTAAACAAACAAAAAGCTCCAATTAAAGAACATTATGATTTATTTATCTATCTCAATAATTAAGAAAAGCAGCAAGCCAGTAAAACTCCAGCACTTTGAATTCATAAATTATCAAAGTAGTAGATCATTTAAGGGGAAAAACAGAGGACATTTGAATGGGGAAAAAAACACTTTTGTGTGTTTGTACTGAAAATGAATTGAATATTCATTTTGCATTCAGTTGCTATGGTATATGTAGGCACAATTTATAAATATGCACACTTGCTGCTTCAAATTTTACATATTTCAAAATTAAATCTACATTTATATGTTTTCAGTATTTGAATTTCTTAAGAAAACTACCAATTTTTATGTGTGAAATTTTATCTTTAATTTTATAGAAAGAAAATTTGCATTGAAATTATGTTCACTATATGTGATATTGTTAACTATCTAAACATATTAACCCTAATGTTAATATGTGACAACTTTGCTTTACCTTAAGTCTAAATGTGTGTGAAGAGGTGTCTTTGATGTAAAGAAAATTAAAATAACATAACTCACATTTAGCACTCAAGCATTGTTTGAATCAAATATATGCTAACTTTTTTTAAGCCTCTGAATTTAGTAACAAAAATGAGTTAATGGTTCTGCGTGCTCTGCAGAAGAATTGAGCAGGCTGTGTTGCTGCAGTTTCACATTGCCTAATGGCATGGATGGCAAATTGATACTGAGCAAAGTTGTAAAGGGAGGGACATTTGTATCTTGTAGTTTAGTAATAGACATTTTTGTTCTGAGCCTTTTACCTTCACAGTTGTTTTTCTGTTTTCACATCCTTTTTCCTTTTAGAAGATATCCAATTTTTTCTTGTCCTCTCCGATTTGGCCCTATTTATCCTTGCTCTAGGGACGGGATTGAAATATACTAATCCCTCAAGTGAAAATTCCTATTATGGTTTAATGTCTGTCTTAGTCTATTCTTGCTGCTATAATAAAATCCCTTAGTCTGAGTAATTTATAAACAATAGAAGTTTATTTCTCACAGTTCTGGAGGCTGGGAAGTCCAAGATCACAGTGCTAGTTGATTCGGTTCCTGGTGAGGGCTTGTCCTATCTATAGCCTCTTCTTGAGCGTGTCCTCACATAGCAGAAAAGGCAGAAGAGGAAAAGGGATGGAAAGGCAGGCACCTCTCTGAAGCCTCTTTTATAAGCTCATTAATCCTATTCATGAGGGAGGAGCCCTCATAATTTAATCACTTCCCAAAAGGCTCCTATTTTTTAATAGGGGGTCTATTTTAATACTATTAATACTATTTTAATAGTATTAATACTATTGCATGGAGGTCTAAGTTCCAACATATGAATTTTGCAGGGACATATGCATTCAAACCATAGCTATGTCTTATTTCTTAAAACATACTGTAGGTTGAAGGAATGAAAATTGTGTTAACATTCACTCACTGTTCTGTGTGTTTTATAAACATTAACTCATTTAACCTCTCATGATAACCTATGAGGTAGGTTTTTAATTGTGGAAGTTCAGGTAATCAAGTAGGGGAAAGCTTGGGAAGCAATTGATCCTTTTATCTTTGAAATCATAATAAAACAAAATTCCATCTGTATGGCCAGGCCATTTGTTACTCCTATGATAGGAATCCTGAGCCAAGGCCAATCAAGCATAAAATAATCTTGCGGTCAGTGTGATGTGGGGCAATGATGATAGGGCTTATGGTAAGATCCCATTAGAACCTCAGGACAGGGATTTTATTGACTCATACTACGAGTAGAAAGGTTCACATCTAAGTTTAAAAAAGTTTTATGGAGATATGCTAATTCTTGAATTTTTACTGTAATTATAGTTGAAATGTACTGTTTTGTTATACGTAATGTCAACATTTTATGTCTAATATTTTAATATGTTACTTTTAAAAGTTAATTTTTTAACTTTTGGAATATCACAGTGATTTTAACTTTAAAATGAGTTATCCATAAATAACAGTTGCTTTCAGTTTTTAAAAACACACTTCTTAGAGAAGGCTTTCTTCATAAAATAAGATTCAGTTCCATTCATTCTTTGTTACAGCGCTATGCAGTGCTATGATTATTTTTTCAGGATATCACACATTGTTTTTATTTTATTTAACTCTGTTTAATGTTTGACAATGTTTAAATG
Source organism: Homo sapiens (assembly GCF_000001405.40). NCBI lineage: Eukaryota > Metazoa > Chordata > Mammalia > Primates > Hominidae > Homo > Homo sapiens. The sequence continues at coordinate 88,644,418 of NC_000005.10, read as the reverse complement.
TGAAATACACAGTCTTTTAAACTACTGAGTAATACTCTATCAGGATTCTCTAAAAACCTCCTATAAATACATAAATGAATCAAAGGATTGTCTATTTTAGTTAAATTTTTATCTGACTTTTTAGAATATGTGGAAGAATCACTAAGAAAAATATGTAAACAGTAAAAACAACAAGGAAAAAAGTACTAATGAGTAGATTTATTTTAATTAAGTATAAAATTTTAAATTTTAACAGCAAAAATTGTTTAATATTTTTCAAATCTTACATGATAAATTGATAGGAAATATGCCCACTCTGAAGCTGATTATTATATAGTAGTTCAAATTATCATTTCATTTCTTAACTAGTCATTTCTTAAAGAAGTCTTTGAGAAAATAATATAATTTTTTGATTAATATTGTATTGATACAGATGCCTGTGAGAGTAATTCTCATACCCGGTTGAGAAACTTTTAGAAACTACCAATATTGGAGCTCAACCCTTAAAGTTTCTCATTTAGATAGGGCCTCATCATTTAAAAATAAAAAACAAAAAATAATTCCCAACATGAATTTAATATGTAGCTACGGAATTAACCACTGGACTACACAATTTTTATACAATTATTTCTATCACATAATTCTGTTTCCTGAATGGATCCCTTGCCCTTAAATGTAGAAATTTTAATATTTCGTAATGCGTCAATTATATCAGTTTGATTCAACATTCTTGAAATGTTTAATCAAATGTATTATACTAAATCTGTTACAACATAACTTGATATAATGAAAGAGTCAATTTACAAATTAGGGATTATCCATTGTTTTCTACTATTGTGATGGCTGAAGTAAGTAGAACAAAAAAATTAGTGTAACTTGATTTATCATTACTCATTTAAATGGCTGAGTCATATTCTATGAAACATTTTGTTGACACTGTGACATTCATGACTCTTAGGGAACTGGATCTACTCAATATCTAAGTTCCAGAACAAAATCTACAGATTTGTAAGAGTTAAGCTTTCTTTTATGAACATTGTTTAAATTTAGAAAAGCATCATCTGTCTTGCAACCTCACTTTGTGCTTAAGAGATACAGTTCTAGAACTAGTTTTTGTAATTTGTATTTTGTTTTGGTTCTAGAAGTAGTATTGATGCTTGCCATCTTACTATTTAGTAAAAGTTGAATTCTAGATAATTATCTTTCTTTTTCCTACCTACCACGAGGAATTAGAGAGAAGGGAAATTAAAAAAAATCAGTTTACTATAATGTGATAGCTATGAAAAAGATTACAGGCCTTGTTATTTTCTCCCAAATAGCTATACATTTAGGACAGTCAAAAAGAATTTATACAAAATCAAAGTGGAAATTAAAACGTTCTCTTTTTTCCTAAGGAATTTGGTTTCAGTATCTGTACAGTGCCCTTAATACATGTAAAATCAGAACAGAGTCAATCTGTGGCTTAGCTACATACAAATTCCTTGAGAGGCAGTGTACAATTGTTGGTTTGAAATAAGCATTAGATTTATCATTTAAATGTTAGCTCCCAATCACTATACCAGACTTACTACAAAGTAAGAAAGATGCTTTTTTCAGTGATTCACATGAGAGTTTATCACATTTGAAAACATTTTTGCAATTTATTACTGGTCATCCTTTCTTATACAATTATTGGTACCAATCATATTTTACAGGCTAGGAAATGAGTTGGATATATACTAAAGAAAGTCTAAATAAAGTAGAATGATTTTGAGGGTATTTTATAAAAATGGGATTTGGGGTTGGTTTGGAAATGTCCTTAGGCTTGAATAAAATGCTGAAATTTGTACCAATAGGATATGAGATGCTGGTAACCCATGGCATGTAGTAACATCAAAATTAATCAAATTATCACCTATAGTTGACTGTAATTAAGTACCTTCTGAGACAAGCATTTTGGGAGACTAAGCAGGTGCCACTCTTGGCCACTATGGCTATGTTAATGACTAAAAGGACCTTGGTATGGGATGAATTCTTTTGAATGACCTGGAAATTTCCAGAAAGCAAATGAGAAGCGCAGGTTTCTAACTCTTGGTTTAAAACATGGTGAGAGAACCTGAGAGCTTCTATTTTGGCCTTAAAATAACCTTATTTCTCGTAGCAACCACATCTATATTGCTGAAAATTAAGCACAGGTTTCTAACTCTTGGTTTAAAACATGGTGAGAGAACCTGAGAGCTTCTATATTAGCCTTAAAATAACCTTATTTCTTGTAGCAACCAAACCTATATTGCTGAAAATTTAACACCAAATTTAATTATGCAGACTACACAATTCTAACATAAGTTGAATTCACGGTTTTGCCAAGTCTGTCCCATAAAAGTAAGGGCATCAATTGGAAGATGTGGGATTCTGAAATGGGGGGTGAAGGCATTGTTAATGGAAGGAAATTGTCTTTTCATGTCTAAGACTAGCCATCCCCTATTGAAAATCCTCTGATAACCCTACCCTGGGCAGTTGCTTTGCAAGGGAATGCCATTCTTCTCAAGACCCACCCCAACCATTCTTTGTTGTCACTAGACTCATTACTAGGGTCATATCTCAGTACGCTCCAGGAATACAAGTCTGAAGTTTCAGCAAGGAGGAAATAGCTTATGTGCTAAGAGAACTGCAAAATTTTGCTGATATGTGTTGGATGAAATCTGGGAAATACAGCCAGGAATGAATTCTTAAGAGTATTGGACCAAGGAAGAAGTACTATAACATTGGGTTGGGCCACATTTATTGATATGGATACTCTTACTAGATATTCTGAATTTAATGCATTAGCTTGTGCAGCTGGAAGTGACTCTAACCATTTATTTGTTTGGTTGACTAAAAGTTAGACTCAATGGTGGCCTATATATATAATGAGGAAAATATGCCAGAATTTCTTTGGAATAGTAGAAGCCAAAGGTTTATGATGACAGGAATATTGGAGTGGACTTATGCATGTTGTGCATAGCTATTACCTAACTACATCACCTCAGACAGCCCAGAGGACACTCACTTTACAAAGGCTTAAAGAAGTGCATTAGTGAAAGGAGCACCTGCATCCTTGAACAGCTTTCTGGTAATTGTCTTCTTTCGGTCAAATGGCAGCACTTAATTTCCAAAAACAGGTTGGGCATATTTGTTGTTAAGGGCTGCAGCGACATAGTGGTAATTAGAATGTTTTGATCTACAGGAATATTTAACGAAAGGCAATCTTTCTAGTAGGCAGAATTTCAAGCCGTCCATTAGGCTGTCCATTTTGTCTGACTTGAGAGATGAGTAGAACTACACTGGTGTAGTTTATTAAGGCTGCCATATTGCAGTACTACAGACCGGGTGGCTTAAACAACAGAAATTTATTTCCTTACAGTTCTGGAGACTAGAAGTCCAGGATGGAGGTGTCAACAGCATTGGTTTCTTCCAAGGTCTCTCTCCATGACTGATAGATGGCTATCTTCTCCTTGTACATTTATATGGTCTTTCCTTTGTGTTTGTCTTTTTCCTAATATCCTCTTCTTAGAACAACACCAGTCATATTGGGTTAAGGCCCACCCATATGACCTCAGTTTACCCTAATTATCTCTTTAAGGGCCCTATCTCCAAATGCAGTTACATTCTGAGGTACTAGGGCTTAGGACTTCAACATATGAATTTTGAGGAGACACAATTACACCCATAAGATACATATCTACATGAATTTATGAGCAGTTGCTAATGGTTTGATCAGATGATCAGAAACTCAGAAAGAACAGGACAAGGAAGTCTGGGGAAGAGGTACCTTTCAAATAGTTACAGGGTATGAAGATATTTATGTCCCACATGAATGCTCGTAAAAAATTATCCACTGCAGAGAACACTCAGTAATCACATGGATAGATTTACTCATTTATTGTCTGGATGTCAGACAGCCTCTTTCCCTAGCCGTCCTGGTTCTTACTCAATCAGTCGATATACAAGGTGGCCATGGTGGTAGGAATGGAAGCTCAGCATGGACTCAACATCTTTCCCTCTCTGAGGCTGATCTGGTTACCACTACTGCCGATTGCTTAATATGCTAACATCAGATGGAAGCAACAGTCACCAGTCAGAACCAGGGTGGCTGGTTCTCCCCAAAGACTCAGTGTTGTTTCTGATTTTGTCCTCACTGGAATAAGAAATGCATTCTGGGTATAGATTTAGTTCCTTTGCCAGCACCACCAAACCTGGTCTTAGAGAATGCCTTCATGGTATTCATGCTCATGGTATTCTGTATAACATTCTTCCTATCAAAAGGAATTCATTTCATAGCAAAATAATTGCAGGAATGGTCTCATGTCCAAGGACTCAATGATCTTACCATATATCCCATCATCTAGAAACAGTTGGCCCAATAAAAGTGGAATGGCCTCCTAAAGGCTAAATTAGACTTCAGATGAGAGACAACACCCTGAAGGATGGGGCTTTACCTTAGGGAATGAAGTATGTGCTTTGAATCAAAGATCAAAATATGTTGCTTTATCTCCATAGCCAGAATATATGGGTCTGGGAATTCAGGGTTGGAAGTAGGAGTGGCTCCTCTTACAATTACAGTTAAAACCCACTTCCAGAATTTTTGCTTTCTGTTTCCACAGCCTTGGGTTTGGAGTTCATGCTTCCTAAGGAAGGAAGGTCTTCATCACAGGATCCATATGGTTTCATTGAATTAAAGGTGTGAATTTCACCTGGCTATTTTGGGTTTCTCAATTCACTGAACCAATGGCCTAGAGTTATAATTCCCAAATTATCAAAGGAAGGAAGAAAATGTGCAGAGCCAATTTGTTTTAATTTTTGTAACTAGTCAGAGACAGTAGCTGATGTTTATAACTTCCTTCTCTCATTACTTATTCCATGTTTCCTTTGCCCTCTCTCAGCCAGGACCTCAGCTGGTCAAAGTCCTTTACATGACAGAGTTACCCAAATTTTCATTTGTGATGTGTCTGAATTCTGCCCTTTTTTAATTGTAGCTTTTTATTAACTTTTACTATTAGACATGCTAACCCTAAGAAGTGCCCAAAGAATCCCCTGAATTCCAGACAAGGTCTCCTCACCCTGTTGGATAGTTTCAACACAGTCACAATTAAGATAATGAACATATTTGTAACCCCAAAGAACTTCCTTCTGCCCCTTTATAATTCAGCCCTCCTGCCCCTTCCTGCCTTCCCCAAGTTACTCAGGTAGCTTCTAATCTTCCTAAGTATAGGTTAGTTTGTGTTTTCTAGAATTCTATATAAATTTGATCACACAGTATGTACTCTTTGTATTTGGCCTAGCTTCTTTCACTCAGAATAATCATTTTATAATTCTTCCATGTTGTTGAGTGCATCAGTAGTTCAGTCCTTTTTATTTCTGAGTAGCATTACAGTGGATAGATATACCATAATTTGTTTATCCATTCACTTATTGATGGAGATTTGGATTATTTCCAGTTTTTGACAATTAAAGTCTCTATGAACATTTGTGTTTAACTCATTGTATGAACATAGGCTTTCATTTCTCCTGGGTAAATACCTAGGAGTGGAACGGCTGGATTATATGGTAGTTGTACGTTTAACTTTTTAAGAAACTGCCAAATATTTTTTAAAGTTGTACTTTGCTAGTATTTATTTCCACCATCAGTATATGAGACCTCTAGGTTCACATCCTCAGCAACACAGTGTGTCCAGTCTTTTAATTTAATTTAAAGTTGTTTTGTTTTTGTGAGACAGGGTCTTACTCTGTTGCCCAGCTTGGAGTACAGTGGTGCAATCTTGGCTCACTGTAACCACTGCCTTCCAGGTTCAAGTGATTCTCCTGCTTCAGCCACCAGAGTAGCTGGGATTACAGGCGTGCACCACAACACCCAGCTAATTTTTGTGTTTTTAGTAGAGACAGGGGCTTTGTGATGTTGGCCAGGCTGGTCTTGAACTCCTGGCCTCAAATAATCTGCCCACCTCAGCCTCTCAAAGTGCTGGAATTATAGGTGTAAACCACCGGGTCTGGCCCTTTTTAACTTTAGACATTCTAATAGGTATGTAGTGGTATCTCGTCGTGGTTTTCATTTGCATTTTCCTGATGATTGATGAAGCCATCATCACAATCAAGATCGTTAATATATCCGTCACTTTAGAAAATTTCCTTTGTATGTGCTTTAGTGACATTTATATATCTTCTTTGGTAAAGTGATTGTTCAAATCTTTTGTCCATTTAAAATAGTAGATTGTTGGTTTTATTGCTAAGGAGTTTTAGTTTTTGACTTATGTATTCTGGGTACAAGTTCTTTATCAAATACATGTTATTTGCCAATATTATCTCCTACTCTGTAGCTTTTTTTGCATTCTCTTGACCATATCTTTTGAAGAGCAAAAGTCTTTAACTTTGATGAAGTACCAATTTTTCCTTTAATACGTCAGGATTTTGAATCTAAGAGATCTTTGCTTAACCTAATTTTACAAATATTTTCTCCTATTTTTTCTTCTAGAATTTTTATGGTTTTAGGTTTTCCTTTTTGGTCTATCCTCCATTTTGTTTTTGTATTTGTTTGTGGTGTTAGGTATGAATCAGTTTATTTTTTGTATATAGATAGCCAATAGTTCCACACTATCTGTTGATGGTTAGCAGTTTCACTCTTGTTGCCCAGGCTAGAGTGCAATGGCATGATCTTGGCTCACTGCAACATCCACCTCCCAAGTACAAGTGATTCTCCTGTCTCAGCCTCCCAAGTAGCTCGGATTACAGGCACGCGTCACCACACCCGGCTATTTTTTTTGTATTTAGTAGAGACGGGATTTCACCATGTTAGGCTGTTTGTGAACTCCTGACCTCAGGTGATCCACCCGCCTCGGCCTTCCAAAGTGCTGGGATTACAGGTGTGCGCCACCACACCCAGCCTTCAAGTTTGTACTTCTAAACCAACTGCAGTCTGTGCATTCACCTTTACAACAACCCCAGGTTTAGGACATGTTGTGAATTAATGAATATCTATATGGTTATGACCCAGCCTATTACCTAATATAGAAAGAATATCCTTTTTAAGTGAATGGTTTGAAAATACACATACCATAAAAGTGAATCTTAAATTTTGAACCTAAATAAATAGCCAGTTATGCTGTCTTTTCTGCAACTGGACTAAGCATTCATTTGCTATTGTACAATGAGGAGGAAAAAAGGTTTGTAATATTGAGAGACTTTGTAATGAGACCCTAAAGAGCCAGAATCTATTTAAAATACTGACAGTGAATCCCATAACAGTTTTTAGACCAAAGAATGAAGGAGGGGGTTGGTTGATAAACTACTCAAAAATAGAAACTGAGTTAAAGGTGATGTTTTGGCTGTTAGGCTTTCTTCAGGCCATAATATATAAAAGTAATATTTTTAAATTTCTTCTTCTGCCCAAGGAAAACCTCAAAGATAGAATGTTATGTTTAACCTTATTGTACATTCCACAGAGTATTTTAAGAACTAGAAAAGGATTGCTGGGGCAAAAAATGATTGTAGTATTGAAAGATCAGAAAAACTCTGTCATAATTTTAAAAAATAAGCAAACACTGAGAACTTCATCCGCAATGTTATTCTGAATTCAGTATTCTATCGGGGGACTTTTGAGGTAAATAAATAAGACTAACTTAGAGTTCACAGTATTTTTGGATCTGAGTGTTACTTTCTTCTACATAGTATTACTTGAAACTTTATTTGCTTTTCTATAATAGTATTATTTAGCTTCAAGTCAAGCATTGAATTGTAAAATGATTTTAATTGACAACTGAATTGTTCAGTGCATTTTACTTATGTATCCCTTCCTAATACCTTAAAAATATTGTTTAATTATATGAAGATATCTTCTAGAAGTTATTAAAATCACAATATTTTATTATATTTATGATTGAATTTTGTTTATACAATTTTTTGAAATAAATGAGTTAACAGGTTATAAAAAATAGACATGATAGAAATCAAAGCATTAACTCCAAAAACCACTAACAGGTTGGTCTTAATTTTTTTTGTCTAATGAACAAACAAACATGCTCTGAAAAAAAATGTTTATCTTTGACAGATATGGCCAGGTTCAGGCTAGATTGTGATATTCACTGAAGATTGTGTGACATTGTTCTAAAAATATAGGTGTCTGTCAAAACCATCAACTGTATTGGTTAGTTGTTAATATCTTAAAAAATGGAATAAATGTCTATGCATCCTAAGGAAAGAGAGTTGCAAATGAGACAAACACTGTTGATTGCTAGAAGCTGACTCTGAACCAAGTGTTTTGCATATTTTGTCTTATTTAATCCTTACAGTAACCTCATAGAAATAAAAACAATTTGTCCATTACCATACCACTAGAAAGTGGTCATATCTAGCACGGATGTATTTGCTCTCAAAGCAGTTCTTTCCATTACGCAGTGCTACCTTTTAAATATATACCAGGTCATAGTCATTCATTAATGTGGCAGAAAGCAGCAACTTTATAACCAGGTAGTATTCTATGTAATACTATGATATGTATTAAATACTCATGAAAAGTTATATATGTTTACTATAAACTTTTATGTATTCTATAAAAACATGTAGATTTCTTACTATTTCTTATTACATCTATATTAGATTTTTTAAAAAAATTCACATTTCATGTCAAAGTTTACTTTTGTCTTCATTATGATAATTTTCAGTGCTGATATTTTACAATATTGATGTACTTCATTTATTATATTTTTTTCTGAGAGAAAATGGATTAATGTAGCCTAAATGACTAAGTAAGATAACAAGAAGTTCTTCTGCAATAAAAAAATCATTCAGAAGCTGTTATAATTTGCATGGGTTCATGGCAATTATAGTCTTTTGTTAATTTTCTTTTTATTCTCTTAAGTATTTAGTGAAGTTCTTTTTGAAAATTGCCAAAGAAATGGTCATATTTTGTTTCATTCACTGATAGTATTAAACTAAACCATAGTGAGTGGACTCGAATTCAAGTAAGATTTTCAATTGGATTAAGACTGGGAATCTTGTGCTATTTTTTGCTATCATAGTTTCTAAAGAACAGCACAAATCTCAGGGACAAATTTCAACGCAATTTCAGCATCACATATATGAGGGATATACAACTTAGGAGTTCACTCCTCATATCATCTGTAGGTGATTTACTGATGAAACCTACCAGAGGATGGCAAATATTTTCCTACTACTTGGGTGATCCACCTGCCTCAGCCTCCCAAAGTGCTGGGATTACAGGCATGAGCCACCGCGCCCAGTCTTTTTTTTCTTAGAATGAACAAAAATTTTGTTTTGAAAATGTAAGAAATTTTCATGGTACCAACGAACTTGGGAACATTCCGAAGAGTTCAAAAATAAAGGATAGGAATAAGTGACTTAGAGCTACACTGACAAAATAAATTATAAGATGTTTCTTTGTGATGAATTCTGAATATGAAAATCCCATCCCAATGCTTCTGTTTGTGACTCAATGGATCAAAAGGCTATAAGTGATTACTAAAAGATAATTATGAAGCTAACTTTGTAAAAACCTTCTTACATGGTTATTCTCATTACCAATATTAGAGCAAGTTCAGTAGTATTTGCAGGAGAAGACAAAAATGTACTTGTCAGTATGCTCAAATACTTTTTTAATCCGAAGAAAAATGTTTATTAAATTGATACTACTTTTAAATACTTCTGTACTGCATTTAGTATTGTTCTGTAAAATTAGTTTTTGGCAAATGCTTTTCTTCAATCATCCCTTTGACAAACTACTGATAGTTTTGTAACTTGGCAAAAGAAGGGAAATGTAGTATGTTGCATGTATCAAACTACCTTGTCTGATTTATGTCCAAAATACTTATTTACCTCTCTAAGAAGGACTTCAATTCACGATTATTGAACAATTACTGAAGAATTAACTCATAAGTGTAGACTGCTAGGGTCAAATTAGATTACTATCTGAATTAACATCATCATTTACTACAAACTGAGCTGCTAAATTGCCAACCTATAGTTCAGGGTTTTTTGTTTGTTTGTTTGTTTGTTTGTTTGTTTCTTACAGAGACCGTCTGAGCCTTTTATATTTGCATCTTGACATTTTTCTTGCATTTATTTTTTTTAAATAGAGAATTCCCTATTTTTCTTCATGTCATTGAACAAAATAAGATTTATAAACAAAATTAAAGCCCAAAGTGGTTTGGCTGAAAAAGTATTTATTTTCCAAAAACGAAATAAAACAAAACAACAAACAATCCTGAGACATTGTGACAAATATCTGTTCCTCAGGATGTGCTCCCAATTCCTCCAACCCAATCTTTAGTAACCCTGTGAACCTGTGGAAGCCAGGTAGGAGTGGGACTGAGGATATTTTATTTGAAGAACAAATTAAGAAGGTCTAAACAGTAGAGCAAAGCTCTCAGGAATTGGTGAAGGCTTTTGCATGAAGCAGCAGCAAGGAAAAAATATGAAATGCATGAAAACTCTGCACAGCAGTTTTAAAGCTTTGATAAAATATAAAATGTCTTTAACCCCTTTGCTGTTCTTGCAAACGCCTGCAATTCAAGAATTTTATTATTCTGGGGCTAACATATTTTAAACCTCAATAACTGAATGTTTCCTTTGGGATACCTTCAGGCAAACTATATATTGATTTTCTCAGAATGCACTGTATTTTTCATTAGCATCAAGGTTTGGTGGATATCCAGTCATTTGTTCACCAAATTCCTCTGAAAATTAAAATGGACTACTCCATTTTGGCTGTGGAGGCTTTGGAGCATGGGCATTCATTTTTTCCTATTAAACACTCTGCCAAGGTACACTATTTTGACATTCATCTTGTCCAGGACATATGATACCAAATCACCTTTTAACTTGGTCTGCCATACCATTCCCTATTTGCCACTCGGGTTTGATGACACATTTGTCATAGCTAACATCAGAATGTTTCTCTGATTTATCTTTTTAAGCTATAGAGCTATAGATTTGCCTATATAATACAAATGAAATAGTCTTCTCTGATCATACTTTCATTTGAATTAGTCAGGAAATTTAGTTATTTTAAAATGCAAGTCATATTGACTTTGCTCAATATTCATTGTTTCATTTGGTGGTAGAAACTTAGTCCATGATGTAGATAATGTGGTTTTCACATTTGGAAGTAGAATTACTCAAGTAACTTTGTTGTGCCTTCCACTCTCATCTTTTATGAACCACGTCTACTTTCCTGAGTGAAGACAGACTCAGCTTTTCTTCAAGGGTACACTGCTCACCAAGCTGGGTGTACATTAAGAGATCATGTATTAAAGGAAGCTTATCACTTATTTTGTCATACTTCATTGTTTTTGTTGTTGTTGTTTTTAAATGAGGGTCTTGCTCTATCATCCAGGCTGTAGTGCAGTGACATGATCATAGTTCATTGTAACACCAAACTCCTGGGCTCATGCGATCTCCCTGCTTCAGTCTCCCAAGTCGTTGGGATTACAAGGGCATGCCACCATGCCTGGTTAATTTCTTAATTTTTAATTTTTGGTAGAGATAATGTCTGTCGATGTTTCCTAGGCTGGTCTTGAACTTCTGGCCTCAAGTCATCCTCCTACCTTAGCTTCCCAAAGTGCTGGGATTACAGGTGCGAACCACTGTGACTAGCCTGTCTTACACTTTTTGATAACCAGCACATTTTTTATTCTACCAGCCATTACTCCCAACCCCACCCAAAATGCATGGTTTGAAATAGTAGTTGATACCTTATATTTTAATTTTTTGGGAGACACGATCTCACTCTGTTGCCCAGGCTGAAGTGTGGTGGCACAATCTTGGCTTACCGTAGCCTCAACCTCCTGGGCTCAAGCAATCCTCCTGCCTCAGTCCCCAAGTAGCTGAGATTACAGACATGTGCCATCATGCCCGGCTGATTTTTGTATTTTTTGTAGAGACAGGGTCTCCCCATGTTTCCCAGGCTGGTCTTGAACTCCTGGGCTCAAATGATCTACCCACCTTGGCCTTCCGAAGTGTTAGGATTACAGGCGTGAGCCACTGCGCTTGGCCTTAGTTGATACCTTTTTTGTATAGATATTTATATCATGCATTTTGCCAGTAAGCCAACTGAGCCCTCTGCATCCACACAACATGGATTTGCTGTTCTTTCTTAATTTTCGTGACAACCTTCTGAAGTAGGTGCATAGTAGTATAACAGTTTTATAATTGAGGAAACTGATGAAATTGTATGCTATGGTCTGTTAATTCAGTGATTTTAGAGGAAGTTGGGTGTATCATTTAGAAATATCAAGTATTTGCTATGACAGGAATAATTCAAGGAGCCAAGGAAGGGATCAGTGCAGACATGCACTTGCTGTTTCATATTTACTATATGCATTCTCAGATTTTTTGAATGCCCTCTGTGAGTAGAACACTCAGTATTCTAGGCATGGGAGATCCAAAAGTGAACAATACAGGAAAGGCCTCCACTGTGATAGAATTTACCTCCAATCAGGGAAGAAGGGGAGAGAGTCAATATAAAAGGAGCCAAATAAATGAACAAGATAATTTCAGGTAATTGATGAAGGCTTTGAAAACAGTGAGACAGGGTTACATAACAAGAGAGACTAGAAAGGGTAGGAATTGGGCTGGGAGTGTTGAGAGCTACTTTAAATTGATTAATAATTTCACTAAGGAAGTGATGTTTCTGTTCAGGCCTGAATTATATAAAGGCATTAGCCATGTGGAAGTCTGGGAACAAAGGAAAACCAATGAAATGGCCCTGTGCTGGTGATGAGCTTGATGTGTACAAGAGCCTGGAAGAAGGCAAGTGTGGTTGGAGAATAGAGAGTGAGGCGGCAGCATCATTAGTATGAAATGAGGTCTTTTACCCTGGATTAACCAAATTTGTAATTTGGCTATAAAGAAAACTTCAGGATTCAGAATTTAAAAAATTTTAGGTCAAAATCAGTGTTAATTTACAATGTATTATTATAGGATTTTGGATCAAATGTCCTTTAAAAAGAATTCATGTGAGAAGATTTAAAATGCAACTTATAATAGCAGGGGAAAAAAACCAACTTAATGAAGTATTGAGCACTTCTATGTATCAGAGTCTGAGCTAGGTGGAGGTAGATGAATAAGACATGATCCTACATGATCCTGCCATTAACAACATCTCTGACAGGTAAAATGCAGGTTAAAACTATTACCTATCAATGTATGAAAGAAAAGCCAACCAACCTCAGAAGTTATCCTCTTGTCTGAAATTGGACAAAATTACCTTCTCAGTTACAACTGGAATTTCTTGTCTAGTGTCCACTGTATTTAATTGAAATCCAGTTTAAATTTAAGCAACGTAAATTATATGTAGGTGCTTCTTAATGGTTGATTTATTAGTTTTATTAACAACACTTGAGTCAATGTATGTAACTTATATAAACAATTACTACATCAATGCTATAATCATAACAGAATAAGATATAAATGTAGATGCTTAGTCCACTTCTTCAAATTATTTCCACATGTCCTCTCAGTTACAATAGTATGTACATCTGATTTTCTAAATCTGACAAGTTATTTTATTCTAAATTTTCATCTGAATTTCTAAAACTAATTCATTTTAGAAAAAATGTAGGCTGACAAATTACTAGAGCCCCTTATTTTTCCTCCTTTCATTATTTTTATAAAAAGCAAAACAAAAGTAATGCATGCGGCCGGGCGCAGTGGATCACACCTGTAATCCCAGCACTTTGGGAAGCCAAGGTGGGCGGATCACCTGAGGTCAGGAGTTCGAGGCCAACATGGCGAAACCCTGTCTCTACTAAAAGTACAAAAATTAGCCGGGCCTGGTGGCGGGTGCCTGTAATCCTAGCTACTCAGGAGGCTGCGGCAGGAGAATCACTTGAACCCGGGAGGCAGAGGTTGCAGTGAGCCAAGATTGCGCCACTGCACTCCAGTGTGGGTGACAACAGCGAGACTCCATCTCAAAAAAAAAAAAGTAATGCCTGCTTATTAAAAAGAAAAAAATAAATAATACAAAGATTCATAAAGTAAAAAGTCAAAATCTTAATATACTGCCTCTCCCCACACCAATCTCAAACCCAAAAGGCAGCCATAATAAATAATTTGGTGCATATCTTGCAGATCTCTTTCCATACTCACCCCATTCCTTCCCTACATATGTTTGATTTTTTGTTTATGTGACTCGATCATACTATGTATGTTCTGTGACTTGCTTAGCAACCTATCGTTGAAATAATTTCAAGTGAATGGACATAGATTTACACTATTCTTTTAGAGTGGTGTGGAATTTCATAGACTCAATCCATCACATGTTTTTTTTACTTTTTAAGAGTATTCATATTACAAAATATTCAACATCCAGACAAGAGTAGAGAATAAAATGATGAAAATGTGTGTACAATCTTTACTATTTGGGCAATGAGTACACTAGAAACCCAGTCCCCACCAGTATGCCATATACCCATGTGACAAACAAGCACATGTACGCCCTGAATCTAAAATTTTAAAAAATAAGATAATGAAAATAATAGAAACCCATGTCCATAGCATGCAACTTCATATATCTAACAAGTTCCCTATTGATAGGTCTAAATGTTATTGCTAGCTCTTTGCTGTTAAAAAACATTCCAGTGAAAAAATCTGTACACCTAACATTATGCACATGTGCAAATAAGTTATGAAAGACCAAATTAGAGGTGGAATTGTTGGAACAAAAGGCATGTGCATTTGAAAAGTTGAGAGTCCCAGTAAAATTGTCTTCCAGAATGGTTGTGTTTATACTCCCATCAATAATAGATGCACGTGAAGCCTTTTACTGGAACATAGTACACTTGCAGAATGAAGAATGATAAATAATAAGATGTTAATATGAAAGCACAATTTTTAGAAAAATCAAATTAAACCTCCAAAATTATATTATCAAACATAGAACTACCAAACTCTTGTTCCTTTATTAACTTCATTATCTTTTTCAGTACCTTAAGTTGGTGTCTGTTTGCACATATGTTCAAATTTTTTAAAAATGTAGAAGCATTTCTGCACAGAGCAAATAAACTTCATTCCAAAAATTTGCTACCGAGGTTTTTATTTGCATACTCTTTGCTCCTACTATTGTATTTCCACTGTCTGAAGTATTCTTATGTGGTATTACCACCCAATACAAGAGATAGCAATCAGGATTTTTTCTTGAACTATTGTAATTGGAATAACTCCAATATTGCCATTTTATCTTGAAGAACTAGGTGAAAAATGTTTTCCTTGATTATAATTGCTTTTTCAGAAATTCCAGCATTTATTTCATTTACTTAATCACTTAGAAATGCTGAATTTAATCAAAGTTACAAACCTATAGTTCAAACACAGCAAATTCTAATCAGATTTCAACTAATTTTTTTTTTTTTTTTTTTTTTTGAGACGGAGTCTCACTCTCTCTCTGTTGCCCAGGCTGGAGTGCGATGGCGCAATCTCAGCTCACTGCACCCTCCGTCTCCTGGCTCCAGGCAATTTTCCTGCCTCAGCCTCCTGAGTAGCTGGGATTACAGGCACGCACCACCACACCTGGCTAATTTTTGTATTTTTAGTAGAGAAGGGGTTTCATCATGTTGGTCAGGCTGGTCTTGAACTCCTGACCTCATGATCCACCCACCTGGGCCTCCCAAAGTGCTGGGATTACAGGCATGAGCCACCGCGCCCGGCAATTTCAGCTAATTTTAACATAAATTTTGCTTACTGAAGAATGGTCTGAAAATTAAGTACGTGCCACTCTTTATGAAGTTAATTTTATGTAGTGATTTGACTGGGCTAATGGATGCCCAGATAGCTAGTAAAACATTATTTCTGGGTGTTTCTATAAGGGTGTTAGGGAAGATTCACATTTGAATCAGTAGACTGAGTACAAATGATCCTCCCTCACCAATGCAGGTAGGCATCATTCAGTTCATCAAGGGCTCAAATAGAACAAAAAGCCAGAGAAAGGGTGGATTTGCTGTCTTGTATTGATCTGGAACATCCACCTTCTCCTGCCCTCAGACATTGGTGCTTCTAGTTCTTGGGCCTTTGGACTCAAACTGGGACTTCCAATATTGGCTCCCCTGGTTCTCAGACTTTTGAGTTTGGACTGACACTACACCACTGGCTTTCCTGGGCCTCCAGCTTACAGATCGCAGATGGTGGGACTTCTCAAGGCTCCATAACCCTGTGAGCTGATACCACAAAATATATATATATATATATATATATATATATATATATATATATATATATATATATATATATTTTGAGACAGAGTCTCGCTCTGTCGTCCAGGCTGCAGTGCACTGGCGCGATCTCTCCTCACTGCAAGCTCCGCCCCCTGGGTGCATGCCATTCTCCTGCCTCAGCCTCCTGAGTTGCTGGGACTACAGGGGCCTGCCACCACACCCGCCTAATTTTGTTTGTGTTTTTAATAGAGACGGGGTTTCACAGTGTTTGCTAGGATGGTCTCAATCTCCTGACCTCGTGATCCGCCTGCCTCGGCCTCCCAAAGTGCTGGGATTATAGGCGTGAGCCACTGCTCCTGGCCCACGAAATTCTTTTAAATATCTATAGATCCTACTGGTTCTCTTTCTCTGGAGAGCCTGACTATATTCTCTTGTACCATGGATGTGCCACAACAAATAAATAAAACAAAAATAACTCTTCATTCCTACATATATTTCAGGACTCTAGGAATCTTTTAAAATTAAGGGGGCCCTATAGTATATGTGCTGCCGAAGTGAGCACTAAAATTAAGGAGGCCCTATAGTAAACTTATTTTAAGAACTTTCTTGAACTATTTTCAAGGACAACAGAATAGTTAAGAATTTATAAAGTGAATATATGATGTCAAGTCAACAAATATTTATTGAGCTCTGCTGTATACACAGTACTATGTTAGATATTGTGGAATTCAACAATGAAGGAGACAGGCTCCTTTGAAGAGCTTACACTTCAGTCAAAAGTGGACTTTGAACTCTATTCTAGGTGGATAGGACTTGCACATTCCTTTCACTTTTCTAACTAAGACAATAAGTTTTAAAGTTGATCAAACCAATACTTAATACTATATTAAAATAAACTACTCATTGCTCCTGTTTTATACTTTCCAGCGAAAATCTTCTGTTAAGATAAGAATCAGGAAACTTTGCTTTCAGGGTAGCCAGTGGTCCAGACTAAGATGAGTTGTTCAGTGAGCAACACTCTTACAGGTTTTAATACTTTTGACTATGAGGAAGTGGTTTAATGCTAAGAAAAAACATGGGAACAGAAATTGTGCATATTCTGGTGAATTATCAGATAGATAATTGAATGAATCACTATGATATTTGGGGTTTATGATTTCCAGTCTCCCACTGTTAAAACAGGTATACTCATCCTCATCTACTTACAGAAACTGTGTTAGGATTGGTTTCAAAAACAAAAGCCAGGTCTCCAAAACTGCCTCTTTAGATAAACTTGAGTCCTTAGGATGCTCCAGTTGTAAATAGATTAAATAATCTCATGTTCACAGAATACATGAATTAAATATGTTTTCCTGAGTCCCAGGTGCCATTTATGATAATATCATTACATGCTAAACGCATATAAAAAGAATAAGGTGAAAAAAGGCCAAGCATAGGGTCTCACACCTGTAATCCCAGCATTTTCAGAAGCCAGGCAGGAAGATCCCTTTACTCTGGAAGTTCAAGACCAGCGTTGGCAACATAGTGAGATTGGCAACATAGTCTCTACAAAAAATGAAAAAAAGAAAATTAGGCAGGTGTGGTAGTGTGCACCTATAGTCCTAGCTTCTCAGAAGGCTGAGACAGGAGGCTGGCTTGAGCCCAGGAGTTTGAGGCTGCAGTGAGCTATCATCCTGCCATTGCACTCCCAGTCTGGGTGACAGAGTGAGACCCTGTGTCAAAAAAAGAATAAAGAGAAATGAAGTCCAAGAGTAACTCGAACATTCCTTAGAAACAGCAAATTCTAATCAAATTTCAACTAATTTTAACATAAATTTTGCTTCATAGGTATGGCCCATGAGTGCTATGCTCAATAAAAATGCTCACAGTGTGTGTGGCTCACGCTTGTAATCCCAGCACTTTGGGAGGCCGAGATGGGTGGATCGCTTGAGGTCAGCTGTTCGAGACCAGGCTGGCCAACATGATGAAATCCTGTCTCTACTAAAAATATGAAAATTGTCCATCTGTGGTGGTGTGCACCTGTAGTCCCAGCTACTCAGGAGGCTGAGGCAGGAGAATCACTTGAACCTGGGAGGTGCAGTGAGCTGAGATCGCGCCACTGCACTCCAACCTGGGGGACAGAGCAAGATCCTATCTCAAGAAAAAAAAAATGCTCACAGACATCATCCTAATCATACTTCTTTCTCTGTCAAACTCTGTACCCCAAAATTAAGCCATTAAACCATTCTAATTAAACCAATTGAGGCATAATATGTGTTTAATCACAATGTTAGAATAGATGAATTCAAATAAAATTTGTGGTTTGATTACAATATACTGAAATTAGAACTAAATATTTTAAGTTTTTATGTCAAATCTTGTAAAAATTACTTTTCCTTATCTATGTGGTTTAGTTCCATTGTGAGCTCGAAGTAAAATGCCCTTCTTTATCTCTGTGAGCTTAAATTAACCTCAAATTAACCTTTATTATTATTTTTTATTATTTTTCTATGCTTCCAAAATTATAGAACGTGTTTGGGTATTTATCATTTCCAGTATGCTGAATGACATCCTGATTGTCTGAGAGAGTTATATGCCTTGTGTAAACAAGCATTTTTTTTCCCTAGAGAGATTATCACAACTTACTATAGCAGCACTTCTGCACAGTTGTATGTAAGATTACCTGGGCAGCTTATTAAGAATTCAGATTGCCAGGCCTCTTCCCCTGTGATTCAGATTCAGTAGGTCAGGAGTGGCATTCAGGAATCTTTATTTTTCTGTCGTCCCTTGCCATTCTGATGTAAGAGGTTGGGTCAAAGCTTGCACTTTAAGAACACTGCTAGAGGCCAAAGTCTAAAATAGATGTAGTGAAATATTCATAGTAAAACATAAATGTTTTCTTCCTTTCTTTCCTGCTCTCTTTTCATTACTTTTTACTACCCCAAACTTAATGTATCACTTTCCCCATTGGCTTGTTTGCTCTCAAATCCACAATTAAGCAATATGTCTGATATCTTTCTAACAGCCTATGTTTTTCTTGTGGAAAATATTACTTTATTCATTTTATAATCCTCTGGTAAAGTTTGTGCTCACACAACTGGTAGTCTTTATGACTAGAGATGGGGCTTTCTAGGTTGTGTTTTTCTTCTGAATGTCTTCTCTCAGTTGTTCTGTCTCAGTAAGAAAGTGATAAGGAATTTATAACCTTATTAATAACCCTGCTTTGTAAAGAGGCAGTTTTCAAAATGATTGTGATTTTTCAGCAGGATGATATTGTTACTATGATAAAGCTCTTTGGTTTCATGGACATACCCTCTTGGCTCTTTCCTTCTGGGTGTCTTTGTGGGAGAGTTGCAGTTTTCTGTTTCCTCTTTAGTGTAAGCATGATTTTGAAAATTAAACATTCATTGTTCATTGCACAAATATTAATTCAGTGTCAATTAAATGCCAAGCACTGTTGTGGGCCCTAGGGACACCACTGTGAGCAAAATTAAACTACTCTTTGTTCTCATGAAGACTTCAGTCTAAATTATGGCCTGAAATAATTGGTAGTGTTATGAGGTGGGTCAGGTGGCTAAAGTGAACTAAAGTTGACAGAAACAGTGAAACGTGGTTGCTGAAGATTTGTAGAGCAGGATGTGTCTTTAAATATTATTTATTTTAGTCTTCTGAGTTTAAAGCGGGCAAAACTGAGAATGCAGGAGGTCAAGAGGCTTTTCCTAAAATGTACGTAGGTAGTGAAACAGATCTTGAATTTATCTCTGATAAAAATGCTGGAATTTAAGGTCTGGGCCTTGGAGATCATCTACTGAACTCCTCATTTTAAAATTGAGAATACAGATTCAGGTTCCAAAGCTATGCGGCTGCTTTGTGGCACAGTCACAATCTGTAGCTGAGAGTTCTTTATGACAAGCAGTATACTTGAAAGAAGATCTTGGTGTTGACTATGAGTTCAGAAGTTTTCCATCTACATCACCCTGCCTGTCTCATGGACAGAGTATTTGGCTGAAATTGCTAATTACTTTTTAAAATAAACTTTAGATTTTAGAATAGTCATAGATTTATAGAAAAATTAGGATGGTAGTACTGAGAGTTCCCATATACTCCACACATGATTTCTCCTATTATTATTTTATATTTATGTGGTCTGTTGGTCAAAATTAATGAACCAATCATGACATGTTATTATTAACTAAAGTCTATAGCCTGGTTAGATTTTCTTAGTTTTAACCTTATGTCCTTTATCTGTTCTAGGATCCCATCCAAGACACCACATTACATTTAATTGTCAAGTTTCCTTAGGATCTCCTTGGCCGTAATAGTTTTTCAGACTTTTCTTGTTTTGAAGACTGATATTTTTGAAAAGAACTGGTCAGGTATTTTGTGGCATGTGCCTCAGTTGGGTTTGTTCTGATGTTTCTCTCATTATTAGTCTGTGGGTATGGGTTTTGGGAAAGAAGACCACAGAGGTAAAGTGCCCTTCTCATCACATCATATCAGGGATACATATTATTAACATGACCTATCACTGTTAATTTTAACACTAATTCGTTGGCTAGGGTAGTATTTGTCAGGTTTCTTCACTGTAAAGTTAAGCTTTTCTTCACCTTTCTGTATTGTACTATTTGCAAGACAGGCACCATGTGTACTCTACACTTAAAGAGTGAGGAATTATAAAGGAATAGAAGATGGCCAAATAGGAACAGCTCTGGTCTACAGCTCCTAGCGTGATCGACGCAAAAGATGGGTGATTTCTGCATTTCCAACTGAGGTACCTGGTTCATCTCATTGGAACTGGTTGGACAGTGGGTGCAGCCCACAGAGGGTGAGCTGAAGCAGGGCAGGGCATCGCCTCACCTGGGAAGCACAAGAGGTCAGGGGATTTCCCTTTCCTAGCTAAGGGAAGCCATGACAGACTGTACCTGGAAAATTGGGACTCTCTCACCCAAATACTGTGCTTTTCAAATGGTCTTAGCAAACAGCACACCAGGAGATTATATCCTGTGCCTGGCTTGGTGGGTCGCTTGCCCACGGAGCCTTGCTCACTGCTAGTGCAGCAGTCTGAGATCCACCTGCAAGGTAGCAGCCTGGCAGGGGGAGGTGCGTCCACCATTGCTGAGGCTTGAGTAGGTAAACAAAGCAGCCAGGAAGCTCAAACTGGGTGGAGCCCACTGCAGGTCAGCAAGACCTGCTGCTCCTGTAAACTCCACCTCTAGGGGCAGGGCATAGCTGAACAAAAGGCAGCAGAAACTTCTGTAGGCTTAAACGCGCCTCTCTGACAGCTCTGAAGAGAGCAGTGCTTCTCCCAGCACAGTGTTTGAGCTCTGAGAATGGACAGACTGCCTCCTTAAGTGAGTCCCTGACCCCTGTGTAGCCTAAATGGGAGACACCACCTGGTAAGGGCCGACTGACACCTCATACAGGTGGGTGCCCCTCTGGGATGAAGCTTCCAGAGGAAGGATCAGGCAGAAATATTTGCTGCTCTGCAATATTTGCTCTTCTGCAGCCTGCGTTGGTGATACCCAGGCAAACAGTGTTTGGAGTCGATGTCCAGCAAACTCCAACAGACCTGCAGCTGAGGGACCTTACTGTTAGAAGGAAAACTAACAAACAGAAAGGAATAGCATCAACATCAACAAAAAGGACATCCACACCAAAACCCCATCTCTAGGTCACCAACATCAAAGACCAAAGGTAGATAAAACCACAAAGATGGGGAGAAATCAGAGCAGAAAAGCTGAAAATTCTAAAAACCACAGCACCTCTTGTCCTCTAAAGGATTGCAGCTTCTCACCAGCAATGGAACAAAGCTGGATGGAGAATGACTTTGATGAGCTGACAGAAGTAGGCTTCAGAACATGGGTAATAACAAACTTCTCCGAGCTAAAGGAAGATGTTCGAACCCATCACAAGGAAGCAAAAAACCTTGAAAAGAGATTAGATGAATGACTAACTAGAATAAACGCGTAGAGAAGACCTTAAATGACCTGATGGAGCTGAAATCCATGGCACAAGAACTACGTGATGCATGCAAAAGCTTCAATAGCTGATTCAATCAAGTGGAAGAAAGGGTATCAGTGATTGAAGATCAAATAAATGAAATAAAGTGGGAAGAGAAGTTTAGAGAAAAAGGAGTAAAAGGAAACAAACAAAACCTCCAAGAAATATGGGAATATGTGAAAAGACCAAATCTATGTTTGATTGGTGTACATGAAAGTGATGGGGAGAATGGAACCAAGTAGGAAAACACTCTTCAGGATATTATCCAAGAGAACTTCCCCAACCTAGCAAGGGAGGCCAACATTTAAACTCAGGAAATACAGAGAACACCACAAAGATACACCTCGAGAAGAGCAACCCCAAGACACATAATTGTCAGATTCACCAAGGTTGAAATGAAGGAAAAAATGTTAAGGGCAGCCAGAGAGAAAGGTCTGGTTACCCACAAAGGAAAGCCCATCAGATTAACAGTGGATCTCTTGGCAGAAACTCTACAAGCCAGAAGAGAGTGGGGGCCAATATTCAACATTCTTAAAGAAAATAATTTGCAACCCAGAATTTCATATCCAGCCAACCTAAGCTTCATAAGTGAAGGACAAATAAAATTCTTTACAGACAAGCAAATGCTGAGAGATTTTGTCACCATCAGGCCTGCCTTACAAGAGCTCCTGAAGGAAGCACTAAACATGGAAAGGAACAACCAGTACCAGCCACTGCAAAAACAGGCCAAATTGTAAAGACTGTCGATGCTAGGAAGAAATGGCATCAGCTAACAGGCAAAATAGTCAGCTAACATCAAAATGACAGGATCAAATTCACACAGAACAATATTAACCTTAAATGTAAATGGGCTAAATGCTCCAATTAAAAGATACAGACTGGCAAATTCGTTAAAGAGTCAAGACCCATCAGTGTGCCGTATTCAGGAGACCCATCTCACGTGCAGAGACACACATAGGCTCAAAATAAAGGGATGGAGGGAGATCTACGAAGCAAATCGAAAGCAAAAAAAAGCAGGGGTTGCAATTCTAGTCTCTGATAAAACAGACTTTAAACCAACAAAGATCAAAAGAGACAAAGAAGGCCATTACATAATGGTAAAGGGATCAATTCAACAACAAGTGCTAACTATCCTAAATATATATGCACCCAATACAGGAGCACCCAGATTCAAAAAGCAAGTCCTTAGAGACCTACAAAGAAACTTAGACTCCCACAAGTAATAATGGAAGACTTTAACACCCCACTGTCAATATTAGACAGATCAATGAGACAGAAGGTTAACAAGGATATCCAGGACTTAAACTCAGCTCTGCAACAAGCGGACCTAATAGATATCTACAGAACTCTCCACCCCAAATCAACAGAATATACATTCTTCTCAGCACCACATCACACTTATTCCAAAATTGACCACATACGTGGAAGTAAAGCACTCCTCAACAAATGTAAAAGAACAGAAATCACAACAAGCTGTCTCTCAGACCACAGTGCAATCAAATTAGAACTCAAGATTAAAAAACTCACTCAAAACTGCACCACTACATGGAAACTGAAAACCTGCTCCTAAATGACTACTGGGTAAATAACAAAATGATGGCAGAATTAAAGATGTTCTTTGAAACCAATGAGAAAAAAGACACAACGTACCAGAATCTCTGGAACAAGTTTAAAGCATGTGTAGAGGGAAATTGATAGCCCTAAATGCCCACAAGAGAAAGCAGGAAATATCTAAAATTGACACCCTAACATCACAATTAAAAGAACTAGAGAAGCAAAAGCAAACATATTCCAAAGCTAGCCGAAGGCAATAAATAATTAAGATCAGAGCAGAACTAAAACAGAATAGAGACACAAAAAGCCCTTCAAAAAATCAATGAATCCAGGAGCTGTTTTTTTTGAAAAGATCAACAAATTGATAGACTACTAGCAAGACTAATAAAGAAGAAAAGAGAGAAGAATCAAATAGACACAATAAAAAATGATAAAGAGGATATCACCATTGATCCCACAAAAAAAAAAACTACCATCAGAGAATACTATAAACACCTCTACGCAAATAAACTAGAAAATCTAGAAGAAATGGATAAATTCCTGGACACATACACCCTCCCAAGACTAACAGGAAGAACTTGAATCTCTGAATAAACCAATAACAGGCTCTGAAATTGAGGCAATAATTAATATCCTACCTACCAAAAAAGTCCAGGAACAGAGGGATTCACAGCCGAATTCTACCAGAGGTACAAAGAGGAGCTGGTACCATTCCTTCTGAAACTGTTCCAATCAAGAAAAAGAGGGAATCCTCCCTAACTCATTTTATGTGGCCAGCATCATCCTGATACCAAAGCCTGGCAGAGACACAATGAAAAAAGAGAATTTTAGACCAATATCCCTGATGAACATCGATGCAAAAATCCTCAATAAAATACTGGCAAACCAAATCCAGCACCACATCAAAAAGCTTATCCACCATGAACAAGTGGGCTTCATCCCTGGGATGCAAGGCTGGTTCAACATATGCAAATCAATAAATGTAATCCAGCATAAACAGAACCAAAGACAAAAACCATATGATTATCTCAGTAGATGCAGAAAAGGCCTTTGACAAAATTCAATAGCCCTTCATGCTAAAAACTCTCAATAAATTAGGTATTGATGGGATGTATCTCAAAATAATAAGAGCTATTTATGACAAACCCACATCCAATATCATACTGAATGGGCAAAAACTGGAAGCATTCCCTTTGAAAACTGGCACAAGACAGGGATGCCCTCTCTCACCACTCCTATTCAACATAGTGTTGGAAGTTCTGGCCAGGGCAATCAGGCAAGGGAAAGCAATAACGGGTATTCAATTAGGAAAAGAGGAAGTCAAATTGTCCCTGTTTGCAGATGACATGACTGTATATTTAGAAAACCCCATCATCTCAGCCTAAAATCTCCTTTAACTGATAAGCAACTTCAGCAAAGTCTCAGGATACAAAATTGATGTGCAAAAATCAGAAGCATTCCTATACATCAATAACAGACAAACAGAGAGCCAAATCATGAGTGAACTCCCGTTCACAGTTGCTACAAAGAGAATTAAAATCCCTAGGAATCCAACTACCGGGGATGTGAAAAACCTCTTCAAGGAGGACTAGAAGCCATTGCTCAATGAAATAAAAGAGGACGTAAACAAATGGAAGAATGTTCCATGCTCATGGATAGGAAGAATCAATATTGTGAAAATGGCCATACCGCCCAGGGTAATTTACAGATTCAATGCCATCCCCATCAAGCTACCAATGACTTTCTTCACAGAATTGGAAAAAACTACTTTAAAGTTCATATGGAACCAAGAAAGAGCCCACATGGCCAAGACAATCCTAAGCCAAAAGAACAAAGCTGGAGGCATCAAACTACCTGACTTCAAACTATACTACAAGGCCACAGTAACCAAAACAGCATGGTACTGGTAGCAAAACAGATATATAGACCAAAGGAAAAGAACAGAGGCCTCAGAAATATCACTACACATCTGCAATCATCTCATCTGTGACATACCTGACAAAAACAAGAAATTCGGAAAGGGTTCCCTATTTAATAAATGGTGCTGGGAAAACTGGCTCGCCATATGTAGAAAGCTGAAACGGGATCCTTTCCTTACACCTTATACAAAAATTAATTCAAGATGAATTAAAGACTTAAATGTTAGACCTAAGACCATAAAAACCCTAGAAGAAAACCTAGGCAATACCATTCAGGGCATAGGCATGGGCGAGGACTTCATGACTAAAACACCAAAAGCAATGGCAACAAAAGCCAAAATAGACAGATGTGATCTAATTAAACTATAAGAAATTCTGCACAGGAAAAGAAACTACCATCAGAGTGAACAGACAACTTACAGAATGGGAGAAAATTTTTGCAATCTACCCATCTTACAAAGGGCTAATATCCAGAATCTACAAAGAACTCAAACAAATTTACAAGAAAAAGACAAACAACCCCATCCAAAAGTGGTCAAAGGATATGAACAGACACTTCTCAAAAGAAGACATTTATGCAGCCAACAGACACGTGAAAAAATGCTCATCATCACTGGTCATCAGAGAAATGCAAATCAAAACCACAATGAAATATCATCTCACACCAGTCAGAATGGTGATCATTAAAAAGTCAGGAAACAACAGATGCTGGAGAGGATGTGGAAAAATAGGAATGTTTTTACACTGTTGGTGGGGGTGTAAACTAGTTCAACCATTGTGGAAGACAGTGTGGCAATTCCTCAAGGATCTAGAACTAGAAATACCATTTGACCCAGCCAGCCCATTACTGGATATATACCGAAAGGAGTATAAATCATGCTACTATAAAGACACATGCACACATGTGTTTATTGTGGCACTATTCACAGTAGCAAGGACTTGGAACCAGCGCACATGTCCATCAATGATAGACTGGATTAAGAAAATGTGGCACATATACACCATGGAATACTATGCAGCCATAAAAAAGGATGAGCTCATGTCCTTTGCAGGGACATGGATGAAGCTGGAAACCATCATTCTGCACAAACTGTCACAAGGATAGAAATCCAAACACTGCATGTTCTCACTCATAGGTGGGAATTGAACAATGAGAACACTTGGACACTGGGCAGGGAACATCACACACCGGGGCCTGTCGTGGGATGGGGGGCAGGGGAAGGGATAATATTAGAAGGAATGCCTAATGTAAATGACATGTTAGTGGGTGCAGCAAACCAGCATGGCACATGTATACCTATGTAACAAACCTGCACTTTGTGCAGGTGTACCCTAGAACTTAAAGTATAAGAAAAAAAAAGATTGAGAAATTATACTCCATCTCTTGAGGGTGGAGTATCTACATAAATTATTTGGAATGTTTCCTCATGAGAAATTTATAATCCCCATTTATTTATTTAGTAATTTTTAATAATTTGTATCAGTATGGTATTATAATTCAACAGTACTTAATTTTATTGCTCAAATTGTTCCAACTTTGTCCACTAAGCTCTTTCATTTGGCTCCTGTATCCCTTTGACATACTCCCATTAGTGTGTGTGTGTGTGTGTGTGTGTGTGTGTATGTGTGTGTAACATTTTTTTGCATTCCAGTACTGCAAGATGCTCCAGGCTCATCTTATTTATTTCCTGCCTGAGTTCTAGGATCAGCCATTCCCCCCAAGGAGCTTTGGTCCCTTTTATTGGAAAATGGTATTAAAAACCAAAATTTGGACACTAGGTATGCTTATCACTGCTGCGATGTCATTGCTTCTAAGCCCTCTCACCTGAAAAATCAAGGAAATATATGTGTGTATGTAATCCCTATAAATACACATATCTATGAGTATTTCTATGTATATCCAATCTGTGTCTGTATTAAGCTAAACAGAAATTTATACTGTCTTTAATTTTCTTTTCTTTTTTATATATATATATAATTTATTATTATTATTATTTTTTATTGATCATTCTTGGGTGTTTCTCGCAGAGGGGGATTTGGCAGGGTCACAGGACAATAGTGGAGGGAAGGTCAGCAGATAAACAAGTGAACAAAGGTCTCTGGTTTTCCTAGGCAGAGGACCCTGCGGCCTTCCGCAGTGTTTGTGTCCCTGGGTACTTGAGATTAGGGAGTGGTGATGACTCTTAAGGAGCATGCTGCCTTCAAGCATCTGTTTAACAAAGCACATCTTGCACCGCCCTTAATCCATTCAACCCTGAGTGGATACAGCACATGTTTCAGATAGCACAGGGTTGGGGGTAAGGTCACAGATCAACAGGATCCCAAGGCAGAAGAATTTTTCTTAGTACAGAACAAAATGAAAAGTCTCCCATGTCTACCTCTTTCTACACAGACACGGCAACCATCCGATTTCTCAATCTTTTCCCCACCCTTCCCCCCTTTCTATTCCACAAAACCGCCATCGTCATCATGGCCCGTTCTCAATGAGCTGTTGGGTACACCTCCCAGACGGGGTGGTGGCCGGGCAGAGGGGCTCCTCACTTCCCAGTAGGGGCGGCTGGGCAGAGGCACCCCTCACCTCCCAGATGGGGCGGCTGGCCGGGCGGGGGGCTGACCCCCCCCCACCTCCCTCCCGGACGGGGCGGCCGGCCAGGCAGAGGGGCTCCTCACTTCCCAGTAGGGGCGGCCGGGCAGAGGCGCCCCTCACCTCCCGGACGGGGCGGCTGGCCGGGCGGGGGGCTGACCCCCCCACCTCCCTGCCGGACGAGGTGGCTGCCGGGCGGAGACGCTCCTCACTTCCCAGACGGGGTGGCTGCTGGGCGGAGGGGCTTCTCACTTCTCAGATGGCGCGGCTGCTGGGCGGAGGGGCTCCTCACTTCTCAGACGGGGCGGTTGCCAGGCGGAGGGGCTCCTCACTTCTCAGACGGGGCGGTTGCCAGGCAGAGGGTCTCCTCACTTCTCAGACGGGGCGGCCGGGCAGAGACGCTCCTCACATCCCGGACGGGGCGGCAGGGCAGAGGTGCTCCCCACATCTCAGACGATGGGCGGCTGGGCAGAGACGCTCCTCACTTCCCAGATGGGATGGCGGCCGGGAAGAGGCGCTCCTCACTTCCTAGATGGGATGGCGGCCGGGCAGAGACGCTCCTCACTTCCCAGACGGGGTGGCGGCCGGGCAGAGGCTGCAATCTCGGCACTTTGGGAGGCCAAGGCAGGCTGCTGGGAGGTGAAGGTTGTAGCGAGCCGAGATCACGCCACTGCACTCCAGCCTGGGCACCATTGAGCACTGAGTGAACGAGACTCCGTCTGCAATCCCGGCACCTTGGGAGGCCGAGGCTGGCGGATCACTCGCGGTTAGGAGCTGGAGACCAGCCCAGCCAACACAGCGAAACCCCGTCTCCACCAAAAAAATACGAAAACCAGTCAGGCGTGGCGGCACGCGCCTGCAATCGCAGGCAGTCGGCAGGCTGAGGCAGGAGAATCAGGCAGCAGTACCGTCCAGCTTCAGCTCGGCATCAGAGGGAGACTGTGGAGAGAGGGAGAGGGAGACCGTGGGGAGAGGGAGAGGGAGACCGTGGGGAGAGGGAGCGGGAGAGGGGGAGGGGGAGGGGGAGGGAGAGGGAGAGGGCTAATGTCTTTAATTTTCATCCACTGTTATATGGATCATTTTAGCCTTCTCCCTGTGCTTATCTGTAATTTCGCACTTCAGCAGTGAGAAACCTGGCATTTGCTATCTGCCATGCATTTATTTAATTTTTTAATTCCAGTATACATATACAATGCTTTAAACAACTTTATCAACTAGAGTACAGTGCTTGCATATAGTTCCTTTTGCCTTTAGTGTTACAGGCTCCAAAGTTAATTAGGTCAGCAACTTTTTCTTCCACTCCCTTCGGTGCAGTTCTGTTATACTTATATACATTTATACATTTGTAATATGATTCAATTATTTTGTCACAGTCTGCATTCCTTCAAATGATTTTTTTAAAAATTTGCATGTATTATGGTTCATTCTTTGTGATCTAAAATTCCATTAGTTTTGACAATGCATAATATCATGTGTTCACCATCACAATAGTATCACTGCTCTAAAAAAATTCCCTGTTTTTCACCTAATAAACTCTCCTCATAGCCCCAAATCCCTGATAACTATTGATCTATTAATCATTTTTATAGTTTTGCCTTTCCCATAATATCATCTAAATGGAATCATTCTGTCTGTAGGCTTTTCATACTGACTTCTTTCATTTAGCAATAGGTGTTAAAGATCAATCCATACCTTTTTAATCGAATTAGATATTAAAATGTATTTACTTCACTGTTTGTGACTTTAGTTGTGTTGGAATTAGTACTAATTGCAATAATAGAAGCAAGAAAAGAACACAATACTAGTAGATGAAAGTGATTCACTGTGTTGAGAGAGGTTAGGAAAAATTTCACAGAAGAGGAAGAAAAACCTGGATTAGACTTTCTGTTTTAATGGTATTCATTGTAAAGGCAGTGACACACACACACACACACACACACACACACACACACACACACACACACACAGTCTCGATACCTTAATGGAAAAGGTGTATTCATTTTGGTATATAGATTGCGGTACACATACACTGTTAGTAAAATTTTATGTTTTTAACTTGCTAATATTACTGAAACATTTTTCATGTTTACATATACTCTTCACAATTATAGTCTTGCATATGTTTTAAGCATAGTTTTTATTTTTATAAAAATTATACATGCCAGCTGTGGATAATTAAGTAAATACAAAAAAGTATAAAAAATAAAGAAATGTATAATTCTATTACTCATCTGCAAAGGCAACATTTTAGTGTATCTCCTACCAGACTTTAAATGGTTTTTAAAATTTTGTGTATTTTTATTTTACCTAACATTATAATATTCTGTTATTTAAGACTGTTCACAATCATAAATTTAATGGCTGCATAACTGTAATTATTTGGATATTCCCCTATGCTCATGTTTTTATTCCACTATTGTAAATAATCGTGATAATACTGTAACAAACATCTTTGTAAGTGAGTTTTCTTTTTGTTTGTTTTTTTTTTGAGATGGAGTCTCGCTCTGTCACCCAGGCTGGAGTGCAGTGGCATGATCTCGGCTCACTGCAACCTCCGCCTCCTGGGTTCAAGCGATTCTCCTGCCTCAGCCTCTCAAGAAGCTGGGATTACAGGTGCCCGCCTTCACTCCTGGCTAATTTCTGTATTTTTAGTAGAGACAGGGTTGTGCCATATTGTCCAGGCTGGTCTCGAACTCCTGACCTCAGGGGATCTGCCCTCCTTGGCCTCCCAAAGTGCTAGGATTACAGGCATGAGCCACTGTGCCCAGCCTGTAAATAAATATTCTGTATATTTTAATTAATTTTCTCCAGGAAGACTCCTGCAAGGAAAAATAAATCCCAAATCCCATATCAGTTGTAATTTCAGCTGTAAGTGACAATAATTCTCAGCTAAAAAAGCTTAAACAGTAAGAAATCTATTATATCATATAAAAAGAAGCCCAATGTTAGATTCATGATTGCTTCATTCACTGATACAGTGATGCAATCAGGAATCCTTGTGTTCTTCTTTAAGCTCTTTCATCCTCAGGATTTTGGTTTTGGTTGCAGGCTTAGACCCTCATTGCTGCAATATGGTTGCTGTGGTTTCAGGTATCATACCATTACCCAAATGCCACCAGGAGAGATGAGGGCAAGTCACCAGATACTGACCCACCATGGTGAGGGCTTTGGATTTTCTTTCTGCTTGATAAACTTCCGTTAGCCATTCTTTTACAGCAGTTCTGCTAGTGAAAAATTCTTAGTTTTCCTTCCTCTGAGAATGTCTTTATTTCATCTTCATTTCTGAAGAACATTTTAACTGGATATAGGGTTCTGGATTGAGACTTCTTTTATTTCCTCTTGAAAAAATTTTGTGCCACTTCCCCATGGTTTCTAATGAGAAATCCTTTGTTATTCTAAGAATTTTTCAAGTATAAAGTATCATTTTTCTTTGACTGCTTTTAAGCTTTTTCTTAGTGTTTAGTTTTCAAAATCTGATTATAATGTGTTTGAGCCTGGACTGTTTTTTTAGTTTATTGTGTTAGAGATTTGCTCAACTTCTTGAATCTGCAGTTTATGCCTCTTGTTAAATTTAGGGAGATTTTAGCTATTATTTCCGCAAATATTTTTTCAGCCCTGCCCTCTTTCTTCTGTCCTTCTGGGACTCAGAGAGCACAAATGTTATATTTTTTTATCATTCAGTAGGTTTTTGAGGCTCTTTTCATTTTTTTTCAATCTTTATTCCCCTGTTTTCAGATTGAATAATTTTTATTGATATATCTTCAAATTCACGGATTTTTAACTCTGTCATATTCATTTTGCTCTTCAGTCAATAGGCGAGTGTTAAATTTCATTCAATTTTTTTTATTTCTAAAATTTCCATTTTGGTCTTCCTGATATCTTATGTTTCTTTGCTGAGACTTTGTATTTCTTCATTTGTTTCAAGAGAATTCAAAATCACTTGTTGAAACATTTTATGATGGCTGCTTCAAAATCCTTGTCAGATAATTTCAACATCTGTCTTTTC
Organism: Homo sapiens; assembly: GCF_000001405.40. Taxonomy (NCBI): domain Eukaryota; kingdom Metazoa; phylum Chordata; class Mammalia; order Primates; family Hominidae; genus Homo; species Homo sapiens. The sequence continues at coordinate 88,612,222 of NC_000005.10, read as the reverse complement.
TCAGTGTAGGTGTCTTTTGATTGCTTTTTCTCATTCAGATTGAGATTTTCATGGTTTTTGCCATAATGGGTAATTTTATATTGTATCCTGAACATTATGAATACTAAGTATAAGACTCTGGTTTCTATTTAAATCTTCTATTTTAGCAAGGATTCAACCTGTTTATATAAAGAATATACATCCTAGCCTACTTTTGTGGGCTGTGATTCAAATGCCAATTTAGATTTCAAAGCCTTTGCAGTGTTGTTCTGGTCTGCCCCAGTTGTGTGCTTCCCAGAGACCAACTTGAATTCTGGGCAGTGTTTCAGAAGAGTGTTCAATTTTCAAACCTTTTGCTATGTTGTTTCTGGGGCTACATGCATGGACTTCTAAGAAGTTTTCTCAAGATTTCAACAGCTCCTTTCTTTCATTGGAAGGAGGAGTAACACCATTTCTTTATTGTATGGCAGAGATAGAAGATAAGGCTCTGCCCACAGTCTCCAGGCTGCAGCATCTGGTGAGGAAGGGAAGGTGTATGGCTGCATTGTTTTTCTCTTGGTGTTCAACTGGAATAGAGCAGGTATGGTTAAAATATTTATGTCCTGCTGGACTTCTTTTTCCTCCATCTTCTGGCTAGGGCTTTTTGTCCTTTTGGGATCTGTGTGTGTGTGTGTGCGCGCGTGTGTATGTGTGTGTGTGTGTGGTTGCTGGTGTTTTAGGTTGTGTTCCTCTCCAAGACTAGGATACGTAAGAGGTAAACAAAACAAAACAAAGACTAGGAGATTCATAGCTATGCCATTCTTCAAGTCCTGGGGACCCTAATCTGTCTGCTTTCTTTCCTCCAGTTTTGTCTTCTTTTACTTACGTTATGAATATTGTCCAGGATTGGTTTGTTTTGTAAATAGTGGGAGGAATAGGATGAATGAAATGTGTTTACTTTATCTTGTTCTGACTGAAAGCTCAGGACTTTGGATTCTTTGGGCAATGGGATACATTTGGATGTTTTTGAGTAAGGGAGGGACATCATCTGAGTTACATTTTAGAAATATGCTGCCTGTTGTTTAGGGAACTCACTGGAGCAGTGGTACATGTGGGGAGGATGGTGCATTGAACTAGAGACTGGAGAAATGTGAGGGATTTGCAGAATTTTTACAGAATTTGCTGATAAGAGAAAGAGGAATCAGTTTTTCCAAGTTTTTTTGTCTTGAGAAACTGAGGGAATGATTGTATCATTTATTGAGATAGCAAATTCCAGGGAAGAAGCAGAGTTGGGATTAGACATGCAAATCGAGAGTCCAAATTTTAGATGTGTCCAGCTCAAGATGCTTGCTAGGTACCCAAACGGAGATATTGAGTGGGCAGTTGGCTATTCAAGTCAAGAATTTAGGGGAGAGATCAGGGCTGCTTATGTATAAGTTTGTAAACCATGAGTCAGAAGATGATATTTAAAACCAAAAGAATGGTTAGATTACTTAGGAGTGAGTGTAAACACAAATGAGAAAAGGTCTAAAACACTGAGCCCTGCATCTCCCTAACATAGTATCTTCATTGACACCTCAGTGGAGTTTGACGTAGCTCATTATTTGCTTGTTCTAAAATATCCTTTCTCCTCATTTCAGTGACATCACCTGCTCTCTAGGTTTTTCTCCAGTTTTTTAGGATGTCCCTTCTTCTTCTTATTGGCAGGTCTTCTCCCTGCCCTCCTGACCTATCCCTTAAAAATTGTTTTATTTGGGGCCGGGCACAGTGGCTCATGCCTGTAATCTCAGCACTTTGGGAGGCTGAGGCGGGCAGATCACGAGGTCAGGAGTTCGAGAAAAGCCTGGCCAACATGGTGAAACCCCGTCTCTACTAAAAATACAAAAATTAGCCAGGTGTGGTGGCGTGTACCTGTAATCTCAGCTGAAGCAGAAGAATTGCTTGAATCCAGGAGGCAGAGGTTACAGTGAGCCAAGATCATAATACTACCTTAAGGCCTGGGTGACAGAGTAAGACTCTATCTCAGAAAAAAAAAAAAGTTTTATTTTGTTTTGTTTTGCTTTTTCTCCTATGGACTGTAGTCTCTAAATGCCATTTTCCACTGGGGCTTACCAAAATGGCTGATTCCAGGTCTGAGGCAGGAAATATATGTAATACAAACCAGGTTTATCTTTCATGCTAATAAATAGGAAAGCTACTGATGACCACTGGGGTTATGTCAAAGGGACACAGGGTCCAGCTGGAAAGAGCTCTTATTGCATAGACTTGGGACAAGTTGAACATCAAAAATAATAATAATTACAATGGGTTAAAACACATCAGGTATATTGAAATCTATGTGTTGATGATAGTACCAAAAAAGGTCACTTTTCAAGGATGCTAGGAAATCAACTCATTCTGAAAATTGGTAAATAAAAGGAAAGAGTCAAGTATTTGTTTTGTCTTTCATATGAGAACTGTACCTCAGGGTACTTAAAGATTTAATGTAGTAAAATTCTTCTTTGTGGAAAAATTCCAGCTAATAAATGTGGAGGGAATAATAGAATATCACCATTTTGCAAACTCTAATGAAATAATGGATTCAGGCAATGATAATAAATGGCTGATTAAAGATCAAGTTGACTACATCTGAATCCACTGATTAATTTAGTATTGTAAAAAGAAAGACAAGACATTCTGTGTCTCCTGATAGGCACTAGCCACATGTGGCTGTTGAGCATCTGAAATGTGGCTATCGAACTCATGTGCTATAAGTGTAAAATAAACACTAGATTTTTAAGACTTGATTTGAAAAAAGCAAATGTCCCATTAATGTTTTAAAATTTGATTAACTGTTGAAATGTTAAAATTTGGATATATTGGGATGAATAAAATATGTAATTAAAATTATTTTCACCTGTTTTGTTTTACCTTTTTAAGATGTGGCTTTTAGAAAATTTAAAATTGTATACATGGTTTGGATTGTATTTCTGATTTGTTCACAATGGAATCTTCAGTGGCCAATACAGAGCTTGACACAGTTGTATAAATGAATGAAGTTGCTAATAGTTAAAATTATTTCATTATTTATTTATGTGATTTCATCTACTAGAAACTCAGCCCCAAACTGGGAGGAGCAGTGGGGAATGAGAGTGGTGGAAAGTGTATCAGATTATGGCGAGATTTTAGAGAAAAGCAGTAGGTATGTGCCTGTAGATGTTCTGTAGTGGGTGAAGACTGTAAAAATTCTTGGTATTGTATTAGTTCATTCCCACACTGCTGTAAAGAACTACCTGAGAATGGGTAATTTATGAAGAAAAGAGGTTTACTTGACTCACAGTACGGCAGACTTAATCAGAAGCATAACTGGGAGGCCTCAGGAAACTTACAATCATGTTGGAAGGTGAAGGGGAAGCAGGCATGTCTTACCATGGCACAGCAGGAGAGAGAGAGAGAGAGAGAGAAGGGGGAAATGCCACACACTTTCAAACCATCAGATCTCGTAAGAACACACTCACTATCATAAGAACAGCAAAGGGGAAATCTGCCCCCATGATCCAATCGTGTCCCACTAGGTTCTTCCCCTTGCATGTGGGGATTACAATTTGACATGAGATTTGGGCAGGGCACATGAGCCAAACCATATCATGTATAAAATAGGTCTGTCTCAACTCTCTTTCCCCAACTTCCACTCTAGTTTATCTCTCTACCTTTCTTACTTTTCTCACTTTTTCTTCACATCCTGTAATCTTTTGTGGTTTTTTTTGTTTTGTTTTCTTTTTTCAGTTTAAAAATCTATTGAGCCATTGACTAAGAATAAAACATATAACTTGAAATAAAAAGAAGCCTTATAACTAAAAGAGGTCGTGGAATTTTAGGTAATTTTTCTTAACCTATTCCTCTTTGTTTTGGTTCATTCTGGCTGCTATACGAAACTATCATGGATGGGGTGGCTTATAAGCAACGGACATTTATTTCTCACAATTCTAGAGTCTGGAAAATCCTAGATCAAAGTGCCAACAGAGTCCATGTCTGGAGAGCACCCACTTCCTGGTTTATAGACAACCATCTTCTTGTGTCCTCACATGGTGGAAGGGGCAAGAGAGCTCTCCGGGGTCTCTTTTTAAGAGCACAACCCCATTTATGAAGGCTCTGCCCTCATGACCTAATCATCTCTCAAAAGCCCCACTGTCTAATCACATTAGGAGTTAGGATTTCAACATATGAATTTGACAGGGACACATTCAGTCTATAGCACTCTCCTTCCCCCAAATTAAGAGGCTGGCGATTATGTTTTTTCCTGGTGCTCATTTTGTAATAAATGCTATAATTGGCCAAATTAGATTATGAATGCATTTAATGACACTACCTACCCTTTCATACCTACGTGTCATCTAAGGCCTATTAAAAGACTTTTTAACCCCCAATACTTGAAAACTTCCCTTTGTTTATTGGTAATATGAGAAATATATGATATCATGATTGTAGCATTAAACATGTTTTAGGGTGATTAAAAAATAGATATAAGTAATACTCTCAGGGGGTGGAGGTGGAAGCCACAAAATGGTTTGAGAAAGAAGCCAAAGGGTGAGGAGTGTGTGAGTGAATCATCTATCACTGAACCTGCACATTCTCACGTTCAGTAAATATTAATCCACCTCTTATGAGTCTTATGGTGTGATTTTATTAATGATTTGAAAAGTTTAGAATTCATGACATAGAATGTAGATTTTCACATACAAATATGAAACTATATTACAAAAAATTTTGCAATACCCATTCTTTCAGCCTCCTTTAGAACTTAGAACTTTCCCTTTCCTTTCTTACCTGGTAATTCTCCCAAGCTTTGCTAGGAAACCAGCTGGATAGTTAGTTGACCCTCAAATGTTGATGAGTATATTACTTATTCAAGAAACTAATTTTTATTTTAACAGGAGTATTTAAACACAGTTGTTTCCCGTGAAACAACACATTAATACTGAATTATTGTTGGTGAGAGGGGTATTTTTGGACTGCCTTAAGTTTCGCCCACAATATTTAAAGGCACTGGTGTTTGGACTGTCCCAAGTCTACTGCCCCAGGCTTGGCTTTATCTGATTAGGCCAGGTTCATATGCAAGAAAACAACTATATCTGCACAAAGAAAATGGGGTCCTGAGTCTAAACATTATAATGAGCTCTGTCACAGCAACTATGTATGAGTAGAGTATCCTGGTTCTGAGATCTAACAGTCTGGATCTGAATCTGGGGCACATTACTTACTGTTTGTGTGACATTGGGCAAATTACTTGTCTCTTCTATATAACTGATAAAATGTTAACATCTGTCTCAAAAGATTATTGTTGAAATTCAATGCGTTAATGTCTATCAAGTGCTTAGAATAGTTCCTGGCCCTTAGTAAATGTTTAGTATCAGCTATTATTATATGAGATATACCAATAGAATATGTTTGGATTGCTCATGTGGATAGCCTCAGGTCTAATTCATTTATTTGTTCCTGCCACGTTACGGTCAATTTAGAAGCAGTTTAAAACTTGACTCACGTTAGGTATTATTCACATAATGAATGTTGGTTAACAGTTATAGTTTTCCAAATTATGCTTATGAAATTGAAATTCTGGACAGGGTATCCGGGTTACAATAATATAAAGGTATTATAAATAGTTCAAAATAATCTACTTCTAGGGACACATTTTGGCATGAATTTCCCAGTGAATTTTAGAACTAAATGTATGAAATCACATTACATGAAAAAAGTGACCCTCAATATTTCTGAAATAAAAATGATTATGAATAAATTAAAATAAAACATTCATTGTGCACAATCATCCTTTATATGAGTCAAAATATTTAGTATTGTTCCACCTTCTATAGTTTCTTGCCTCATACATAGCTGGGTTACTAGATATGAATTTAAGTACATGAGTCAGGACTCTTTTGGTTGCCAGAAACCAAAACACAAGTCAAAATGGCTTAATTCAAAGAGAAATTATTTATTTACTCGTGCAACTCAGAAATCCAAGGGACTGACTTCAGGTATGGTTGTAGTAGTCTTTCAATTCTTCTTTCCTCTATATAGAATTCATACTGAAGTAGATTATCCTCAGGTTATGATTACAGCATATTTAGACTTACATTCTCATGCCTAAAAAAAATCACAGCTAAAAGTTCTGAAAGTTCACTGAAATGATTTACTTTCAACAGACTGACCTACCTCACATACCTATCTTTGAAAATTCACTTTGGCCGGTGGATAGATTGGCTGATTTCAGTCCTAGGGTGTTTTGTCTTTGGAGTAGGAGAGGGTGAGATGGTGGGGGTCGTGCAGAGGGGTGTTTATCCAAGGTAAAATCAGGGTCTTGCTATCAGAAAAGGGAGTACTGGGCAGGCAAACCCAATAGATGCTGCAGAGGTGGTAGATCCCTGGCACTTTTCCATCGTTGCTTCCTTCTGCATCCTTGGAAGACATCCTAAATTGATCATGGTACTCTTTACAAATCAGCAGACTTACCCTTGGAATCATTTTCAAGATGATACTTCAAGCAGTTCTAACCTGTGGATATAAACTGACACTCTTATTGAAATCTATTTGCCAGACCTAGTTTAGACAAAAAAAAGAACCAGGCTATAAGTCTTAATATTTGATTTAATGGGCTTGTATCTCCTGCCTTAGGCTGGGTTTCCTAGACAAAGACCCTGAAATGAAGATTTGAGTGCAGTACGTTTATTGGGAGTAATCTTGGGAAGCAGGATTGGGAATAAGGAATCCCATTGAAAGTGCCAGAACTGGGCTTGCCCTTTAGAGTTGTCTCAAACTGAGGCAAGGGGCCAAGGCTTTTATCCATGTTGGCCACCTTTGTGTGCAGGCTGTCATCAGGGAGGGGGTGGAATCTTGGGAGAGGCAGCTGCCCTTGTCACAGGTGATCCCGTATGGAGGGACACACTGTGAGCCGCCAGCAGTCAATACTGCAGGCAGTTGGGGTTCTAAGCACAGCTGACTAGTAGAGATGAATGAGACTAGTTACATGGATTTAAGAATAATTATAAATTTTCAGTGTTTTTTTTTTTTTTTTTTTTTTTGAGACGGAGTCTCGCTCTGTCCCCCAGGCTGGAGTGCAGTGGCGCGATCTAGGCTCACCGCAGGCTCCGCCTCCCGAGTTCACGCCATTCTCCTGCCTCAGCCTCCCCAGTAGCTGCAACTACAGGCGCCCGCCAACACGCCCCGCTAATTTTTTGTATTTTTAGTAGAGACGGGGTTTCACCGTGTTAGCCAGGATGGTCTGTATCTCCTGACCTCGTGATCCGCCCGTCTCAGCCTCCCAAAATGCTGGGATTACAGGCGTGAGCCACCGAGCCCTGCCGATTTTCAGTGTTTTAATGAAGATATTATTTGCCTCAATAACTACTGACTTTTTGTTTTATTTTCGTTTAACCCAATTCCTTGGGTATTGTTTTTAAACATGCAATTTGAATAGAGATGACTTTGTCAGCAAATCCTCTTAAGTATGTTCCGACAAATGGTAACGTTAGATACTCTGTAGGCACCTTTCCTTTGAGGAATTAAGAGTTATCAATCTCTGTAAAAAGATTGTTCAAGACTGAATAGACAATGTGTACAAGTACTATGTAATAGCAATATTGAAGGTAATCAGAATTACTGGGTTAGAAGGACAGAATTAGGCATTTTTGACAAGAAAGCAGTAGAATTTTACACAAGAAAGGATAAGAACAATAAGAGAAAGGTTAAAAAAAGAAAAGAAAGAAGCAAGATAAGTGGGATTGCTAAAGTCTAATTGTGTAGGGAGTGGCATGACACATAGTCAAGGGCTGCTATAAATGTAACACAAATTTTTGAACGACATAAGCAAGGTTCATTAATATCATAAATCTAAAAAGCCAGTTAGGACTTTAGCCATCAGGGAGTGATAGCTGTAAGACAGATGAAAATATTTAAAGGATTCCTCCCAAAACATTCCTAGTAAGTCTCAGAGCAAGATTTTGTTTGAATAAGGACCAGCAAAACTCCACAGCTCATTACTATCAACAAACACAATTTTGTGTTAAGAGAAAATGGCTATAAGTTAAAGAGCATTTGTAAATTATAATAAAAAATACATGATAAGTTTAAAAACAGAAGCATCTGGGAGCATCGATGACAAGTTTGATAAACTCTGATGGAATAAACAAAATAGTAACTTACAGTAGCATTTAGAGTTATACATTTTAGACTATTAGGGCTGGAAATGGCCCCAGAGATCAACCAGTTCAACTCTGTTGGTTTTTTGGTTGAAGAGAGGGAGAAAACAGGTCTAGAGATGTTAGATGACTTACTTAAGGTCACTCAGCTAGCGGGAAAGCCTGGACAAGGAAACTGATCACAGTATATCTAGTGTAAGCTCAGTGCTTGTCACTGTGCACTGTATAAAAGCAAAAGTGTGTGCTACCTTTCCTGTCCTCGAGGAGCCTGAAATCAAGCTTGATCTTTGCCAGACAAACATATATATTCATCTCTGGGTATGTGTCTCAAAAATTGAAGGAATGGCAAATGTGGGTGTAGGACAGTTATGAAATTACCTGTAGCCTCTTTTTTTTTTTTTTTTTTTTTTTTTAGGCTTAATGTGTTTTCATAGTAAACTTACAGGAACAGCACAGAAGACAGACAACATTAAAAACATGTACTTGCATGTAGTACAACTCAGAAACATTTGGTGAATGGATTAAATCTACTGTATGATAAAAATGCTACAAACACCATTTAGTTGCAGTCAGTAGGAAATTTACTTGTTTTTTAAAGAATCCAAATGCTGGCATTGTCCAGAAAAACTTAACACGTTTATTTATAATTATTATAAAGTTGAACCACTGACACCTGTTCACTGAAACGTTTTGACTTGCATTAACGCTTTGTGTTTCCGCATAATATTAAAAATTCACATACGAATGAAAATGGAAAAACTGCCAATCCCTGATTTCTATTCCCTATTTTTCCACTCGCAATCATAAATTTAGGTACCTTCAGACCCCATGGGGCCGGGGGAGGGGGCGGGCGGGGAGAAATCTAACATTAAGAACTACCAATAATAACAGGAAGAAGATAATTTTTTTTTAGAATGAAATGTTTCCCATCATAGTGGATTTTTAAGCACGTTCTCCATGTGCTAGCATGTGTGCGGCATGCTAGCTGGATGTCTTTTGGCATAATTGTTACACGTTTGGCATGGATAGCACACAGGTGGGTGTCTTCAAAAAGGCCAACCAGTTAGGCCTTAATTGCCTCCTGTAAAGCACCAATAGCTGCACTCTGGAAGCACAGATCTGTTTTAAAATCCTGAGCAATTTCTCACACCAGACGCTGGAAGGGAAGTTTGCGAATCGTGCCTCACTACGAGGCCTGTAACAATGAAGCTTATTCGCCCGTCCAGTAGAGGGCGCACTCTTGCAAAAGGCTTTTGTAGCCAGTTGCTTCCCGGGTGCTTTACCACCCGTGGATTTGCGTGCAGTCCGCTTTGCAGGCACCACGGTATGAAGACCTCCTTGCTTAACCCCCTTCTTCGGCTGGAGCTCAGCCAAGCGAGAGGCGGCGCTAGCATTAGAGGGCGACGGCGGCCCGGCGGCGTCATCTGTAGTGAGTGTAGAAAGTGTTATTTACAAACTCTGAACTGGGCACAGGAATAAAATTTGATTACCCCAAAAGTTTTGGGAATTGATGGGTATACTTGGAATTTTGAATGTTTAAATATGTTTTTTCCTTTCTTTCTGGATTCTCAGAACTCAGAATCCACCCAAAACCAGTCTCCCAAATTGGAATTTTCAATGTGGCTCTTGCTTGAGAAACATAATGCCTTAGAGCTATCTTAATGCTTGTTCATGGTCAGTGAATTTTTTAAGTGAGAATGTGGGAGGAAGTATCATCTAGAAATATACCTGAGGAAAGAGAAGAGGTCTTTGGTTTGTGAAAGAAAAAAGTCAGTACTTTATTTGAATTTCTTGCATATGAGAAAATATTAAGTGCTTTGAAAATCTGTTTTTTAAAGTTTATTCATTCATTTATTTATAAATATTTATTAAGGCAGACATTTTTCTAGATGTCAAGAACACAGCAGTGAACCAAACAGATATCAGTATCTTCCCTCAGTGGGCTTATATTCCAGTTGGGGTGAGAGACACAATAAACAAATAAAGAAGTTAAACATATAGTATGTCGGATGGTAACAAGTGCTATGTAGTGAAGGGGATCAGGGCTTTGGAGCAGAGATTGCTATTTAAAATTGTGCATGAGGGCAGTTCATCTTCACGAGAAGATGACATTTAAAGACAACTAAAAGAGGTGGGGAGGCAAGCTGTGTAGCTCTCTGGGGGAGACAGCGTCGCTGGAGGAAGAGTGCTGCCGGCAGAGGAACAGCAAGTTCAAAGCTCCGAACGGAGCATGCTTCAAGTGTTTGAAGGGGCCAGTGCAGGCGGTGCAGAATGAGCAGGAGATAACATCAGAGGAAAATGAAGCATCATATTATGTAGGACCTTGAAAGTTATGTAAGGACTCTGGCTTTCACTTTTTTTTTCTTTCTTTTTTTTTTTTCTTGAGACAGAATTTCACTCTTGTCGCCCAGGCTGAAGTGCAGTGGTGCAATCTCGGTTCACTGCAACCTCCGCCTCCTGGGTTAAAGCGATTCTCCTGCCTCAGCCTCCTGAGTTGGCTTTTACTTTGATTGAGATAGTAAATCGTTGGAGTTTTGATCTAAAAAAAATCACTGGAGAGGAATGATGTGGGCTGATCTTTATATGAAAAAGAATACTGTGGGCTGCTGTGTTGACAATATCCTGTCCCGGTCTGGGTCAGAAACAGGAGACCAGCTCGGAGGCTACTACAGTAAGATAAGAGCTAACAGTGGCTTGAAGCCAGCTGGTAGCAATTGAGATGGCGAGAAGCTGTCAGAGACCTGGACATACTCTGTAAATAGAGCTGACCTGTTTTGTTAATGGATTAGATGAGAGAAGTGAGAAAGGGAGAGGAGCCCAGGATGGTTCTAAGATTTTTGTCTTGAACAATTGTAAGATTGGAGTTGCCGCTTGCTGAGATGGGGGCACTGGGAGGAGCAGTTTGGGAAGGTGGAAGGCTAGAAATGTGGTTTGCAAATTTGGCTTTGCTTTGTCTTGCACTCAACAATGTTGAAAACCAAATTTCTCTTGCCTTGCTTTGCGATTAAAAGTAATTGCAAGAACCACAGTTACTTTTGCACCAACCTACCTAATATTTGTTCTTAGTGTGGCTTGCGATTTGCTGTGTGTGTGACTATGTGAAAAAACAACAATCTTAACAACTTGAAATAAACTAACTTCATATCAGAGGCTTTTATTTGTTATTTATTCTTTTCCATTTGATTTTTAAAGGGATATTTACTCTGGATATAAAATTCTGAGTTGACAGAATTCCCCCAACACCCCCCTGCCATGCTCATGAGTACTTTAAAGACATTTTCATTGTAGAAGCTTTTATTTTATTTTGTTTTTCTGGATAGTGCAATAAAAGATTTGGGATTTACAATATTTAGTATTTACATTTAAAAGGAAAGATTTATATTTTATGCAAATCAAGGTCTTTTTTAAAAAAGCCCAGAATGTGGCCGGGTGCAGTGGCTCGCGCCTGTAATCCCAGCACTCTGGGAGGCCAAGGCAGGCGGATCACGAGGTCAGGAGATCGAGACCATCCTGGCTAACACAGTGAAACCCCGTCTCTACTAAAAAATACAAAAAAGTAGCTGGGCCTAGTGGCGGGCACCTGTAGTCCCAGCTACTCGGGAGGCTAGGCAGGAGAATGGCGTGAACCTGGGAGGCGGAGCTTGCAGTGAGCTGAGATCGCGCCACTGCACTCCAGCTTGGGCAACAAAGCGAGACATCCTCTCAAAAAAAAAAAAAAGAAAAGAAAAAAGAAAAGAAAGCCCAGAATGCCAGGAAAACTTTTAAAATGTACAGTTATTAATGGTAAGATAGAAAAAATAGAATCAGTCAAATGTCAAAGGGTTTAATGATAAATTAATTTTTATTGTATGATTTTAAAGTAAATCCCAGGTAGTAAATCTTTTCACTCCTAAATACTTCTGTGAAAATGTTTATGTCTGAAGAACATGTTTTATTCACTTATTTATCTAGCTACAGTTTTTAGTTGCTATCCATGTACTACCACTTAGAAGGCTTTATCTGTCTACAATGTAGGTAAAAGAGATTCTTAAAGCAACTCTTAAGAGTTGCTCTAAGTCAGGGGTCCCCTGACTCCCAGGCCACAGACTGGTATACCCACTCCTCTCCACCTTCCCTGCCCTGGCCATCATGCATGGAATAATTGTCTTCCACGAAACCAGTTCCTGGTGCCAAAAAGGTTGGGGACCACGGCTCTAAGTGACAGCAATAAAATTACATAAAAATTCTTCAGTGAGGTTACACTATACATATTAAAATAAAACATTTCCTCATTCAGTCTTCTGTGAAGTACTTGAGTTTTATAGGAATATTTGTGTAAATATAAGTTATATACATCTTTGAAAAAGTATGGCTTTTGCACAACTAATTGAAATGCAGCTCAGCCTATGTCTGCAAATGAACTGAACTGGGAGATTTAAAATATTTTAATATTCTGTTTAAGAAAGCAATAAATTTTAAGTGATCCAAAGAGAAGTTTCTAGATGAGAGATATTTTTAAAATATTTAAGTGGAAATGAATTTTTAGCTATTATACAACTTTGGAAAATTAAGAGATTACTAAAAAATATTTTGCCTAATAGATTGATTAGTATATATTTATCTTTCAGCTGCCTACACAGTTCAGTTGCGCAGATTATCATCACATTTTTAAGGCCTATAAGAGAAATTTGTTTTAGCCAAGAATATTCCAAAAGATATTGAAAGAAGGGCATTGATTTCAGCTATTCTCAGATACTTCAAACTGATCTTTGTGGTACATCAAGGATTTATTTTGGAAAGGACATCATAGGCTTGCAGGTCTGGAAGTGCCCATAAGGGTTCATCTAGTTCATCATGTCAGTCCAAGGATTATTAAAATTGCCAGATGCAAAACCAGCTATAATAGGCTGATTTTCCAACCTGTGAACTCTGGATAACTCTTCTAAAGGCAGAATCTCCTTTTCAAAGATATTAAAAATAGGGTTCTTCCTCATTTCACTTTTGCTGAGTCCCCAACAGTGGTGGTGTGTTTTAAAGGGTCTCCTCACAATACTTTAAACCCTTAAAAGAGTTTAGAACTTAAACTTCAAATAATCTTCTCTTTGTCAAGGTCTTTTGGTGTTCTTCAAATAATAGTCCTTTGTTTAAAGAAAATCAGACTTAAACTTGTGCATTAAGTGATTAAAGTAAAAGCTCATTATTATGTTTTCCCTGTTACTTCACCTCTGATCTTTCAACTATGACCTCTGCTTTTGATCCATTTCCAAAGTATTAAAATATAACTATTATAAAGAACTAGCCTCTGTAATAGCACAATCACCAACATGTCCTTTGGCTATTTCCGATTATTCAGGCCTTGTTCTTCAGTTTTGAGACTACCTAGTATTTTTTTGGTTCACTTCGTATCAGTGATTACCCAACTTTCTCTCTCAAGGGACTCTTTCAGCGTCTAATTACTCTGAATGTTAAAATCATTAAAACATTAAAAACATTCTGATTTTTACAACTATGCTTATAAAAGAAAATAAGCAAAAAAAAGAAAAAACTGGGTAGAGGATAAGTGATTATTTCCAAAATATTCTTGAATATTGTTGCAATGTCAACAGTCACAAATAAGTATATATACATAAATCTACATAAAATACTACAATGGATTAAAAATAGCAAGCATGTTAAAATCTCAATGATTTTAAAAAGCATACTCATTAGTCACTCTTGATAACAAAGTTACTGTTCTGAAAACTGATCCAAAAAGATAAATAATGTTAAAAAATCTATTTCTCAAATTTGAGAAGTTTGAAAATGCTTTCTGTCAATTTCCACCAAATACCAAAAAAGCTCCTTTCCTTCATCCTCAGCATTCCACGTGTTTTATATATGCCACAATTGTAGTGTGCTGGGGTTCTAGGGTCTTATAAGATCAATTTTGGAACATTTAGGGACTTATTAATAAATATTATTATTAGTAATGTATTTCAATAAAACATTAGTGGTGCTACTTTTAAATGAAAACATGAAATTTTTTTTCAAAGGCTATGTATCTATGGATTAAAAAAAGTAGGGCCAAATGTGGAAGAGTAAGGATTTCATTGGTGTTTTCTTCCAGTGCTCACTAGACCCTCAAAAGGTCTTTTTCATTCCTTGAAGCCTGGTCCCATCTCAAAATATCTTAAAAACGCCTTAGCGTCTTATGGAGGAATGCATTTTAGCTTAAATTTGCAACAAACTCTTAGACATTAAATTACTAGAGCTTTGGACTATGCACTTCCATGGCACCAGGGCATTGCTATACATTTTTGTTTGTTTGTTTGTTTGTTTGTTTTTGTAAATGGGTGATGTTGACACCTCCTATTCCAAATCAAATCTACATTAGGATGATTCCTGATCCAGGACGTGTCTCTATCCTAATCTACCTAGCTGCCTATACTTCCTCTTACTGTTCTCCTTGCTGGTTTTGGCTCTTATCTCAGCAGGAATTCTATGGCAAACTTCTTCTAGAACACACTTCTTCTTTAAAAAGGAAAAGACAAGCTCCTACTCTACTTTTGCCCTTCCTTGACTGTAAACACATTCACTTACATTCAACAAGCATATGCATTTAAAATATTTATGTCTGCAAACTTTCAGATGTAGCTAAAATACTCCTGTCTTCAAGGAGTCTTCATCTATCCTTACATGGAGTTAACTGCTCCATTCTCTTGTACAGTCGTGGAACTTGATTTATAACTGTATTACAGCATTTACTGTGCTCTTTAGTCACTTATTCACTTTATGGTATAGATCTCATTGGATGTGAGCTGTTCAAGAGCAGAGGTCGTGTCTTATTTATCTTTCTCTTTAGCATAGTCCTGACCCCTTGGTAAATATTCAATAAACATTTGTCGAAAGAATAAAAGAATTAATGAATGGATAAATAAATAAATGGCCTTGTATGCTTTGGTTGCCTCTCTGCCAAATAATTTCTTACTTGTTGTTATGGCATTTTTGTGTGCTTGTTTTCATGGATACTATGCTTTTACATTTATTACGTAAAAATTTGGTCTTTAAATAAGTAGCCCTAATTCTTAATTTCCCTTTAAATTCTACTTAAATAACCCATGCTTTAGTAAAGCACTATAGGAACTAATTTTATGTTTGTCTACACTAGAAAATCCTGACTGAATTGCCACAAAAAGGCAAAAATTAGGGTTGGTCAAGGAAATGACCAAATCATTTAGTTTGTTTTATTAGAGCTTGCCGTCCACACAAACATTTGATTTCTAGTTTATTTGTAGTAGCTTTTTCCCCCTCTTAGTAAACATCTGGTAATCAGAAGGAAAGCAGCAATCTCGTAAGTAATATAAATGTGGAAATGTTTTCCACCAACTTGATAGGTGGGGAGTCTGGGGCCAAATGGTGATACTTATTTTTTGACAACCTCTACTTTATTCTGCCTTTCCTTCCCTACTGTCCTGGCTAGTCTTTCCTTAGCCCTCCTTTCCCCTCCCACTTCAAAGGATCTCATTTTGGTTTAGTGGATAGTGTGGGTTGGGAGGTCTAGTTCTGTGAGTCATAGTTTCCTCATCTTTAAAGAGAGATAATAGATCCAGATGCTTATGAAGATCAAATACATAATGCATAAGAAAATCCTCTGTGAACTCCATGAAACTACATAAATCTGAAGGACTGCTATTTTTAATTTATTAGAGGCATCACCTGTAGAGCCAGAATTCGGTAACTTCTATTTGTATCTTTCTGTGTTCTTATGACGGTAACTAATGCAATAATCTGGTCTTGTTGTAATAAGGATGTGTTTAGGGCATGCCCTTGGGGCATTTTAGCAATAGCCACTTGAAGAGGGTGTCTCTTTCTCTGTTTTCTAACCCTGAAGAGCCAGGCTTACAGGCATGGAGGACAGTGGGGGTGACAATGACTGTGGAGCAGGGAAGGATAGGCAGTGAGGGCACATGGAGACACAGGTAGAAAGCCACAGAATACACCTACACCCTGAGATGGCTCTATGGTCAAAGTACCAAGGCAGTAATTAGACAGTTTTCTTTTAAACAAAATTAATGTATACAGATTAAAATGGAAATTTATGTTGTAAAACAGCCATTTAAAAGGTTTAAATTATTAGGTTAGAAAAACATCTCAAATTAAAATAAGCTTTGTTCATAGAATTCCTAACCTTACAATTGAAAGGAGATGCCTTCAGTTGTAAGTAGGTAAGTTGAAAGTAGATTACTTTTCAAGACTATTCATGGAAAGCCAAGGGTGAAATCTAACATCCTAAGTGGGTTGCCTACTAGAATATATACTGTGCTGTCTTCACTTTTAGGTGAGAAACTATATGATTAAAGAAAGATGTTAAAGAGACACATGATGCACACATGTGTGTACACACTGCACACATACGTACTCACATATATAAGGCACTTGTTAAGAGATATGGGAATGATTGAAATTTTATGTTAATTAAGCTCAACTTTTATGTTCTTCCAGATGATCTTAATTATTTGTGTACTATAAAATTAATAATATTTCTATTGTCAATTTTAAAACAAATATTTTGGAAGAAACTAATTTGGGGAGATTGCAGAATATCATGGAAAATATATTCCTTAAACTTCAGTACACTAGACAGTTCAAGAAAGGTGGAAAATAGCAAGATGATAAGAGTGATAAACACAAATAGAGAAGCAGAGAACCCCGATCCTTAATCTTTGCTATTTTGTCAAGAAATTGTTTCTTTATGTTTAGAAATGTCTTCTGGGCTAGTTCATGAATGTTGTAAGCATTAATATTTTCCAATACATTTATTTAGCTTTACTCTTCTCAAAAATGGGTGCTATATAAAGAATATTAGAAACAAATGGTTTGAATAAAAGGAAGTGGAAAAGTGGGAAGAATCACTTAAATAAATGTCCTGCCTCCTAGGTGAGGTCAGGGAAATTTTGCTTATTCCAGTGTCATTCTTTAATGTTATGGCACTGCAGTTCATTGCCTTTTTAAATCATTTTGCTTCTAGACTCTAACTCTCAAGTAATGAATGGTCAGTAATTATTCACCAGTTTATTAGTCACTTTTTATCCTTAGCATTTTGCTTGATGCATAGTAGGTGCTCCATTAATGAATTTTAAATGAATGAATAAATAATCTTTTATATACTTATACCAATTTTATGCACATTGTGTCAGTTTTTCTTACCTCACTTTGTATGTGTGATTATCATCCTACTTTTGAAATGGTAAAATTAATTTTGTGTTTCTTCCAAGGTATCCTGGTCTGAGATGGGAGTTCAGACTAAGATCAGTTCAAACTAAGCCCAGGGTAGATTATTGTTTAGTCTCAGAGGAGGCAGACACATCTGCTGGTGGCCATTTCAGCCTTCTTCTTCTCTCCCTCCCTACTTGAAATCCTGTCCCTTGCCTCCCATGACCTCTCTGATCTCACCTTCTACCAGTATCCCTCTTGCTC